>NC_000010.11:99688549-99991580 GCF_000001405.40 Homo sapiens
TTGAAATTCCTACATTGAGAGTATGGAATAAAATACTATGATTACTTTTTCCAAGAAAAAGAGGAAAGAGAAGCCCTAAGGGAGAGGTGTATACATGGCATAGCAGTAGAGAATTAAGTGAGGGCTTTTCTGTTTCTTACTTAGGGGTTTATGCATGGATTGGAATCAACTTTGTTTTGGGAAGATTCGACCACGAGGATGGTGAGTAATATTGTCTTTTTATGACAGTTTACCTAAGGGCTGAAGATTTAAGTTATAACCTATCAGTAGCATGTAAATGCAAATTTTGAGTTGTTTTTCTTTTTTCAAACATAAGATGCTTCATTTTCCAGTCCTAATTTGCTTTCTTTGATTTCTTTTTAACTTTTTAATATGGAAAGTTTCAAACATTCACAAAAGTAGAATAATAAAATGAACCTCCATGGACCCATTACCCAGGCTCAATATTTACTAATGTTTTGCCATTTCTCCCCCATATCCCCCCATGTATTAAAGGTTTTTTTTTCTCATTGAATGTTTTAAAAAGCAAACCCCAGACATGTAATTTTTATTTTCATGTATGTCAGTATGTATCTACAACAGATAAGGGGTTTCAAAATGAACAAAAAATATATCCATAATGCCATTTTTAAATTTAATAGAATTAACAATTTCTAATATCATACAATACGTATCTAATACCCTATCCAGGTATAGATTTTCCTGATTTTCTCAAGAATGTTTATTCGTAGTGGGCTTGTTCAAATCAGAATCTGAACAAGGGTCATGCATTGCATTTGATTAATATGTCTCTTTAGTCTCTTTTAATCTATAATTGTTAACCTTACCACCTCACTCCCCTGCCTTTAAAAGCAAGAAAAAATTGGATCACCTGGTAGAAAGAATTTGCCACATGCTAGATTTGATTGACTGCATCTTTGTGGGGTTAACATGTTTTCTTTAACATGTTTCTTATCCCCTCATATGTCCTTTAAACTGGAGGTCAGATATAGATGTTTGATTAGACTCAGATTCAATTCCATCTGCAAGACTAAATCATAGAAGGCGCTGTGTGTTTTCCACTACTCACATCAGGAGTTTTGTAATGTCTGGTTGACTCACTTTTTGTCATGCTCAGACTGATCAGGTATTGAGAGTTCAAGTATTATCAGCCTGATCTAACTTAGTATTAAAATTCCTTATCTGCCTTTCATGGAATTGTGGTAATAGCCAATTGTGATCATTGCTTGGACATGTTTTTCATTAGAGATTGCAAAATGGTGATATTTCTAATTCTGTCATTCCTTCTGCATTTAACAGCTAGAATTTTTATGTAATGAACTTTTCTTGATCAACTCTTTGGTTACCCTGACATATAGTTCTTATGGGAAAGACAGAATAAATCCTTGATTCTTTTTATTTATCACATTTCTGAATAATGAGTTGGTGTCTAGCAACTTCCAAAGGTAACCAGTGAAAAAAAAGTTTTAATTATTATTATGAACTCATGGATTTTAATATATTAGATGCATTAGAGCCCATCACATTATTAGTATTTTAAGGAGCATCTTTAGGTTGGCTGCTGTATCCTTTTAATATGACCCCAATACTCTTTTATATTCCCCTTGCTATCTGGTACAGCAATGTATTCCAGGGTCATCTTGTATACTTTCTACCCTAGACCTGGCATTGGCCTGTTTTTAAAAGAGCCCTGGTTTCTTTTAGTAAAAGATGGTATTTAGAGATTATTGGTCCAGATACCACAGGTGGTCATTACTCCTGGGATATCATTGCTTCTAGGCCTTTCAGTGAACACAGCTAGGAAATATGTATTTTTTAGAAAGAGAAAAATAAATGAGTTCATAGTCATATTTCTGACTCATATGTAAGATTATAGGGTGCTATTAATTTATTTGATTTTTATACCTATATCCTTTTTGTTCTGTTATGCTGAATCTTTGTTCCTAAAGATATTGACATAAACATTTATTTGTTTTATTCCACAATATGTTTCATAATTTTTTTTTTTTTTTTGAGACAGTCTTGCTCTGTCACCCAGGCTGGAGTGCAGTGGTGCAATCTCGGCTCACTACAACCTCCGCCTGTCGGGTTCAAGCGATTCTCCTGCCTCAGCCCCCTGAGTAGTTGGGATTACAGGTGTGCAGCACCATGCCCGGCTAATTTTTGTGTTTTAGTAGAGACAGGGTTTCACCATGTTGGTCAGGCTGGTCTCGAACTCCTGACCTTGTGATCTGCCTGCCTCAGTCTCCCTTCATAATTTTTAAATAATAAAACCAACAATATTGTTAACAAGACTACTGCGATGTAGCTTAAGATATTTGTTTCTTTTGTCCTTAGGCTATATCCTACTAGGGATACGTAGTCAAAATGTCATGTTTAAGTAATTCACAAGAATTATTCTTTGTGTAATATATAGTTGATTCAGTTAGTATACTTGTTTGCTTTCTTTTTTTTATTTTGAGACAGGTTCTCTGTCACTGAGGCTAGAGTTTAGTGGTGCGATAATAGCTCACTGCAGCCTCAAACTCTTGGGCACAAATGATCCTCTGGCCTCAGCCTCCTGAGTAGCTGGGACTACAGGTGTGCACCACCATGCCCAGCTAATTAAAAAAAATTTTTTTTTTTTATGAGAGTGTCTCACTATGTTGCCTAGGCTGGTCTTGAACTCCTCGGCTCACATAATCCTCCCACCTTGGCCTCCCAGTGTTTTGGGATTACAGGTGTGAGCCATGGCACCTGCCTGCTTTCAAATTTTCAAGGGATTGCTGTTTTGGGGGTTTGACTTAATTTTATTTTTTAATTACTAGGGCCTTTTTGTTCTCTTATTTATTTCAGAATCAGATGCTGAGGCTACCCAGGAATTGGCAGCAGGACGGAGAAGGACAGTAGGGATACTGGATATGGGAGGAGCCTCTCTCCAAATTGCTTATGAAGTTCCTACCTCAACCTCTGTCCTTCCTGCAAAGCAGGTACTTTACCTTTTAGGGAAATTTAGTTGCTAGGAATGCTAGTATTTGAGAAGGAAGGACACTGTCTTTGGACTTAGACCAACCTACCTGGCTCTAAATATTTGTTCAGATACTTGCTAGCTTGCGTTATCTTGAGTAGGTTACCTCTCTGAGCCTCAGCTTCCTCCTGTGTGAAAAAGGAATAATAATAGTATCTACCTCATAAAGTTATGAGGATGAAATAATACCATGTTTGTAAAGCATTTAGCAAACTGTCCAGCATAAGTGTTCAATACATTTTAACAATTATAACTATACTAGGTATCTCCTGCCATTGCTGAGGATAAACATGATAATGCATTTACATTCTGGAGCACAGTATTTGATACATATCTATTGTTCAATAAATGTTATTCCCTTTCCCCTTACTGATGATTCCATTCTGGGCCTTCTAATAATCCTTACCCCACTAGAATGTAAAGAATGTATTTTGAGGGAGAAGTTTCATCCTACACAGACACTTTTTGTACAGCCATTATGTACACCTATTATGTACACCCATTATGTGCAAGGAATAGACAATATTATGTACAAGGAATAGACATGTGAGTTACACTGTCCCTAAAAACTTATAATTTATCTGTCAGTGGAGACAGCTTGTGATATCAGGGAGACTGTAGCAGTGCTTAACTTGATCTAAACCAGGGCTTCTCATCGTTGGCACTCTTGACATTTTGGGTCAGATAATTCTTTGTCATCAGGGGTTATCCCATGCATCATATGATATCTCTTGCCTATACCAGATGTCAGTAACAACCCTCCCCCTTCCAGTTGTGACAATCAAAAGTGTCTCCAGACATTACCAGATGTGTGGGGCAGGGTGGAAATTGCCCATCATTGAGAACATCTGGTTTAAACAGAGAGCTGTGGCAATATGGGGACTGGCAGCCAACTTAGCTTGCAAAGTTGAATGGGAGCCATTCTTGCTTCATGGAAGGTAAAGTATTTACCTGGGCCTTGGATGAGAGTAGGCTTTTTTTTTTTTGCAGAGTGGAGGCTGAGGGAAGGCCACCTGCATGGAGGGAACACTATATACAAAGGCACAGAAAAAGCAGCACAGAGGCCAGAATGTCCAGGGAATGACGAATAGCCTTTTGCAGTATAGGATTTTCAGGTGTGCTAGTAGTTAAGACTGGGAAGATAAGATGGAGCTAAATCATGAGCAGTATTGAGTGCTATCATAAGGGGACTGGCTTTTATTTCCATAGATAGTGGAAAACCACCAAAAGTTTTTGAGTAAGGCAGTCACATGGGCCTCAGTTTCATTTATAAAATAATTAAACTGTGAAGGTCCTTCTCAGCTCTGAATTTTGTGATGATGTCAGTTGTGTGACTGTGATCTGATCTTTTTGTAGTGAAAAAATTTTTGTGTCAGTAGGAGAAAGAATATAGGTCACGGAACCTTGAGTGAGAAGTAATAAAGGGCTGAGTTAGACAAAGTAAGTGGAAATGAAAGGGAGGGGACAGATTTCAGGGGATAGTTTGGAGTGAAAACCCAATGTAATTGAGCGATTGATTGTGGTAGTGTGAGTAGGGTGGGAGGATGGCCAGCAGTGCTGAGGATCTATCCTAGATAACCAGAAGACTGAGGAACCCAGTAACTGAGAGAAGAGCAACAGGGGTAAGGGCAGGGGTGATATTAAGCAAACAGTATTGTCCTGAGAGATCTGGATGAGAGCGTCTATCTGGTCTTCTAGTTCAGAAGTTGTAAAACTAATGACTTCAATTTTGGATATATTGAGTTTAAGATACCCAAGGAACATATATGTCAGAATATCCACAGGACTGTTGGAAATGTGAGTTTAGCAGTCAGCAGAGAATTTCATGCTGGGGTTGGAAATGTGGGGGACTAACTAGGTTGTGATACTTTTTAGTCTATATTCGTTAGTATGTATTTAACAGGTAAAACGAAGGCATGGATCTGATACTAAGAAATAGGTGACAAGCGGGACTGGGGCTTCAAGTCTTAAAGAAATGACTTTTGTGTGTGTGCAGATTTAGAAAGGAACATGGTTATGGAAAGCAACACTGGTACGGAATGCATACTTGCAAGCAACAAATTAGATTTACATATAGCAGGCCGGGCACGGTGGCTGACGCCTGTAATCCCAGCACTTTGGGAAGCCAAGGCGGGTGGATCACCTGAGGTCAGGAGTTTAGGACCAGTCTGGCCAACATGGTGAAACCCCGTCTCTACTAAAAATACAAAAATTAGCTGGGCAGGGTGGGCAGGCACCTCTAACCCTGCTACTCAGGAGGCTGAGGCAGGAGAATCGCTTGAACCTGGGAGGCAGAAGTTGCAGTGAGCCAAGATCGCACCACTGCATTCCAGCCTGGGTGACAGAGTGAGACCCCATCTCAAAAAAAAAAAAAATAGTAACTACACATAGCAATATAATGGCTCTTCAAGATGAATCTTAGTGCTTGGTAAAAATGAAAGAAACTGTGAGACAATGGCATTTAAAACATTTTAAATAATCCTGAATGCCTAATATATTTTTTTGTACAACTCACAAAGTTATGTACATTCACAAAGTTGTGCAGCCACCACTATTGAATTCCAGAACATTTCATCGCCCCAAAAAGAAACCCCATATTCACTCCCCACTCATTTCCCATTAGCAGTCACTCCTCATTCTCTCCTCTCCCTACCCCTGACAACTATTCATCTACTTTCTCTCTCCAGTGGATTTGCCTATTCCGGACATTTTGTATAAATGAAATCATACAATATGTGGTGTTTTATGTCTGGCTTCTTTTATTTAGCAAAATGTTTTCAAGGTTCAGCCATCTCGTGGTATGGGTATTTCATTCCTTTTTAATGGCTAAACAGCATTCCATTGTATGACCAACCATGCTGTATTTTGTTTATCCATTTATCAGCTGATGAACATTTCAGTGGTTTTCCCTTTTTGGCTATTATGCACAGTGCTGCTGTGAACATTCATATACACATTTTTCTATGTACATAAGTTTTTTTGTTTTTTTTTTTTTTTGAGATGGGGTTTCACTCTTGTCACTCAGGCTGGAGTGCCATGGCACGATCTCGGCTCACTGCAACCTCTGCCTCCCAGGTTCAAGCGATTCTCCTGCCTCAGCCTCCTGAGTAGCTGGGATTACAGGCACCCACCACCATGCCTGGCTAATTTTTGTATTTTTAGTAGAGACGGAGTTTCACCATGTTGGCCAGGCTGGTCTCGAACTCCTGGCCTCAAGTGATCCACCCTCCTTGGCCTCCCAAAGTGCTGGGATTATAGGCATGAGCCACCATGCCCACCCCAGTTTTTGGATCTCTTGGTATGTACCTTGGAGTGAAATTGCAGGGCACAATGGTATTTTTCACAAATTAAAAAGAAATACATTCAAAACAAGAATCCTCATTTTATAATAATACATATATACAAAAATTATACATAACACATTAGAATGGTTGCCCATGGCAGAGAATGGAATGAGATTAAGTATGAAGATAAAAGAGAATAAATAAATAAAGCAAAAGAGAGGCTTTGCCATGATAATGTGGAATGAGCTGAGGAATATGATTAATTCAGCCTCTGCCCTTGAGGTTCAAGAAAAAAATATAGCACCTTTTCATTGGCGGTACAATAAAATTGAACTTTCCCAATCCCCAAACCTGTCATAAGGAACCTTAGGGCTTCTTGGATAATGTTAGAAAAGGCCACAGAACCGGGCACAGTGGCTCACACCTGTAATCCCAGCACTTTGGGAGGCTGAGAAGGGCTGATCATGAGGTCAAGAGATCGAGAACATCCTGGCCAACATGGTGAAACCCGTCTCCACTAAAAATACAAAAATTAGCTGGGCATGGTGGCACGTGCCTGTAGTCCCAACTACTCAGGAGGCTGAGGCAGCAGAATTGCTTGAACCCGGGAGGCGGAGGTTGCAGTGAGCCGAGAGCATGCCACTGCACTCCAGCCTGGTGACACAGTGAGACTCTGTCTCAAAAAAAAAAAGAAAAGAAAAAGAAAAGGCCACAGAATAGATCTTATGATGATCCACAGAGTTCCTTAAATTTATTTTTATTAAAGGATGTTTTCCTATTAAAATAACACATTCCCATTGAGGGAATTGGAAAATACAGAAAAATACATGTGAGAAAATGATATCTGTAGTAATTCTACCTCCTATATAACTACAGATAGTGTTTTGGGTTTCTAATTTCATATTTAGTTCTTAATTTAGTGTCTAATTTGTACCTTTTAGTGCAGTCTTGTCATTTTGTGTCTTTGTTTAAAATAATGCTATGAGGATGAAAGAATGCTTAAGATGTTTTAAAGAGTAGTCATAGAAATGAAGCCTCGTGTATTAGCAATGTCATAGCTTTCTAGAAGGCAACCAAAACTAAAATTCCCTTTTTCTCTTGGTATTGTATTATAGGAAGAAGCTGCCAAGATCCTGCTGGCTGAGTTCAACCTGGGCTGTGATGTGCAACACACTGAACACGTGTACAGGGTTTATGTCACAACTTTTCTGGGTTTCGGAGGCAACTTTGCCCGGCAGCGCTACGAAGACCTTGTTCTGAATGAAACTCTTAACAAAAACAGGTACATTTGATATGGGATCTGAGTTTCTGAAATATAATGTCAGGCTGCAGATATTAGGGAGAAATACTCACATCCTCCTAAGACAGATAAGTCCCTGCTTCCTCCTTCTTTCTGACTACCCCTGCCAATGGGGTAGCATCTCTTAAAGACCTCTATTAGCAGTCCCACTCTGGGTGAGGGTGCATTCTGATCTTTGTTATTAGGACTCATAAAGTACAGTAGCTTATTGTGATCTCTTGCTGTTTCCCATATTCAGACCTAACATCATGGGAAAAGGGAGATGAATTAAATTGCCAGTTTAAAATGTACAATATATAGTGTAGCTGCTAGCAGTTCCTTCTGCATGGAAGTGTTCAAGACATGTTTGTTGAATTACAGTGCAGTTGCATCTTTTGTGAGAGTTCAGTTCTGTAGTATGTCTAAAAGATAAAAAGCAAGCATAGTTAAAATTAACTTTTAAAATGGTCTCTCATCAAATTCATAATAGTCAGTTTTTCCTTTAGCATTGGACAGATCACAGATTCTTCATTTGAGTACCAGATGAAGTAGTTAGACCTTAATGTACAAACAGTGGTGGGATTTCTTGTTTCTTTTTTGTTTTTTAAGTCTGTAAAATTATTTATTTTATCATTAAGCACACTGAAGGAAAGCATAAGAGAAAGCAGAGTTCTTTTCCATCATTAAATTTACACAAAATTTTGGAATGAAACCAGTTTAAGTAATTGGGTGATTGATTGTGGTGGCGTAGGTAGGGCAGGGAGGATGGCCAGCAGTGCTGAGGGTCTAGCCTAGGTAACCAGAAGGGTGAGAAACCCAGTCACGGAGAGAAGGACCACAGATGAAAGGGCAGGGCTGATACTAAGCAAACAACACACTTACCTACGTATACTTAACCATTTAGCTACGAACACTAGCTTGAAGAAGTACTGGTATACCCCGTTTGTAATAATTTATCCACAGCAATCAATTATCTTATATTTACGGCATGTTGAAGAAAATATTGTCCCATAAGTCTATTTTGTTTTTGTAAGTCTTAGTCTCTAGGAGTTCAAGGTGCTTTGGGAGAATCCTGGTGCCCTGGATGATTGACTAATGCATTAAAATCAAGTGGTGTGTTTGTATTCTGAAAGTACTCCTAAATCTATACAAACATTGCTTGGGTTGAGGTGCTCAGATGTCTCCTGCAGGCACCATGATGTTTGAAGATCATTTGTTTTGAAAGTTTCACACCAGTTTTGGTTTTCCTTCTTCATTAGCTGCTGTGCTTCCTTTTCCATTTTCTTCTTTTGTTCTACTCCTTTCTTTTCTGTCTGCTGTTTTCTGCTGCCTCCAAACTACTTCTTGCCAGACTGCATCTTCTTCCCATGCGTTGGTATTTTCTTGCCAAGTAGCTAAGTCACCTACATCAGGTGACTGATGAGTAAAAGGCATATCTTGTGTAGCTGCCAGTCTATTAACCTATTTCCTGAGATGGCAAAATGATCATTGTCTCTTCTCAATAACAATTTTCTGAGTTTTCCTTACAGTTGGTGTCACATCCTTAAAATAGTCGGTTCCAGTTGTTGTAAAGTGTTCTGTTGTACTGCCTCATTCCATTCTCACCCTCGGTCTTTACACCTGTGGGCGCATCCTCATTCTAAGAAGTCCACTCTTCAACATCTGTCTGTTTAGGAACTGATGAATAATTAACTGCAATTGGCAAAGTTACTTGGACCCCAACTTAATTTCTGTCCTTGGACAGATCTTCATACTCATCATTTTGAGGAATGAGAATATGGTTGCTAGGCAAGTATAAACTCAAAATAACTGGACCTGTGTTACGGCCATGGTGGGAATCAAAGCTTTCCAGTCTTCTCCCCACTCAGAGGCTCCAGGCTCTGCAGGTGGCTTCCTGGAGCTGGTGCTGTGCCTGTTCTGTTCCAGCACTGCTCATTCAGAGGCAGGCATGGGCTCCATCACCATTGCCAGCCATTGCACATGGGCCACTGCCGTGGTCTGCTCTTCAGGAATCTCTCCCCACAGTCCTTCCCACCTCACCCCCTACCAGTTGTATTTTTAAACATTAGAACCACACTCCGCACGATAAGGTCCTTGCACTTTTAGGAGGTACGTGGGAATGAAGACCAGATGGAGAACAGCAGATTCACATCTCCAATTTCACTACAGACTAGGAAATACACATGTTGACTAAAATGTCGAACAGAATTGATCACCATATTCCTCTCTTTTTTTTCTAAATTTAACTTGCTGAAGTTAAATGTTTATGTGATGAAATTGCACTCCATCCTCGTTTCTAGAGATATCATGAAAACCAGTAGTAAGATATTTCTGATGCACATTGTGTTTCTTAGACTAGGTTGAATACAGGCATGACGTGTTTGTTTGTTTGTTTGTTTTTGTCATTGTGGCAGATTGCTTGGTCAGAAGACAGGTCTGAGTCCCGACAATCCATTTCTGGATCCCTGCCTGCCAGTGGGACTCACAGATGTGGTGGAGAGGAACAGCCAAGTCTTACATGTCCGAGGAAGAGGAGACTGGGTGTCTTGTGGGGCAATGCTGAGCCCCCTGCTGGCTCGCTCCAACACCAGCCAGGCCTCACTCAATGGCATATATCAATCGCCTATTGACTTCAACAACAGCGAGTTCTACGGCTTCTCTGAGTTTTTTTATTGTACAGAGGATGTGTTGCGCATTGGTGGCCGCTACCATGGGCCAACATTTGCCAAGGCTGCTCAGGTAAATTATTAATGATAAACATGGCTTATGCTGGCAGCAGCCATTTATTGAATGCCTCACTCTGTGCCAGGTGCTGTGCAAAGGGCTTTGCATACAGAATCTCACTTGTTCTTTGCAGGAGCCCTTTGAACACTCATTTTACAGATGAGGAAGTGGACAGAGAACTTAAGGATCTAGCTATGCTGTACTGCCTTCTAATTAACTAAATTTATTTTCCATGGATGTCATACCACCCAAATTATTACCCAGGCATAAAATTTTTGTGTTGGCTAATGGTTTTTCTTCCAACTTTCCAATAGTCTTGTTTAATGTTTATGCCCAAGAAATGTCACCTCCAGTATTTTTCCTCTTGCTAGCTATTTTCTGTTGTAATGTGCTTTTGGAGATGATATCACCCAGAGGGGCAAGCCCATCTTTCTTTTGGGTTGAGGTATTAAGAGGCAGAGTGGTATGGGGTCCCTGGGAATATTAGATGTTGTAAAAAGCAATGATGGTGGAAGTTTGTTTAGATTTAAAATAGAGGAGTAAAAATTCACTCTGAGCATATATAGGACTTAAGCATCATATAAGTTTAAATCATTGGTACCTGGACAGATGAAAGTTTAGCCAGCTTTCTATCATTTTCTGCTTTATTTAGGGCCATCTCTTTGAATTGTTGCGTGTCTCTATCTTTTTCATCAGAGAAACGAATGGGAGAATCTGTCCTCATATTTCTTTTTTTCTTGAGATGGGGTCTCGCTCTGTAGCCCAGGCTGGAGTGCATTGGCATGATCTCAGCTCACTGCAACCTCTGCCTTCCGGGTTCAAGTGATTCTCCTGCCTCAGCCTCCCGAGTAGCTGGGATTACAGATGCCCACCACCATGCCTGGCTAATTTTTATTATTTTTAATAGAGATGGGGTTTTGCCATGTTGGCCAGGCTGGTTTGGAACTCCTGGCCTCAGGTGATCTGCCCGCCTTGGCCCCCCAAAGTGCTGAGATTACAGGCGTGAGTCACCGTACCCAGCCTCTCCTCATATTTCCCTCCCTCCCTCCCTTCCCTCCTTCTTCCCTGCCTACCTTTCTCTTTCTTTCTTACAATTCTCTAGGGTTCTCTTAGTGTAAGGCTTCCAGCAAAATAATATCTGCAGTATCTGTACTGTTCTGTTCCCAAAAGACAGTCCTTAAGAAATACTGTGGGACACCTGGTTTGTATTTGCTCCTTTCTCTCCAGCCTCCAGGACGACCTTCACGCTCCCTGTTTTTCTGGAGCCCAGAGCTCCCTAACTATCCATGGCCTGACTCTTTCTCTTATCTCAAAACTTCTTCAAATTCTATTCCCTTGAACACCAAAAGGCTCAAGTTATTGGGCTTAACATATTATCTTTTCCAGGTAAAAGCGATTTTTTTCCCTTACCTTTTTAACTTTGACTCAAACGTTATCTTCCCAGAGCCACCTTCTGGGACCACTCTATCCAAAATGACAACGCTCCCCATATTACCTGTTGCCCTTTCCTGCTTTATTTTTCCCTGAGCATTTATGTTATCCAACGTACCGTGTGTGTGTGTGTGTGTGTATGTGTGTGTGTGTGTGTGTGTGTGTGTGTGTTTATTGTCTGTCTCCTACCACTAGAATGTAAGCTTCCTGAGGACAGGAATTTTTGTCTGTTTTATTTACTGCATGATTCCCTGGCATCTAGAACAGCACCTGGCACATAGCAGACATACAAACCAAAAGGAATGATTATTTTGGTGAGAATTACAACACCGAGGGAGGCCAATGACAGGTTTCTAACCATCCTCTTCCATCTGCTCTCCCTGCTCATGTCAGTCCTATGTGGAGTAGAATGAAACTATCTTTGTCTTTTGACGTTGCTATTTGTTAGTCCTAACCTCAGCCCCTCTGAAGCCTAAGAGGCTCAGAAGCCACATCAAGCTGGCTTGGTGCTAGACATGGGATGACGGGAATAAACAGGGGTATGACGCAGTGTTTAGTGAATGAACACACCATTTCTGTTTTCCTTTGTCAGCTGGTAGCCCACAAGTAACTTTAGAAATGGAACAGCTGTGACTGTGGGGAAGGTAGAGAGTTTGCCTCCAAATTCATGTTGCACTATTTCTCTGTGGTTGATCCAGGATTACTGTGGCATGGCTTGGTCGGTACTAACTCAGAGATTCAAGAATGGCCTCTTTTCATCACATGCAGATGAGCATCGACTCAAGTAAGTTACTTCCCTTTCCTCCTTAGATGTGGACTTAAAATCTAGATGGCAGATTATAATGGAGAGTGAGCAATAATGCAGATTAGATTTCATGTTGAGGGAGCATTTGATTATTCCAGACTTGATTTTCTCAGGGATAGGGGCCAAAATAGTGAGCCTATTATAGCAAAGCCAGAAGAAATCAGTGGTTACCAAACAGAGTTCTCAACAAGTGATTTGACAACAAAAGTGATTTTTTTTTTTTTTTGAGACAGAGTCTCACTTTGTTGCCCAGGCTGGAGTGCAGTGGCATGATCTTAGCTCACTGCAACCTCCGCCTCCTGGGTTCCAGCGATTCTCCTGCCTCAGCCCCCCAAGTAGCTGGGACTATAGGCACGTGCCACCATGCCTGGCCAATTTTTGTATTTTTTTGTAGAGACGGGGTTTCGCAATGTTGCCAGGCTGGTCTTGAACTCCTGAGCTCAAGTGATCCGCCTGCCTCGCCCTCCCAGAGTGCTAGGATTACAGGTATGAGCCACCGGGCCCGGCCAAAAGTGATTTTTTTTTTAACTTTGTATTATAGATAATATCAAACATATAGAAAAGTAGAGAGAATAGCAACATAAACCCTCATGTAACTATCACACAGCTTCAACAAATAACATTTTGCCAGTATGGTTCATTGGTCCTTTCATTTTTAAATGTTTTAGTTAAAAATTGTTTAAAATTGCCGGGCATGGTGGCTCACACCTGTAATCCTAGTGCTTTGGGAGGCTGAGGTGGGTGGATCACCTGAGTTCAGGAGTTCAAGACCAGCCTGGCTAACATGGCGAAACCCTGTCTCCACTAAAAATACAAAAATTAGCAGGGTTTGGTGGCAGGTGCCTGTAATCCCAGCTACTCGGGAGGCTGAGGCAGGGAGAATTGCTTGAACCCAGGAGGTGGAGGTTGTAGTGAGCTGAGATCGCGCCACTGCACTCCAGCGTGGGTGACAGAGTGAGACTCTGTCTCAAAAAAAAACAAAAATTGTTTTAACATAAACAAAACTAGAATAGTGTAATCAACTCCTGTGTACCTGTCACCCTGCTTTCCTACTAACATTTATCAGCTCCTGGCCCATCTTGTTTTTATCTGTTTTCCCATCCACAATCCCCCTCTTACTTCAACTGGGTTGTTTTGAAGCTAATCCCAAACATCCTATAATTACATTTGTAGATATTTTAATATGCTCTCTGAAGATAGGGACTCTTAAAAAAAAGAAAAAGAAAAACACAGCCACAGTATCATTATTGCCTTTGTGGTAAACACAAGATAAGTAGGCTGACTTAGAAATAACCCACTTAGAGGTGAGGAAGGTGAAGCGGGAGGAGGTAGGTCTTTTAATAACTTGTGGGAATACGGAGTGGCTTATTGCAAAGGAAAGTATTAGAATTCTTTTCTCTTTTTTTAAAATTTAATTATTTTTGTCACACAGATATCAGTGTTTTAAATCGGCTTGGATGTACCAAGTCTTACATGAAGGATTCCACTTTCCCTATGACTACCCAAACCTGCGGACAGCCCAGCTGGTGTATGACCGAGAGGTTCAGTGGACGCTGGGAGCCATTCTATATAAAACACGATTCTTACCACTCAGGTAAAGTAAGACTGACCAATCTGGTATCTTGAGCTCAGAGGATATCAGTTGATGCCTCAGAATCGGTTTCTTTCTTTTTTTTTTTAACCAGCTTAGAATAGGTCTTAAGTGACCTTCCTCTCTACCCCCTCACAAAAACAAACTCCTTTACTTCCATGTGAGCCACTGTTACTACCAGGCATGCTCGAACAGAAAGAAGGTTGAGCATTACTGGTCTGGAGTCTCAGCTTTGCTGTTTCAGAAATCCAGCTTTATTTGTTTACTCACAACAAACCAGTCTTTAGGACTGAGCTCTTACTAATCACTTCCAAGATACTGACAAGCTAAAATGTCATTCTTGGGTTACCCTGGAAAACACATCTGACTAAAGAACAGGGGTAGGATGTCTAGAGCAATCTTTCATAACATACAGAGGCACTCCAGACATTGTGTCATTGACTTAGAAGGCTTTTTGGTGGGTCAGAATTAGAATAAAGGACGTGAGATGTTTTTAGTGGGGCTACTTTCATCAAACTCTGGTAGCCTGATACCTTACTTTTATGTACTGTCAGATATTTGGGACAATTTTTAGGTACCTGTACCCTGGACTATTTCAGATAAACTCAGATGAATTTTGTATCTTTGATGTCTGTTCCTCTAAACTCAATACCGTCAGCAGCCAGGCAGGCGACAGAAGTGAGGGAAGTGGGCTAGGTGGGGGTTGCCCACAACTGGAGCATGTATCCCAGTTAATGGGCTGGTTACTGTCACACACAAGCACTGTCCCAGCATTTGCCAGTTCTCATCTGTCCAGAAAAGTCAGAAATCCATATTTTTTATGAAGTCTTTCAGTTTAGAGATTCGCATTCTAGAAGAACACTGCAGGTCAAACCAGACAAAACTAGATCTGGATCTGGACTGCTGAAGAGTGGCTTCTGTTCTAGCCAGGTGGACCATTACACTTGGTTTTCATATCGCCTTATTTTTATCTGACTGTAATACAGTTGATCAGGTAACAGCTTTATTTAGATATATCCTAGATCCTAAGGAAACATAGTACCTTTATTTTTTATTATTTTTTTGAGAC
Source organism: Homo sapiens (assembly GCF_000001405.40). Classification (NCBI taxonomy): domain Eukaryota; kingdom Metazoa; phylum Chordata; class Mammalia; order Primates; family Hominidae; genus Homo; species Homo sapiens. Next base: position 99,703,740 of record NC_000010.11, read on the forward strand.
AGGGTCTTGCTCTGTTGCCCAGGCTGAGTGTGGTGGCAGTGCCGTGTTCATAGCTCACTGCAACCTTGAACTCCTGGGCTCAAGTGATTCTCCTGCCTCAGCCTTCTGAGTAGCTGGGAATACAGGTGCTCGCCACCATGCCCAGCTAATTTTTTGATTTTTCTTTTGCAGAGATGGGGTCTTGTTATGTTGACCAGGCTGGTTTTGAACTCCTGGCTTCAAGCAATTCTCCTGGCCTGGCCTCCCAAAGTGCTTTGATTACAAGCATGTGCCACTGCACTTGGCTGCATAGCAACTTTAAAAAAAGGATTTAGACACACACACTCTGATTTCTTTATTGGATTCAGGGGATACCCTATTCTCATTAGTACTGTATTTATAAGCCATATTTTAAGACTTATGTTACAGGTGATCAATCTAGCCTTTCTGTTCATTTTTTGGGATTCAATTTCAAAGGCCTTCCCATCTTGGCTTAGATTCTGGAGGGTGTAAGCCTGGAGGTCCCTTCTGGGGGCCGTGGGAAGGAAGACACAGAAGGGCTCCTGGGGCGGGGGATGTTCTTCAGCTTTGCCTGCTCTGTGGAGCTGGTGTCATAAAATGTTTATGTGGATGGAATAAATGTGATAACACTACTGGGCCTTTCAAATCAGTAAATGTCTCCCTTTGAAACTTAACAGTTTTTTCCACCTACAAATTCTTAATTCTTCCCTAGGGATCTTCGGCAGGAAGGTGTCCGACAAGCCCATGGTAGCTGGTTCCGTCTCTCCTTTGTATACAACCACTATCTCTTCTTTGCCTGTATCCTGGTGGTGCTACTGGCCATCTTCCTATACCTTCTGCGGCTACGCCGAATTCACCACCGACAAACACGAGCCTCAGCTCCATTGGACTTGCTGTGGCTTGAAGAGGTGGTGCCCATGATGGGAGTACAGGTGGGGCCGTGAGGCTGGACCAGGACTAGAGAAGCTTGAGCACCCCCGAGTTGCTGCTCATTGAATTCCTCCACTTTCTTATATAGCCTCAGATGCTGTGATGTCTGACCTTGTGGATATTTGCCCTTGGAATTTCTACTTTACTTTCTACCGTAATTCCTTCTCCGTACCCAGGTCTTCTCTGAGAGAAGCTATAATTTAATCTGTGAGGAACTAAATGACAGGAGATTGGTGCTAATACGGGGGACCAAGCTTTGTCCAAGTGAAGCAGGCTTCGACTCCTTCTGAGAGGTCTGGTGTGTTCCTAGAATCTCACCTTTTCTTCCCTTGCTAAAGCATGAAGTTTGGCATTTGGCACACTGGAAGCCTGGTTGAAATGAAATTTGTAGCATCTGATACAAAGCCAGAGACATTCTAGCAAGTGCAGCAGCCCCTTCTTTCTCTGTAACAGAGATATCATTTATGTGGAGATCCACAACCTTTAACAGGGATCCAAGATCTTTGCAGTTCAATCGACCACATAGGAATTTCCAGGCACCAAAATGATATAACTTCCTTGCTTCCTTGACAAAGAAGCCATCATGGGTGTGATCCAAGATCCCTGTCGTAGTGTTGATGATGTTAGTACATGATTTTAAAGGTTAGAACCCCTTCTAAATGAATGGTCTGTGGAAGATTTTAGTATCTTATCTGATGCCTGGTATGATGAGGATAGAAAATTTTTCCATTTTTATGTGCCTCACAGGCTGTTTGGGCATTAATTTTGCTTTTTGAGCCTTAAGTGTGTTAGTAGGATGGAGAAACTGTGATGGGGACTGGGAACCTGGATTTGTCTGATTTTAGGTCACTGTTCCCTGGGCCTGTTTTTGTGAGCCCTTACACAGGAAGATATAAAGAGAGTTCTTTCATTTCACTGCTAAAATCAGTATGTAGTATGGGGAATGTATTTGGGTTGTTTTTAAAGAAAAGGGGAACAGAATCAGGAGAGTGGGCAAAGGCAATAAAATCAAAGTTCTTATTAATTATTTCTGAGAAATAGAAGTTTCTCAATTTATGACTCTTGGAATGTCTGAAAGGGAGCAAATTTGGAATAGATCAATCTGTTAATAAGCCATCTGGCAACTTTCAGAACCTCTATTAAGAGACTGCTGAGTCACAAACAGCACTTCCATTAATGAAGCGAGAGGAAAAGCCATAATAATTACATCTTCACCCACTACCCTTCCAGAGCTTTGCTTCTCCTCCACATTTAGCCATTAAATTGCATGAGGATTTCTCTTCATCAGGGTCCGCATGGAATCTTTCTTATATTTTACCCTTTCCTACATGTAGCCTTGAATGTCCTTTCCACGAATATGCTCCCACGGCTGGGAGCATTTTCTTTTCTTTTCGTCACCTTTGATTTTTGGGATTAGATTAATAGGGGAAAAAGTCCCTGGCTTTAAAGAAAACAAAAGTAGAATTCTTCAAAAATAAATTTCATACTGGGAACAGAAAGGAACTAAATGCTTCATAAAACAGGGAAAAAGAAATTAAGATCATCCTAGAAATAAACTAAGATAAAAATAAGTATACTGACCCTTGGTTGGTAGATAAAAAGATGACCAGTCTTGTATTGTTTTAAAATTAGATAAACATGGATTAAGCATGCAAAGACTCTGTTCCTTTTTTTTTTTCTTGGAGACAGGGCCTCACGCTGTCACCCAGGCTGGAGTGCAGTTGTGCAACATCATGGCTCACCGCAGCCTCAACCTCCTGGGCTCAAACAGTCCTCCCAACTCAGACTCCAGAGTAGCTGGGACTACAGGTGTGCGCCACCACACTCAGCTAATTTTTTATTTTATTTTTTTAGAGATGGAGTCTGTGTTGTCCAGGCTGGTCTCAAACTCTTGGGCTCAAGCAATCCTCCCACCTCAGCCTCCCAAAGTGCTGGGATTACAAGCATGAGCTACTGCACCTGCCCTCTGTTTCCTTTGGAAATCTCTTACCTTTCATTAGGGTTTCTTTCATAGCAATTTCCTTTGGTTTTTAAGACTTCTACATTGCTTTTTCTTTTATTATCTGTGCTCCGTGAACCTTATGAATGCTGCTTAAAAATAATGTCAAAATATGTTTTAGCTGCCTACTCAGGTAACGTTTTCTTTTGCTCTCATCTTGGTTTCCATATACTATTTTTGGTTTTTTGTGAGATCTAATCAATGATCTAGTCAGAAGCTACTTCACTGGCTAACAGTGATCATGTTCATGTGCTAAAAATGAACTTGAAACACGGAAGTAGTGGTTGGTCCAGTTTGAAAGCTCTTATTAGTATTCTTCATCCTGGCTGTAATAATAGCCATTATTTGTTATGCCTTTGTTATGTAGCAGACACTCTTAAGGATTTTATGTGTATTATTCAAATTGCTATTACTGTTCTTTTTATAGTTGAGAATCTCAGGATACCTACATTTATCACTTTTTCAATATATATGTATTTCTTATTCTTATTTTGTCTTGGAGTGTTTAATGTGTTATTTCCTGTTCATTACTTTAATATTATGGTATCTAGGCTTGTCTTTATTACCATGAGCAAGGTCTCCAGGAGTTCCACAGTACTGAAGGAAAATTTTGTCATATCCCTCAGAAGAACTGAATATTTATTATTGGTATGGGCTCCTTTGTTTATTCTCTTCTCCCAATTAATAGATTTTAAATGAAATCTTATTAGCTAGAAACAAAAGCCACTTACTCCTTGCTGAGAGCCAATTACTTAAATATATTTCTTCCTTATAATAAAATAATTTGCTTCTAGGAGCAGAAATCTATCTTGCCATACCCTTTGGTTTTTAAAGATTTCTCTTCTATTTGCATTTCTGCACTTTGGTGGTTCTCCCATGAAGATAATTATGGTGTCATAAAATTCACATTCCACTGGTTCCTTTGAATCTTACCAACCACTCTTGTTAACAGAGACAATGAACCTGAACTGTTTTAGGACTCTTGTTATTACTGAGACAGGTCACAAACATCAAAATAGGAGTCCGTGGCTTGTAGTGATGCTTTTTAGTCTTGTGATAGCACAATCCATCACTTTCCCCAAAATTCTTGTCATAGAACATAATGAAAAATATGTAAAATACCCATTTATGTGGCATTTCATTCACTTAAGTTGCAGTTAACTCTAAGCCAAATTATACCATTTTTTCTCTCTGTACTTTAGCTCCTTGAATTTCCTTAATCTGGGAAACTTTTGTTCCCACACCAAGGAACAAATTCAGGGGGTACAAGTGCAGGTTTGTTACATGAGTATATTGAGTGATGCTGAGGTTTGGGGTACAGATCCCATCACCAGGTGGTGAGCATAGTACCTAACAGATAGTTCTTTAATCCATGCCCTCCTCTCTCCCTCCCTGCTCTAGTAGTCCACAGTGTCTATTCTGGTCTGGGAAATTTTCATCACTTTCCACCAATCTTCTATTTATTCTCCAAATGTCTTCCAAAGTATCCTGCCCCACCCCCTCCTCATCCTAAGAGATTCCTTTAACTTCAAGATCATATCCAGTGATTGCTGAAAAATGTCTGCCATGCACTTGCTAAGCTAGTGTTTTTAGGCATTAACATTTATTATCACATCCATATTTATATTTTTGAAATAATTTATACTTCTCACTGATATCATCTAAACAGATGCTTCTCACAGTTTTATGTTTTGTTTTTTGTCAGGGATGAAAGACAAGTGAGTGGTATCACTTAAGGGAAAGAACAGTAGGCTTAACGAATAGCAGACCTGGATTCTAGTTCTGGCTTTGTCATTTACTAGCTCTGGTACCCCAGGCCAGTCACTTACCATCTCTGGTTCGGTTCTCATCTATCAAACAAAGAGGCTAGACAAGATTAGAAACTAAAGGCAGAAGACAAGGTAGAAAAATCATATGATTTTGGGAAGAGCATTTTGTCCTTTGGTTTAGAAGACCAGGCTGCCCAAAAGAGCCTCCTATTTTATCCATAACCCCTGATGATAAGGTTGGTGGGAACAGAGTTTCTAATAGTAATCATAATAAATTTCAGAAGAGTTTTAAAGCTTCTGGTCAACCCCCTTGATTTATATGGGTGATAAAACTGAGGCCTAGAGCAGTTGTAATATGTGCAAAGTCATAGTGACTGGCCTCCTAGCCCAACTACTTTGTCAGCTACAATGAAATGCTCATTAACAGAATCTTTCTGCAAGTATAAACAGAATCTATTTTTTATAAAACAGCTGGCCACAACTAACCATGCCCCATCTTTACAACTGCTTCTGACATTCATTTATGACTGCTTTGCTCACATTTAGGAATAAACTTTGAAAAAAATACTTTGTCAGAAATAGTGCCAAGTTTTCACTACATCTATTCTTGTTCCTGTATTTCTTTTCGTACTTTTAAATTTTATACATCTTTTTAAAACAATTTTATACAATTTCCTTTACTACAACATCCAAGCAATTCATTAGATGACTACAGCCTAGATGAAGGTATAAATGCCTATTACATCTACCTCATTAAAGAACTTCGTTGTAATTCTTGGGCAGTTTCCAGACTCTGTTACAGAAACAGAGGGCTGTTTCTTTTTGTTGTCTTTAAACTTTTCAAATTAATTCAAAACTAGTATCTAATTGTCCTTTTTGCTGTGGTATGTGGTGTAATGTTGATTGGGAATAAGAATTATGGTAGAAATAGCAGATGTTTCAAATTCTCCCATATTAGTCTCTTAGGGACGCTAGCTCCAGATTCCAGCCCCTGGGGCAATAACTTGTGAGGATTTTCCTGGTGTTACAAAAAATATTGCTGTTAAAAAACTAAGACTCAAAACCAAAAGTTGTGATTAATAATAACAGGATTATTAGTCAATAATATTTTGATTAATACTATAGAATAGCAACAGTGAATATACCTCAAATTGAAAACTTTTAGGTTGTGTTCTTGGCTCATTCTCTCATAACCTGGATCTAAGTTGGAAAGCTGTGGCACCCTGTTTGGGTGTCCCATCTACCCTGTTTTCTGTTTCTGCAGATGGCTTGTTCAAGCTTCATTTTAAGCCTGCTCTGTCTACTTATCTTCCTTATATCCTAATAGACTTCTCTTGTGTTATTACACATTTCTCTTTTGCTCTAATATTTCATTATTTTCCAGTTTGTCAGTACCGTTATCAGAGGGACGAGGAAGGAATAACACACCAGTTGACCATTTTGTTTCTCTGAAAATCTGAGCAATACGGAGATCCTTTTATTAGTAAAACTGAATCATTACTCATACTACAAGGGCTTTCACTTTTAAAATGTAATCCATCATTGCTTGCCATTTTTATGAAAACCAAAGTTGAAAAGTCTTCTGAATCACAGGCTATGTATAGCCACACATGCATGACTTCAGGCTAGCATAAAGACATGTCTGCTCCTGAGCCTCTTCTTTTAAAGGGCAACCACTTGTATACCCTCTGGTGGCCACTCCTCCTTCTCCACTCCAAGGCAGCCCTGGTACTTTCCTAAGTGGCCCCTCCTACAGAGCACTTGCCGGCATTTGGCCTGCTGCTGGTGAAGACGCCCCTTACTAGCTTCATAAATGTTTTTCTGCAAGCAGGGATCCCAGACACATACTTTGGTTTCTAGTGTTTCAGTTACTATGTTGTATTTGAAATTCTCATTCCACAATTACCCTTTAGTTGAAGTCCTGAAGTACATGCCATGTACTCCCCCTTTATTTCTACCTTGATCAATGGCCTCTGCGGAGTGTAGTGAAAGACATCTTTTTATTATGATCTACACTTTAAAAAACCAAAGGCTGCCTGTATTACATTGCTTTGGGGAGTTGTTAAGACTCTGTTTTTTCTACTGCTTCACATTAAACAATAATTTTGTTGAATTTTGAATTCTTAAAATTCTCACTGACAAACATTTTAGGTCAGTGTTGAGGAAAATGTGTGATGCATGTTAGAGAGGTGATGCATTCTCCCTTATGCAGGGACATGGGTATATGTGTTACATATGCTGATATATAACCCACCATTCATCCCAGGACCACAAGGGTAGCTGTAGATAAACTGGTTATCCTAAAATCATGATTATCAGTGTTGATCTCTGCAACCAACATTGCTTTAGGGAGTTGCTAGTCATTACCCCTGCTACAATAGATAGTATTTGTCAGTCTAAGTTACAGACAAAAAATTCTAGGTTGACTGATTAAGAAAGCCATGTGTTTTAATTTCCTTCATGTTTTAAAAACAATGGACGTAAGTGCAGAGAGACCTTTGAAAATATTAAGGGAAATCTATTTAATCCTATAGGTATGTGATGACTTGTTTTTTTGGAAAAAGGTATTTGGAACATCAATCTGTAATTATCCATTTTCCATTCATGCATTCACTAATTCAATATTTGATATGTGTCTGGGAGTGCTGGGAATAACATAAATACAAAAAAAACCCTAAGATAATCATTCACCAGAAGCTCATAGATATAATACAGTTATATAGCTAAATGCAACCAGTTGTTTTTCCAAATGTACTCATCATCTGTAATAAAAGAAAAATGAAGTAAAACATCTGAAACCTTAACTTACTCATGAGTTGCTACTTCCTTGGAGGCAACTGTAGAAGCATTAATATATGGTTCTTTGGGTTGGGTCATACTGCCCTCTGCTGACTCAGTTACTAACTAAGGACAACCTGGGTTTGAGGATCAGGAGAGGATGGTGTGGGAACCTGCCTCAGGAACTACAGTTCCCTTTCTTTGAAGGATTCTATCCAGAAGAGACCATATCCTACTAACATACTAATAGGAGCAACATAGCAGATCAAATGATAAGGTGGGGTGGAAATTAGAAGGGAATGGGAATAAGCTAGTCAGAACTTTCTAAGGTAACTAGGCTATTAGGACCTAAGCCAGTGGTCCCTAGACTTGTCTGCACATTGGAATCACCTGGGGAACTTTAAAAATATGCCTTTTACTTCCTCCAGGGATTGTGACTTAATTGGTCTTAGATGAGGCTTGGGCTTTGGGATTTTTCTAAGATTCAAATAAGAGAGAAGTTGGGAATCTCTTCTAGGCAATAGCATAAGCCCAGCCAGGGTCCAGCATTTATGAAAAATTGACAAACTGTTTTGCTAAGAATCACCTGTGTTAGTCGGCTTGCATTGCTATAAGGAAATACTGACAATTTTTAGAAAGAAAAGAGGTTTATTTGGCTCACTGTTCTGCATAGAACTGTATAGGAAGCATGGCGCTGGCATCTGCTTCTGGTGAGGGCCTCACGAAGCTTACAATCATGGCAGAAGGTGAAGGGGAGCCAGTGTGTCACATGGTGAGAGAGAGCAAGCGAGAGAGGAGGAAGTTCCAGGCTCTTTTAAACAACCAGCTCTTGCATAAACAACCAGAGTGAGAACTCACTCATTACTATGGGGATGGCACAAAGTCATACATAAGGGATCCGCCCCCATGACCCAAATACCTCCTACTAGGCCCACCTCTAACACTGAATGTCACACTTTGAACATGAGATTTGGAGGGGACAAAACATCCAAACCATATCACCACCTGAGAATGGTACACTACAGGTCACAGAAACTTACAGAGTACTGGAGTTGAAAGAGAACTGAGATCACCTAGTTCAGAGACTAACGGGAAACGTTAGGTCATTTATGGCTCTCAGACACGTTAAGCCTGCATAACATTTTTTAAAATCTTGAAATTAGTTCCCAACACTTAATTGAGAGCTTTCACAGAAAAATCTAGATATGTGGCTTATTTTTAAAAAACAGAAGATTTGCTGACTTAAACACTGCAAAATTAAACATTTATATCTGAATCCAGCATCTCTTTTTGCTTTGTAAATGAGGTCAAGGATGAAATCCAGATGTTCTTCCTTTGTATTTGTATTGTCACTGTATGGAATCTAGGTATATCCAAGGAAAAATAAACTTAAGATAAGCTTATTTTCCTTATTTCAAAAAGCAAAACAAAAACCCAGAAGATCTAACAACCCTGGACCTGTAGAGTGGCAGCAACAGACCAGAACTCAGCAGTATAGTCCGAGCTGGGGCACCTGCTCGCCAGTGTTACTGTCTCCATCAGCCTGACCCCAGTGAGCATTTGATTTGGTCTACCCTACTCTTGCCTTCTACAGAACTAAAACTAACTTCCTGCAACTTTCATCCATTGCTGCCAGCTCTGCAGCATAATGGAAGCTCATTCCCTCTTCTGCATGAGACGGCTTCAACTTCTCAAGGACAGGAATCTTGCTCTCTCTCCAGATGTTCTCTGCTCCAGTTAAATATCCCTAGTTCCTTCACCTATTCCCTGTGTGACAGGGGTTCTGGACTCATCATTCTGATCTCTTCTTCTGGATACACACTTAGTGGCCATCAATATCTTGCTTAAATTTGGTACCCAGAGTGAAATGCAGTATGTTAGGGGTATTTTGACTATGGCTGTGACACTTCTACTGATAAAACCTGAAGTACCACTAATTTTTCTGTTATCATATAATAACAACATGAATACTACTTGGTTCATATTGAACCTGAGGACAACTAAAATCCCGTCTTTTTTATATGAAATGATATAAGGCCAGGTTTCTTCAGCCCAAACTTATACAACTTATTTAATTTAAATGAGTATGTTACATTTCTAATCTGTTTAATTTCATCTCGATGGGGTCATTCTGGGACTGTTTTCAGTTGCCACTGTCATCTATTATATTAGCAATATTGGGTTGCTCCATCCTCAAATCAGATGTTTCTGATGCCTTCATCCAAATCACTGATTTTAAAAGTAAAGTTGAATAAGACAGGGCCCTATGAAATATCAATAGAGACCAAAATCACATTAATTCAGCAGTCAACAATTTGTTTATCTGGGTAGATGTCCATGCACTACACCATCAAGGCCATATTTTTCTTATTACAAAGCTGTTAGGAAACCCTCTCAGGAACCAATTTATACTGTCGATTCCATTCCTCTCTCTGACCTTGTAATGTTAACAGCCTTATCAAAAGAGGAACTAGCTGGGCGTGGTGGCCCATGCCTGTAATCTCAGCACTTTGGGAAGCCGAGATGGGCGGATTACCTGAGGTCAGGAGTTCAAGACCAGCCCGGCCAATGTGGTGAAACCCCTTCTCTACTAAAAATACAAAATTAGCCAGGCATGGTGACTTGTGCCTGTAGTCCCAGCTACTCGGGAGGCTGAGGCATGAGAATCGCTTGAACCTGGGAAGTGGAGGTTGCAGAGTGAGCTGAGATCACGCCATTGTACTCCAGCCTGGGCAACAAGAGTGAAACTCTGTCTCAAAAAAAAAAAAAAAAATGGAACTATTTGGCGATTACCTCCTTTTCCAAGTACTTAAAAACCATTTTGCTACATATACACATTAAGCTTGTCAAAATCTGCAATTTCCCCATTTCTGAAAATCAGGATATTAGAAGACATTAGCTTTTTTTTTTTTGCTGAAGACCAGCTGGCTACTTTGGGTATGTCAATCCTATCCTTTCAATCTTCACCTAATGGAAGTGAAGTTAAGATCATAAAGAAATTCTATTTAGGCAGAATTAAGGACTCAGGAGAACATCCACGTAGAAATCATCCACGTAGAACCAAGAGCTTGCCAACACTGAAAAACCTGACACAAAGCCTGTTAAGCAGCAAATGGCAGACATTTCTTTCTCTACATTAAAACTGATTTTCAACATGAAAAGCAGATTTAAAAGGGAACATTTAGGGTAACCACACTTAATGCATTCTTGATCCAGTGACTATCTCAAAACAGGAAAAGATTTTTAAGTAAGTTGACCATTTGGAAACCACTTGGTATGTCAAGGTCATCTCGTAGAAAAGCCCAAGTTCTTATGATCTCTGAAGAGCTCTCAAAAGCAGTCACAGTCCCAGGAGGCTGGTCCTCTAAGAATCATTTTGGGACTCTTCGGAGTTCATTCATCAGCCAAAGAGCACCAGTGAGCAAAGCCAAGGAGCCTGACTGGTGAGTGGCGGCCAGAGGAGTTGGGACATACATCAGCAGCGTGCTGATGCCCAAGCCCACCTGTCACAAAGGAAAGAAGGCAATAGGAAAGGCAGTAACCCAAAGTTCACATTGAAAATGGCCAGGCGTGGATAACCACACACAAACCTCCACATCCTCCTATCAGAGCACTTAAAATACACACATTTTTAATTTCACAAGCAAATATGCTTACAATGAAAGAAATTCGAACAAAATTGATAAACCTAAAATTCCCCTTATTCTTCAATCCATCCCAGTTCCCCAGAGTAGTCACTGTTACCAGTTTCTGCATACTTGTACTTTAGTATGTTTATAGAGAAATAAATATATAGTTTTGTGCTTTTAAAAAACATATTGTTCTGTCACTTGCTTTTTTTCACTTAGCAATATACACTATGTATTGAGATCTTATTAAACTGCTGTGCAGTATCGCACAGTATGGATATACCATAGTTTTTTTTGTTTTGTTTTGTTTTGAGACAGAGTTTCACTCTGTCTGCCAGGCTGGAGTGCAATGGCATGATCTTGGCTCACTGCAACCTCCACTTCCAGGGCTCAAGCAATTCTCCTGCCTCAGCCTCCCAAGTAGCTGGGATTACAGGCGTGTGCCACCCCGCCTGGCTAATTTTTGTATTTTTTAGTAGAGACAGAGTTTCATCATGTTGGCCAGGCTGGTCTTGAACTCCTGACCTCAGGTAATCCGCCCACCTCGGCCTCCCAAAGTGCTGGGATTACAGGCGTGAGCCACTGTGCCCGGCCCATAGTTTTTTAACTATTTAGGTTGTTTCCAATTTTTCACTATCACAATTCTATGATGAATTTTCTCATACAAAAGGTCTTTGTTGCATTGGACTGTTTCTAGGACTGACACTAATAAGTTCATTTGCTGGGCCAAAGAATTACCCATTTAACTTTTAAAAGATATTGCCAGCCTGGGTGACAGAGTGAGACTCCATCTCTAAAAAAAAAAAAAAAAGATATTGCCAAATTGCCTTCTGGAAAAAACTGTACTGACTCATGCTCTCACCAGGAATATTTGAAAGTATCCATTTTCCTATGCCCATGGCAATACCTGATTATCTTTTTTTTCACTTTTTTCCAATTTGATAGGCACAAAATGGTACTTATTTTTTAAATTTGCTCCTCTCTGATTATAAGTGAAGCTGAACAGCTTTTCATGTTTACTGGCCATTAATCATTGTTTTTGTGGTAATTGTGTATTGATGTCCTTTACTTATTTTCCGGTTATTAATCTTTTAATTTATTATAAATATGGAAAATATTTTCTCCTAGTCTGTCACCTTTCCTTTTTTTTTTTTTTTTTTTTAAACAGACAGGGTCTCACTCTGTTGTCTAGGCTGGGGTGCAGCGGTGCGATCTTGACTCACTGCAGCCTCAACCTCCCTGGCTCAGGTGATCCTCCCATCTCAGCCTCCCAAGTAGTTTGGACTACAGGCACACACCAACATGCCCATCTAATTTTTGTATTTTTTTTGTAGAGATGGGGTTTTGCCATGTTGCCCAGGCTAGTCTTGAATTCCTGGCTCAAGTGATCTGCCCACCTAGGCCTCCCAAAGTGCTGGGATTACAGCCATGAGCCACTGTGCCCGGCCCCTTTTTTAACTTTGTATTGGGGATACTGTCAGAACAAAAAGAAGTGGTTTATACCTGTGTATACGCCAAAGCCAGCAGAGTCACTGCTGCCATCTTGGTCCTTCTAGGAAGGGGAATTCTCCGAGAGAGGAAGTAGAGCACTGTAATGGCAGTGACTGAAGTGATTCCCTGCAGGGAAGAAAGAGTCTATCACATTAGATAGAAGTGCCAGGTTTCTAACTCACCTTACATGTATCTCCTCTAGAACCACTCAGCAACCATGAAGTACTTTCCTGTACCAGTCACAGAGAACCTCCCTGCAGTCCCAGCCTGATCACTCCTCCACAGGCTGTCTCTTCCACCATCCTCTTCTGCTTGCCACTTAAACGTCGGTATCACCCAGGCTCCACCTAAGATTCTGTATGTACTTTATACACCCTCACTCCCAGTGATCTCATCCACCTTCCAATGTGGGTGTCCCCCTCATTTTTAATTCTTTGCATCCTTATCCCTAACCATATCTCTAATCCTATATTCTTAAAGCAGGGCTGACCCCAGCACATGAGGGTTATTATTTTCCTGGGCTGTGAGTGGAGAAAGTGCTGGTGCTGCCAGCTGGTGCTAAAAAAGACCTAAAGTCTCATTTTCATTCCTATCTCTTCAGAACAAGGGTCCAGGACTGGCAATAATGGTCTCCTTCCTCTTCCACGGTATCAGGGAGAATGTTTTCTATCATATTTCTACATTTATTTCACTTCATTTCCTTTTCAGTGCTGTCCACAATGACAATTTCAACCAGGCTTTACTTATGCTAAAATACTGTGCGCAGGTGGGGACTCAGCCCACACCAGGTAACATGCCTCAGCCCAGCCCCCGTTGGACAGCTGAGCCCTCTGGCCCCCTCTCTCTGGACGTGCTGCTCTCATCTCACACTCAACATACCTCCATCTGATGACATCCTCCCACCTCTAGCTCCACACTCATTCTGAGGGTCCCATCCCTGTAGGTCATGTTTCAAGCATGCTGTAGAAGAAACTTTGGGATTTCACTTGATCTTTCTTCACCTTTATTCCTGACAGCCAATCTTATTAACTCTTTTCCTTTATTTATTTATTTATCGTAGAGATGAGGTCTCCCTGTGTTGCCCAGGCTGGTCTTGAACTCTTGGGCTCAAGCGATCCTCTTGCCTTAGCCTCCCAAAGTGCTGGGATTACAGGCATGAGCCATTGCGCCCAGTGCTCTTATTTTTAAATTAAATTTAATTTTTTAAGAGACAGGCTCTCACTCTGTCTCCCAGGCTAGAATGCAGTAACGTGATCACAGCTTACTGCAGCCTCAAACTCCTGCTCAAACAATCCTCTCGCCTCAGCCTCCCAAAGTGCTAGGATTATAGGTGTGAGCCACCATGCCCAGCCTCTCTATTCCTTTAAATTCTCTCTCAAATGCATCATTCTTCTCAAGTCCCACTCCCACCATGTAGGCCCCATCTCCATCACTCTCCCTGGCATTACGCAGCAGCACTATGCTTCTCACAGTCTCCTTACTGCTCATCTTTCCCCGCTCCAATTCATCACACACAGGCCTCCAAGCCAATCTTTGAATGGCCCATAGCAGACCCTCAAAACATATTCGCTTAAATAGAATGAAAAGTACTGGTGAAGCTCCTGGCTCCTTGAGCTTCTGGTTTAGCTCCGAGAGCTACGTGCTTAGCAGCTATGGTCTCCGCATTCGCTTCTCTACTCAACCACATTTCTGCTGAAATGACTTTCTAGGTACGTGCAGAATTGAGGGAGGTTATCACTTGCCAAGTGGTAAAAGGCACATTTGAACTTTTAAGAAGCTGGCAACGTCCTGAAAGCTAGAATTTGGCTGGGGTTGGGGTAGGGGGACAGGGGTGAATAATGAGGACAAAGACATTAGATTAGAGAAATGGTCCTAAAATTTCTTCCAAAGAGAGCAGGAAATATAGTTCCTGCTCTACCCTCTCAGTGTTGCCATCAGTGCTTCACTGACACCCCAAAGCCTATGATAGGCTCCTGTGCTCTCTGGCAGGTAACCACCAACTACACTTACCAGAATCCGGTGATCAAACTGCACCATGGTGGGATTCTCAAAAACATTCCTCAGGATGGGGGAGAAGGTAAAGAGGTCCTCCGGGATCCAGGATTCTCCCATTTTGGGAAAGGAGTTATAAACAAGCCCAGCATCTAGCCCTGCCACAAAAGCCCCTGTATTCCAAGGTAAATGGTATTTATTAAAATGAGAGGAAGAAGAGACCAAATACTAGTTCTGATATAGAAAAAGTCTGTTATCCCAGAGTTAAACTAAGGGAACAGTCAGAGAATAATAGACATATCTGCAACAGGAGTTCTCCAACAGAGAAGATACATCACAATCACCAAGGAAACTTCAAATCTCTGCATCCTTACCTGCTCCCACCCCAAGATTCTGCTTCCTCTAGAGAAGTGGAGTAGAGGCTGTGGTGTGGGGGGAGGGGGAGAGGCTTATTAGCTTAGAAAAATTCCCTTAGTGATTTTGATGCCCTCCTCACCCCGCCACTGAGTGCTACTGATTTATTTTAGAAATGCTCTCCCACAGATGTCTGCATGACTGACTCCCTTATTTCCTCAGCTTCCACTCAGATGTCACCTTACCAAAGAGATTTCGCTTGATGATCCTAGCCCACTTTCTGTCTCCTGACCCTAATTTATTTTTCTTCATGGCACTAAATATCATCTAGCACATTATGTTTCTATTGTGCGTTATCTGTCTTCCCCAAATGCTCAATAAATGTTTGTTGACTGAATACGGAAGTGAGAAAAATCCCAAAACTTATAAACTAAATCCTGGATAAACAAATAAAGAGGGTATTCATGAATTAATGGATGTCTGATCCATTATTTATTATCAAAGAAAATCCAGAAATGTTTGGGTCACACTCGCTTTTTTCTTTCTTTTTTTTTTTGAGACGCAGTCTGGCTCTGTCCCCCAGGCTGGAGTGCAGTGGCATGATCTCGGCTCACTGCAACCTCTGCCTCCAGGGTTCATGCAATTCTTCTGCCTCAGCCTCCCGAGTAGCTGGGACTATAGGTGCGCCCTTTGGTAGAGACGAGGTTTCACCACGTTGACCAGGCTGGTCTCGAACTCCCAACCTCAGGTGATCCGCCTGCCTCGGCCTCCCAAAGTGCTGGGATTACAGGCATAAGCCACCATGCCTGGCCTTTTTTTCTTTTTTTGAGTCAGGGTCTTGCTCTGTCACCCAGGCTGGAGTGCAGCAGCGCAATCTCCGCTCACTGCAGCCTCGACCTCCTGGGCTCAAGCAATCCTCCCGCCTCAGCCCCCTGAGTAGCTGAGACTACAGGTGAATACCACCACACATGGCTAATTTTTGTATTTTTTGTAGAGACGAGGTTTCACCATGTTGCCCAGGCTGGTCTTGAACTCCCTGGCTCAAGCAATCTACCTGCCTCAGCATCCCAAAGTGCTGGAATTACAGGTGTGAGCCACCATGCCCAACCCACTCCATATTTTTTTTAAATGTCCCTTATGAAGTAAAAATTCATGCTCTTATGCCAAAAATAAAAGTGTTGAGTGGCTCATTGGTTTGAATCAATATTATTTTTAGTCCAGAGCAGTACTATCAATAGAACTTTCTGTGAGAGTGGAAGTATTCTATATTTGTGCCAACCAATATACTAGCCCCTAGCCACATGTGCCTGTGGAGCATCTGAAATGTTGCTAGTGTGACTGAAGAACTAAATTTTAAATTTTATTTAACCTTAATTAATTTAAGTTTAAATATCCACATGAGGCTACAGGCTCCTCTACTGGATAGTGCAGTTCTAGAATGAGAGCAGCAGTGGTGGAAGTGTGGGTTAAAGAATGAAAACGGCCAGGCATGGTAGCTCATGCCTGTAATCCCAGCACTTTGGGAGGCTAAGGCGGGTGGATCACCTGAGGTCAGAAGTTCGAGGCCAGCCTGGCCAACATGGTGAAACCCCATCTCTACTAAAAATACAAAAATCAGCTGGGCGTGGTGGTGTGCACCTGTAGTCTTAGCTACTCGGGAGGCTGAGGCACGAGAATCGCTTGGATTTAGGGAGGCAGAGGTTGCAGTGAGCTGAGATCATGCCACTGCACTCCAGCCTGGGCAACAGAGTGAGACTCAGTCTCAAAAAAAAGAATGAAAAAATCCTGTGTTGGTCTCTCTGTGCCAATGAACTCTCCACCTGCAACCATCTCTGAGGGCAAGCCTTTTCTCTGACCC
Source organism: Homo sapiens (assembly GCF_000001405.40). Lineage (NCBI taxonomy): Eukaryota > Metazoa > Chordata > Mammalia > Primates > Hominidae > Homo > Homo sapiens. The sequence continues at coordinate 99,720,540 of NC_000010.11, forward strand.
ATGTTGATGTAATGTGATGATAACAATGTTTATATATAGTAACAGCTAACACTTATGTAGCCTTTGCTACATGCCAACAACGATGCTACACATTTCACATTTAGCAGTCATACTGTTGTCGTAATCTCCATTTTATAGATAAGGTCTCTAAGGCCCAGAGAGGTTACAGAGCTTGCAAAGGTCATATAGTTCACAGGTAGTGAAGCCAGGATTTGAACCTAGGCCATCTGGATCTAGGTAGATGTTCAATATTTTTGTTCAATTGACAGTAAAGTAGAATTTTTGGAAGAGAGAAAGGAACAGGAAACAGGGTGAAGATGGGGGAATGAGAGAAACAGATGTGAAAAGGAAATATAAAGATGCAGGAGGAAGGGGCAAAGCATTAGGCAAGAGGTCCCAGCTTAGAGTGCAATGCAAACAGGTCATCTTTGATGAGCTGAGTCCTACCTGAGAGGGCCGTAAGGAACACCAGACCTGCTGTTCCATGAGCAAATCGTCTCAACTGTAGGAGTTGGTGGGTTTCAGGCAACTAAATATGAAAAAAAATCATTCAGTTAAACTGTGTTGCAGGAACAATGAGAGGCAGCAAAGATCTCTAAGGCCAAACCCAAGTGACAAATTAAGATCAGATCTTCTCTGACCCCTAGACTAGGTTAAGTACTCCTGGCAGATATTCTGTTCCAACATGTACTGTATTTTATTATAATTATAGATTACTATCTGTTTTCCCTTCTACCCCATAAGTTTTGTGAAGGCAGGAACTGCCATCTTTTTTACTAGAGCAATCTTAGCCTAGTGATTGGCACATAGGTACTCATTACGCATCTGTTCAAAAACTGAATGATTTCCATTATTCAGGAAACAATGCTTCATCACGGTTGAAAGGATGTAGCTTAAGATCAGGACTGGATTTTCATGTGTGTGATATTAGTGTTTAGCAAATATAGTCAGAATCAAAATTGCATAAAGTGCTTAGAGATTCCTCCATTTAGTGTTTTTGATAAAATCAAAATTTGTTTTTATTCTTATTACCAACTTCTAATACTAATAAGTGAATCATCAAATATGAATAAGAACTTTATAAACAGGTGACTATGCCACCCTCAAATGGCTTACACTCTACTATATGAAAAGTTAGGTATCATTACTAACATATTATAGGACAGTATATCAGCACTGTCCAATAGAACTTTCTGTGATGGAAAAGTTCTATCATCTACCTAAGGAGAGCTTGAAACATGTGGCTAGTATGACTGAAAATTAAATAAAAAATTAATTTTATTTAAATATAAAGTTTAAATAAACAAAAAGCTTATGTAAATAAATTTTATTTAATTAAAAAAATTTTTTTTCTCACTTTGTCGCCCAGACTGGAGTGCAGTGGCACAATCTTGGCTCACTGCAACCTCCACCTCCCAGGCTCAAGCGATTCTCCTGCCTCAGCCTCCCAAGTAGCTGGGATTACAGGTGCGCGCCACTATTGCCCAGCTAATTTTTTAACTTTTAGTAGAGATGGGGGTTTCACTATGTTGGCCAGGCTGGTCTCAAACTCCTGACCTCAAATGATCCACCCGCCTCAGCCTCCCAAAGTGCTGGGATTACAGGTGTGAGCCACCGTGCCCAGCCTTAATTAGTTAAAATTTAAATAGCCATATGTAGCTAGTAGCTACTGTGTTGGACAGCATAGCACTATATGGCTCATTGGGTAGCATCTCAAATCCTTTTTGTAATTAGGTGAATCTAAACTAACAGAGAAAAACAATTGATAAAGTCATCAGTAACCTTTAAGAGTACAATTTCAGTAGCAAGAGTGTGTGGGTTTATGTGTAAGTGTGGGTAAATGTGTGAGTGTGTATGTATTGGGTTGGGTGAGGAAGATAATTACAGGGACTGAAAAGAAGGAATAGATTGTCAGGAAGCAGCAGCTATAGATGCAGGCAAAATGAATTCATTAAGATGAATTCATTTTAGAAGTCTGAATTAAAATGAATTCATTTTAGAAGTTTGGCTTTGATGGGCACGGTGGCTCACACCTGTAATCCCAGAACTTTGGGAGGCCGAGGCGGGTGGATCACCTGAGGTCAGGAGTTTAAGAGCAGCCTGGCCAACATGGTGAAACCCTGTCTCTACTAAAAATACAGAAAATTAGCCGAGCATGGTGGTGTGCGCCTGTAGTCCCAGCTACTCGGGAGGCTGAGGCTGAAGAATTGCTTGAACCCGGGAGGTGGAGGTTGCAGTGAGCCAAGGTCACACCACTGCACTCCAGCCTGGGCAACAGAGCAAGACTCCATCTCAAATAAATAAATAAATACATAAGTAAATAAATGAAGTTTGGCTTTGAAAGTCAGGAGACTTTCAAATAATTCCTTATTTTTCAGATGTGGAATTATTCAGTGGTTGTCTACTGTATCAATATTTCAACCCAATTTGGCTTCTCTGTGGGAATGACTGCCAAGACAACACGTCCAGTCCTTACTGGGATCTAGCTACTAGCTCCAAGTACCTAATGGATGATTCGACTTAAGAGTCCTGCTGTCATCTCAAACTTTTCTCCAGGAACAGCTTACTCAGGTCAACCCATGATTTCAATACCTAATATAAGACTCTTTTTTTTTTTTTGGAGATGGAATTTCGCTCTTGTTGCCCAGGCTAGACTGCAATGGTGCCATCTCAGCTCACTGCAACCTCTGCCTCCCGGATTCAAGCAATTCTCCTGCCTCAGCCTCTCGAGTAGCTGGGATTACAGGCATGTGCCACCATGGCTGGCTAATTTTATATTTTTAGTAGAGATGGGGTTTCTCCAGGTTGGTCAGGCTGGTCTCAAACTCCCAACCTCAGGTGATCTGCCTGCCTCTGCCTCCCAAAGTGCTGGGATTACAGGCGTGAGCCACCGCGCCTGGCCAAGACTCATTTAAAAAAAAATTCTAGGGAAAAAAATGTCCTATAAGGGTGTGGTGTCTTGGAACCTCTATTATTAATGAAGGCCTCAAAAAAATGTTATACCTTGCTTTTAAATCAAAGCATAAAATGAAAAACTAGTACTTTGCTTTAATCAGCAGACAGAAAAATACTTCAGACAAAATCACTAAGGTTTACTATTAGACTTAACTGGCAGGTCCCCATTTAACGAACAATATAGCTCTTGTCCACACCAGAAGTTCAGAAACACCTCTGTTCTGATCTTTCTCACTTTGCCATCCACCATCCCTTCTAGGAGTCAGAGGTAAAGCGACTGGGATATTTCTTGTTGTTGGTACTCCCTCCCACTCTATTTTTCAATTTGTTTCACCTTTGCCAATAGAAAATGTTGGCAAAATATTCAACTCCTATATGATCCAGCAATTCTACTTCTAGATATATATCCAAAAGAACCAAAAGCGGGGTCTTGAACACAGATATTTGCACACAACTCTTACCTTGTGCGGAGGGAGTAGCAGTGACAGTGAGGTCCACAAGCTGGCACAATAAAGAACCAGGGCTGATCCCAGGTGGGCAGCAAGGCGGTACTGACTGACCCGAGGGATGTCATGGGAGTCTGATTTTTCTTCTAGTCCACTTTTCACCATATACCATCCCAACAGACCCTAGAACCCCCAAGAGATGAAGCAAACAAAACAAGGTTAAAATGATCTGTTCAACTTTCTTTTTTTTGTTGTTTTTTTGAGACAGAGTCTCACTCTGTCACCAGGCTGGAGTGCAGTGGCGGGATCTTGGCTCACTGCAATCTCCGCCTCCCAGGTTCAAGTGATTCTCCTGCCTCAGCCTCCCAAGTGGCTGGGACTACAGTTGCGCATCACCACGCCTGGCTAATTTTTGTATTTTTAGTAGAGATGGGGTTTCACCATGTTGGCCAGATGGTGTCAATCTCTTGACCTCGTGATCCGCCCACCTCAGCCTACCAAAGTGCTGGTATTACAGGCGTAAGCCACCACACCCGGCCTGATCTGTTCAACTTTACTGAGGAAATGAGCTATCAGGAGTACTCTCTACCCCACCCCTCCTCTTTCCATACCCTCCCCAATACGCAGTGTCCCAAGATTCATGATTTATCCACAGTTCTTCACATATCACCATTAATACTTAACTACTATTTAGATCAGAAGTGTCTGATCTTTTGGCTTCCCTGGGCCACACTGGAAGAATTGTCTTGGGCCATGCATAAAATACACTAACACTAACAGTAGCTGATGAGCTTTAAAAAAAAAAAAAGGTCCATGGATATATCTCATAAAACTAGATTGAATGTTTTGGAGAAACTTAATAAAGGTAAATGCTTAAAAACATCTACTGTCAAGTTAGGTTGGAATAAGACAATTATAAAAGTTTCAGGGGAAAATCATAAAAATCAATAAGGTTTTGCATGCAGATCGCTTTGCAAATATCTAAGTTCCCACTCCGCTTTAAGCAAAACCACAGTTTATGGGGATATAAGAAACCTGCAGTTGAATGCCAATCTGGGGACGCATAGTCAAAGAAAAGGCCTTGATTTTGTAAAAGTTGGTAATGAACGTACAGATTTAAGTTTAAAAGTTTATGTTATGTATCATATTCTATGATTCTCTGCTTTAACTGGCTTTTTCAATTAACCAAACAATTGTTAGTTCCAATCATATGAAATAAGACAGCCCTTTCACTCCCACTTGCCAGTAGAATCAGGTCAAAGAGGTGGACTCTGCCACTTCTAAATATATACTCTTCAGGAAATCTTTTTGGGCATTTCTCTCCCCTTTCAAGATTACCCTGGATATTCTAATTACCTTGATTTCATCTGCAAGAGACATTGAAAGATGAAGACGTACACAGTTGATTCACTAGCCCACTTTCTTCTCCCATACCTTATCTGACATCTTTAATTTCTGCCTCCCTAATAGTGTTTTCAGTGTTGGCTTGTTTTTCTAATTCTAAAATGTTAACTTTCATTTTGTTCTACATGCCTTTCTCTGGTTACTATTAGACTTTGATTATTGTTTCTGCTGCCTCTATTTCTTCTCTCTCATCTCCCTCCTTAATCCCTTCTTTCTTTATTTATTTTTTTTGAGCCAGAGTCTTGCTCTGTTGCCCAGGCTGGAGTGCAGTGGTGCAACCTCTCAGCTCGCTGCAACCTCCGCCTCCCCGGTTCAATCAATTCTTCTGCCTCAGCCTCCGAAATAGCTGGGACTACAGGCCCACGCCAGCATGCCCAGCTAATTTTGGTATTTTAGGTAGAGACAGGGTTTTACCATGTTGGCCAGGCTGGTCTGGAACTCCTGATCCCCCACCTTGGCTTCCGAAAGTGTTGGGATTACAGGTGTGAGCCACTGCACCCGGCCTTAATCCCTTCTAACTGACTCATTTTCTTACCACTTCTGAGTTAAATTAACCAATTAGCTTCCTCCTGATTAAATTTTGATGTTTCTTTGATGCCCTGATAATCTCCTTTAGGATCTCTAAACCTTGACCCAAATACTCCTATGTGTCTTCTCTTTTAATTTGTTGCTCAGTTTCACCCAACTTTTTTTTTTTCATCATTCTAGCAGTACTAACCTGTTAACTGTGGGAGTCTTTCCTTAAGAGGCGCTCAACTTACGTGATTTTAATTGCCATTTATATCTGAATATCTCTCAGCTACATGGGTATTCTACAATCCTTCATCCCACAAAGTGTTTCTCTCTTTTGGAATTTTCCTGTATGCTTCTGTGGCATTCTAGCACAGGGATCCCTCTTTCCTATAGCAGACAAGTTAGAAAAAGAGGAGAGACAAGAACCTAGGGAGACACCCATGATGGGAAACAAACTACATCTTGCAGCACATGAAAATATACTACTGAGTGCTTTACTGATTCCAGGCACTAAGCTAAGTACTTTAAATATGGATTATCTCATTTAATATTTACACGACTGTACATGGTGGCACTGTTATTATCCCCATTTACAGGTAAAGAAATCATAGCTTTCAGAGGTTAGGTAATTTACCCTAAGTGTCAGAGCTGGGGCTTGAAGCTAGGCCTGTGACACTAAAATGCATGCTCTTACCTATTCTATTAAAGTGCCTCAGAGATTATTTCCTTAAAAAGAATGCCAACTAGGGGCCGGGCGCAGTGGCTCACACCTGTAATCCCAGCACTTTGGGAGGCCAAGGCAGGCAGATCACGAGGTCAGGAGATCGAGACCATCCTGGCTAACATGGTGAAACCCCGTCTCTACTAAAAATACAAAAAATTAGCCAGGCATAGTGGCAGGTGCCTGCAGTCCCAGCTACCGAGAGGCTGAGGCAGGAGAATGGTATGAACCTGGGAGGCGGAGCTTGCAGTGAGCCGAGATCACGCGCCACTGCACTCCAGCCTGGGCGACACAGCGAGACTCCGTCTCAAAAAAAAAAAAAAAAAAACAATGCCAACTAGGAAGCTCCTGGGAGCATTTCTGGTTTCTCAACCTTGAATAAATCTTACCTGGAAGCAGACGAGGCCACAGAGGGCAAGAACACGTCCTTTCATGCCACGGCTGAGCCAGCCCTTTCTCCAAAAGTAGGCAGCAGGCAGGATGTACACAAGGCCTACAAGGCGACCCCACATTCGGTGTGAGTACTCCATGTACCAGATGAACTTGAATTCTGTCAGTGTCATATCATGATTCAAGCTGGGTGAAATGGAAAGTCAAAAAAGGAGGAGGAGGAAACATCCTTCTGATTTTTATTTTCTTACGGAATGCAAAACCTTTCTTTCTCAGTCCTGCAACTTGGTAGGTCTGCCCTCTTCCTCATCAACGACCTCAGGATGACTTTGGATTTGGGGGCTTAGAAGACAAGCTGACTAAACATAACTGAACCGAAGTTCATGAAATAATCTAACCATTCTGAAGGGTTTAAGTCCAAAAGATCAAATGGGCCTACTGGGATGTTTACCTAATTTTCTCTAATACTTACATTTTAAATTCTGGAAATTGCTGGTATCTTTGGAATTCTGCTTCCCATTCCTCTTGGCTTGTAGGTGGCTTCATCTCCTTTATTAAATGCCAATCTACCATCGAGAGGCCAGACTCTGTCAACCTTAGGATAGGAAAGAAATTTTGGGGTGTATGCGTGAGGCTGGATTACTCACAAAAGGTTTATAGCAACAAGTGGATCTGAACTTAACCTTGTTAAAGGTAAACACATTGTTTCCTTGTTTCCTCTTTTGAGACATTTCTCTGTTACTGCTTGGAATTTTGTCAGAAACAGCTGCCATCAGGTACAAATTTATTTACCCTTATATTCTCTCAATCCTTTTATTCAACTCTCCCCAATTCTTTTTTTTTTCCCAATTCTTCCTTTCACTAGCATTCCTCAACAGGTAAAATCAACCCCTACAGCCAAAGAAATGTGTTCTAAATGCATAACCAACATTCCTTACCCAGGGAAAAGAGACCTGTTACATGTATACAGGTTTAGATTCTTGGGTGAATTTAAAGACAATAAAATTCAAATTTGTTTCACTTGCTCATAACAACCTATATAACACATAAGGTATTTTGAAATAAGGGACGTGGAATGTGAAGAGAATTTGAGGAAGACACATTTGATTAAAACTAGAAACTTTTTTACCAAAAGGAATTAGGATTCCTAGAGTAAAAGCCTGATTTTAGGCCTGAGGCAAGAAATGCACAAGATGAGCTCGGAACATCTTGTCATACTAGAAAGTAAGGAAACTATCAAAGGTAATTAGGGCCCTGCCAAAAAGTCACTAGAGCCAATTTCAGGAGATGCCCACTGACTAAAGATGGGACAATCTGAGCAAATCACTAACACCATCATCACAACGGACCGAAACATTATCGAGTGTGTTTGAACCTATGATCTCATAATGAGCCTTAAAAATTCAAATCCTTTATTTGTTGCCTTTGGAGGATTTGGGGGACCAATTTATTATTTTGAAAATTGGTAAATAAAGGGAAAGAAGAATCAAGTATGTATCCTGCCTTTCCTATACAAACTATACCTTGGGATATCCAAACTGATGATGAGGGAAAGCTTTTTAGAGTTGAGCTAATAAAATATTATAATTTTGCTACGCTAATGAAATAATGGATCTAGGCAATGGTAATTAATGGCTGTTAACATCTATAATAGACACCAGATATTCACGAATGTTCTATTCACCTACTGAAGTATTTTGCTCCCTCATCCCTAATTTGAATCTGATCAACCAACTACTCATTCACAGGAAATAGACGGGACAAAGGAACATGTTAAATATCACACAGTTATGCAGTCAGCAAAATCTAAACTGTGCATAACCATAGGACAAATGACTAGAGTTTCCTCAGCAACTAGAAGAGGGGGAAAGGGAGGAGTGTCTAAATCTATAGTCTCTTGATAGATTTAAACAAACCTAAGAAACATGAACCAATTGTGATGTACAGAACTTCTTTGGGTTTAATTCAAACAAACTGTAAAAAAAGTTTTGAGACAAACTTGGACTCTGATTGAAAGAGAAAAGATACATAAACAATGCACAGGTACCAGTTAAGACATAAACCAGTCTTTATAGAAGGCTCCTACTAATAAAACACTCAACTGTTCTATGGCAGGGCAAGCCATCAGACATGTTCCTTCTTTAAGGCCTCGGTTTCTCCATCTATACAATGAGGGAGCTAGACTAGATGCTCTGTAAAATTCCTTTCTCCAGCTGGGCATGGTGGCTCATGCCTGTAATCCTGGCACTTTGGGAGGCCGAGGTGGGCAGATCACCTGAGGTGAGGAGTTTGGATCAGCCTGGCCAACATGGTGAAACCCTGTCTCTACTAAAAATACAAAAAATTAGCCAGATATGGTGGCACGCGCCTAGTCCCAGCTACTTGGGAGGCTGAGGCAGGAGAATCGCTTGAACTCAGGAGACGGAGGTTGCAGTCAGCCGAGATCACACCACTGCACTCCAGCCTGGCCAACAGAGCAAGACTCTGTCTCAAAAAAAAAAAAAAAAAAAATCCTTTCTCCTCAGTCAACCTGTGCTTCTACTGATGATCCAAATACCTGACTCACTACGAGCAAATTACTTACCTAGTTACTCCACCAAGAATAACTGCTCCAGCCACTGTTCCACTGCAGACCAGGAGCCATCGGCCCACCACCCGCTCAGCAGCCTTTGAGGGAAGGGACACTGTACCCCTTCCAGATTGCAAAGCTACTTCAGAGATGGTGCTGTATTGCCCTGGCCTCAAAGGGCGCCTGATGCAATCACACTAAAGATCAAGATAGACAAATTACAACTGGAGAAACAGGGAATGGCTGCTACCCACACTCAACCCCATTCTGATTAGCGCGAAGTACCATAGCATCCCCACAGCCATGTCTTGTTAAGTCATCATCTCTTATCTGGATTACTGCATCAGCCTTCCAACTGGTTTTCCAATTGGTTTTCAAATCTAGCCTCACTCAAACCTATCCCCAACTACATGAATCTTCTCATCTCTGAATACTTCCCTCAGACTTCACTCTACTTACAGATATGGAATATTTTCTTTCACCTCTAGGTCTTTCAACATTTCTCTCTGGCTTGTACACTTCCTTTCCCCTGATTAATAATACCTACTGCAGATCTCCGCTTACATGTCACCTCCTCTGGGATGTATTCCCAGGCTCTTCAAGGTCTGCAATAGGTCACTCCCACAGCACACTGGAAAGCCCTTAATACACTGTAATGTACAGTCAAGCATCACTTAACAACAGGGGCACATGTTCTGTGAAATGCATTCTTAAGCAATTTCATCATTGTGTGAACCTCATAGAATGTACTTACACAAATCTAAAGGCTGGGTGTAGTGATTCACACCTGTAATCCCAGCACTTTGGGAGGCAGAGGCAGGGAGATCACTTGGGTCAGGAATTCAAGACCAGCCTGGCCAAAATGGTGAAACCCCATCTTTACCAAAAATACAAAAATTAGCTGGGCATGGTGGTGTATGCTTGTAATCCCAGCTATTTGAGAGGCTGAGGTGGCAGGATCACTTGAACCTGGGAGGCAGAGGTTGCAGTGAGCCAAGGTCTCACCACTGCACTCCAGCCTAGGCGATGAAGTGAGACTCCATCTCTCAAAAAAAAAAGTACTTACAGAAATCTAGATGGTATCGCCTACTACACCCCTGAGCTATATGGTATGACTTATTGCTCTTAGGCTATAAATCTGTATGGCATATTATGTACCGAATACTGTAACACAATGGTATTTGTTTATCTAAACATAGAAAAATTACAGTAAAAATATGGTATAAAAGATTTAAAAATGGGGCCAGGTGCAACGGCTCAAGCCTATAATCCCAAGGCTTTGGGAGGCCAAGGTGAGAGGATCACTTGAGGCCAGTAGTTCGAGACCAGCCTGGGCAATGTAGCGAGACCCCCTATCTCTATTTTTTCAAAAATTAGGCACAGTGGCACACACTTGTAGTCTTAGCTACTTAAGTGACTGAGGTAAGAGGATGCTTGAGGCCAGGATTTCCAAGCTGGAGGCTGCAGTGAGTTATAATCATGCCACAGCACTCCAGCCTGGGTGACAAAGTAAAACGCTGTCTCTAAAAAAGAAATTTAGAGAAAAAGATTTTTTTTTAAAAAAAAGGTACACTTGGAAAGGCAGCTCCATTATAATCTTATGGGACCATGACTGTATCTGTGGCCTGTTGTTGACCAAAATGTTGTTATGCAGCACATCACTCTACCTTCAGGTTCATCTGTTTGTATCTCCCACTAAACTATGAGCTTTGGGGTGGCAGTGTCCGGTCAGTCTTGCTCTCTCCCTTCTGCTAGCTTTGTTTCTAACACTGTTCCTTTATATAATGAGACCATGATAAGGATTTCGCAAATGAATAAACTGACTTCCTCCAGGGCAGGAGTCTTGTAATATTTATCTTTCTTTTTCCAGTTCCTAATATATAATAACCACTCAATAATTACTAGTTAAGCAAATGCATGCCCTCTTCTTACTATATCCCTGTGAGTCCAAAGATCCATGCTCGGTTTCCTATTTCTGATTAACTGAGTCACCTTTAGAAAAGTAACTTTAAGCCTCAATTTCCTTCTCTGTAGGATGCAGTAATACTTCCTCATCTGACTACTTGGAACTTTTTAAGCAAAAATAAACTATATGGGTAAAAATTACTCAGCTTTTACCATGTGCTAAAGGCCTGATGTATATTAAAGAATGTAATCCTCATAACAAACCTTAAAGTAGGTATTGTTATCCCCATTTTACAGATAAGGAAACTGAAGAACAGAAAGTTTAATTAACTTGGCCAATACCACACAGCAGGTCAATGTTCCAGATCTGAACCTAGGGGCTCTGATCTGAACCTATGCGTTGTGAGTGCACTGTAAGGAGCTCCGGAAACGTGATGTGGGGCTCTACATTATCTTTATCCCGGCCCTTTCACTCCATCCCCGCTCCCGCGACTCGGAGTCCGCTGCAGTGCGGTACCTGTGCTCTAGGCGCTGCCCTAGGAGCCAGGAGCGGCAGATACTGCCTCCCCTTCAAGGCCCTCAACGGCGGAAAGAGCAATCGCTGCATACTGATGACAGGGAACAGCCACCTCTTCCACAACCCAGGGCTCTGTGGTCTCCCTCCTCCGCCAAGGAAAAGAGAAGCACTTCCGGGTCGGGCAGCGGGAGCCCCGCCTTCTCTGGGGACCGGAGCGAACAGAAGTGCGCCTGCGTTGCGACTCCGCTTTCGCGGGGGCTGCTGGGGCGTAGGTGTCGGGGACGCGCGCACGGGCGCGCGCAGCTGTTGACGCGCTTCTTAGCTGGTGCGCGCCGGAGCCCAAATTCCAAGTGGAAACTGCAGGCGCACGAGGGAGGAACGCGTGGAGCATGAAAAGGCAGGGGGCCTCCTCTGAGCGAAAACGAGCGCGGATACCGTCCGGGAAGGCCGGTGCGGAAGGTGGCGGGGGAGGGGACGGTCGGCCGAAGGCTCCCCGGGGCGGGCCGGCGGGAGTCGTAGTCAGTGGTGATTTCTTCTGGAGTCGTTTCCTCAGCTCCTTCCAGCCCCTTGGGCGGCACCTTCTATCTTTGAGGCGTTAAAGGTGTGGAAACGGAGGGCGTGACGAGGGGCAGGTAGCGAGAATGGCTCAGCTGTGGAGCCAAGGTTCGAGTCCCGGGGTCCCCTCATAACGGCCCTGCGACCTTGTGCAAGTTGGTTAACTTCAGCTTCACGTTTTTTCCGTCGCCACACGAGGATGCCAGTACCGCCCGCACCAGCAGCCAGTACTCCGCTGGGATAGTTAATTGTCGAGCGCGGAGCCCAGTTCCTAACCTGCAGTTACCTGTAGCTGCCACGGCGGGGACGGGGCTTGGTCCCCAAAGTCACGCAGCTACCAAGTGGCCGAGCTTGTGGCTGCTCCAAGACCCGAGTTCTTCCTGAGTGCCAGGGTAGCATGGCATGGCAGGTGCCAGAGAATTTGGCAAGTCCCTCTTCCTCCGTGAAGAGGAACCTTCCTAAAAGTTATCAAGAATCCTCAAAGATTTTTTCTTTATGTGGATTACATCTATCTATTTTGACTGTATTAGAAATTAAAACAAATTTTTTTTTGGGAGGCCGAGGGGGACAGATCATCTGAGCTCAGGAGTTCGAGACCAGCCTGGCCAGCATGGTGAAACCCCGTCTCTACTAAAAATACAAAAATTAGCTGGGCATGGTGGCAGGCGCCTGTAATACCAGTTACTCGGGAGGCTGAGGCAGGAGAATCACTTGAACCCGGGAGGCGGAGGTTGCAGTAAGCCGAGATCGCGCCACTGCACTCCACCCTGGGCGACAGAGCGAGACTCCGTCTCAAAAAAATAAAAATAAAATTAAAACAAAATTTTAAAATATTGATTAGAAAATAACCATAGTAAACCCATTACATATTGACATAATATTTTTTTGAAAAAGAAATATTCCTAAACAACAACAACAAAAAAAGCAAAAGAGTGGAAATATATTTTTGCAAGTTTCTTCAGTATATCTTAATGGAAGACAGCTGGATTCTCATGCCCGCTGCTTCATTCAGTCTAACATGTCAAGTAGCCTCTTGAAAACGCCTCTTCACGGAGGTTGCAGTAAGCCGAGATCGCGCCAATGCACTCCATCTTGGGTGACAGAGTGAGACTCTGCCTCAAAAAAGAAAACGCCTCTCACTTGTGAGAGAATTAAAGTGAAAAAGTCAAATAAAGTGTTAGAATTATTAAGAAAACGGTTGTAGCCCTGCAGACTCTGAAAAGTCTCAGAGGCTCCCAAAGCTCTCTGGACTACTACACTTTGAGAACTGCTGCTGCTTCTCCTTTGATCCTATAACTTTGTTGCTTGGGACAACTGCCTTGCTCTGCCTTCTGTCATAGCCTTTTTTATACATCTCTCCATCTTCTCCTGCCTAGGGTCCTTTCTTGTGTGAGGCAAATAGTCCCCCGGCAGCATCAGCATCGGCCAGTGCCACTGATCTGACAGCTGGTCTGGTAGCTACCAGGAAACTCATGGAGTTAATAATGCAGAGCTGTTGGTTAAGAGCATAGATTGACACTTAACCCTTTCACAGTTTGGGACTGATAGTATTTTTTTTTTTTTTTTTTTTTTGAGACGGAGTCTGGCTCTTGTCGCCCAGGCTGGAGTGCAGTGGCCTGATCTCAGCTCACTGCAACCTCCACCTCCCAGGTTCAAGCAATTCTCCTGCCTCAGCCTCCTGAATAGCTGGGATTACAGGCGCCCGCCACCACGCCCGGCTAATTTATATACTTTTAGTAGAGATGGGGTTTCGCCATGTTGGCCAGGCTGGTCTCAAAATCCTGACCTCAGATCCGCCCACCTTGGCCTCCCAAAGTACTGGGATTACAGGCGTGAGCCACCGCGCCGGACAGGGACTGATAGTCTTAAATAAGTAAGGCAATTGCAGTTTGATGTTAGCAGATGATAGGTTTTTGTTTTATTTGTTTTTCAAAGTAAAAATTGCTTTTTTAAATTATAAAAGCAATATTGGGTAGAAAAAATAAAGCAATAAAGAAAAGTAAAAAGAAGAAAATAAAAATAATTTCAAATCACACCCCACCAGAAGTGACCATTACCAGTATGTGAGGAACATTCTAGTAAGTGTCATTACATGAAGTGTGCATTGTTTCGTTCATTTTTTTAAATTATGTGCTCCCGGAAAAAAACTCAAAACTCTGTTTACATCACACTTTGTAATATAAATACATTAATTTTGTTGTAATTATTCAGCTTTTAGTAAATATTTGATTATTGTGTACCATGGTAGATACTGTGCTTGGTGTGGGTGATGATAAAGATTTCTCACATAAAGACCTTACTTAGGAGGCCAGACGTGGTGGCTCATGCCTATAATCCCAGCACTTTGGGAGGCCGAGGCTGGCAGATCGCTTGAGTGCAGGAGTTTGAGACCAGCATGGGCAACATGGCGAAACCCCATCTCTACAAAAAATACAAAATTAACCAGGTGTTGTGGCACATACCTGTAGTCCCAGCTACTGAGGAGGCTGAGGCACAAGAATTGCTTGAGCCTGGGAGGCGGAGGTTGCAGTGAGCCGAGATCATGCCACTGCACTCTAGCCTGGGCGACAGAGCAAGACTCTGTATCAAAAAAAAAAAAAAAAAAAAAAAAACAAACTTAGGAACTCTAAGTCAAGTAGAAGTGATCAGATATTTATCTGCATAAATAATAAAAGGTAGAAAGTAATTCATATTTTAAGAAGGAACAATTGGGGTTTCATAACTCATGAAGAGTTAAATGAGTTCAAAAGAGGGACATAAAATTTTCTACTTTGGGAGACAGAAAAAATCATGGAAATGTTCCTTGAAAAATTTTATTCAGAGATGAAGCCAGAAGGAACTCTGGGTTGAGGAGAAGGCATTGGGGAGCCAGCGGTAGGGACTGGAGAGATCTGGAAGCATAAGAAGGAATGAGACAGAGTATCACTCTGTCACCCAGGCTGGAGTGCAGTAGCACAATCTTGGCTCACTGCAACCTCCACCTCCTGGGTTCAAGCGATTCTCATGCCTCAGCCTCCCAAGTAGCTGGGATTACAGGCGCATGCCACGATGCCTGGCTAATTTTTGTATTTTTAGTAGAGACAGGGTTTTACCATGTTGGCCAGGCTGATCTCCAATTCCTGACCTCATGTGATCCACCCACCTCGGCCTCCCAAAGTGCTGGGATTACAGGCATGAGCCATCACACCCGGCCAGATAACTAATACTTTTTGATTCTTGAGACTATATACTTTACATGAATTATCTAATTTAATCCTCACTACTCTGAGGTACATACTAAAATCTACCTTGTTTTATAGAAAACTTAAGTAACTAATCTAGGATCTCACACTAAATAGTTGGTGGGACATGGATTTGAAGTCTGTCCTGCTTTTAAACCTATATTCCTTATAAAGAAGTTTAAATATATTCTGCAGGCATTGAGAAGCATTGTAAGAATCTCAGCTGGAATGTGATGATGAGGTCTATGTTTTAGGAAGATTAATTTGGCATTCGATAGACATTTTCCTCAGTATAATTTTTTATACATCTGTCTGTGTACCTATTTCAGTCTATAGGCATCAATTCAATAATTAATGTGATATTTTATTGCATTCATGGGCCCTAGTGTACTTATCTATTACCTGTTATTGGACATTTGCATTTTGGCAGCAGAATGTAAACCCTTTGTGGTAAATTGGTCTGGATGGATAGAACCTTTATGAACTCTTACCATTCTCCATGTATTTTAGGAGCAGCAAATGGATTTCTCATGGAAGTTTGTGTTGATTCAGTGGAATCAGCTGTGAATGCAGAAAGAGGAGGTAAGAGAAATCAGATAGTGAATGACCGTTGGCTACCCTTTTAAGAGTCTGAAAATTAATCCTGTGTGCTTATCTCAGAAGCCCTTGTGATCTCTAAGCATCCCTCATAATGCTTTCAGAAACAACCAATTAGAAACCCTACTGGAAAATTATGATCTAGTCTCTCCCTCTCCCCAAGTGGGTCACATTTTAAGTCAAGTGTCGACAATAGTACTTACTCAATGACTTGATTTTTTATTGAACTTAGCAAAATTTTAATTTTTTTAAACCATTAACTTAAAGATGACTTCAGAGACTTCATCATGAGGAATTTTATCTTTTTTACTTTTGAACATTATCTATTTTTCCCTCAAAGTTTCTGTTGTACTCTGAACCTGTTTTAATGGGAAGCACAGACATTTCCATCATCTCAGGTTCAGAAAAATTAAAAAAAAATTTTATTATGGAAAAATAAACATATACAAAAGTAGAGCAAATAGGATAATGAAGCCCCATGTATGCATCACTCATCTTCACCCATTTTCAACACATGGCCAGTTTTTCATTTATTTCAGGGGTCAATAAACTTTTTCTGTGAAGAGCTGCATAGTATATATATTTTCAGCCTTGCTGGACACATTTGATCTTTATCACTTATTTTATTTTTAAATCTTTTGAAAATGTAAACATCAGCCGGGTGCAGTGGCTTACACCTGTAATCCCAGTAATTGGAGAGGCTGAGGCTGCCAGATCACTTGAGCTCATGAGTTCGACACCAGCCCAGGCAACATGGCAAAACCCTGTCTCAACAAAAAATAGAAAAATTAGCCAAGCGTGGTGGTGAGCACCTGTAGTCCCAGCTACTTGGGAGGCTAAGGTGGGAGGATCACTTGAGTCCAGGAGGCAGAGGCTGAAGTGAGCCAGTCACACCACTGCACTCTAGCCTGGGTGACACAGCCAGATCTTGTCTAAAAAAAAAAAAAAAGTTAAAAAAATCCTTCTTACTTTGGCAATAGAAAAGAATGAAGTACTGATACATGCTATAATATAGATGAATCTTGAAATATTATTCTAAGTGAAAGAAACCAGTGGAAGAAAATACAACATATGATTCCATTTATATATATCCAAAATAGGTAAGTTTATGTAGACAGAAAGTAGATTAATAGTTGCTTAGGGCTGAGAGGCATGAGAAGGGTAGGTGACTGCTAAAGGGTGTAGGGTTGTTTTGGGGATGATGAAAATGTTCTAAAATTACTTGTGGAGATGGTTGCAAAACTCTGTGTATATACTAAAGAGTACTGAATTGTACACTTTTAAATGGGTGAATTGTATTAGTGAATTATATGTCCATAAAGCTGTTGTTTTTCAAAAAGAATACAAAAACATTCTTAGTTTGCAGGCCATAGCCAAAACAAGCTATGTGCCCATAGCCCACATGCCATGGTTTGCTGACCCCTGATTTATAGTCCTACCTTCCTCTCCCAACCTCAGATTACTTTGAAGCAAATCCCAGACATCATGTTAATTTTAAATATTTCAGTGTGTGTCTCTAAAAAATAAAGACTCTTGCCGGGCGCGGTGGCTCACACCTGTAATCCCAGCACTTTGGGAGGCCGAGGCGGGCGGATCACCTGAGGTCGGGAGTTCGAGACCAGCCTCAACATGGAGAAACCCCGTCTCTACTAAAAAATACAAAATTAGCTGGGCGTGGTAGTGCATGCCTGTAATCCCAGCTACTCGGGAAGCTGAGGCAGGAGAATTGCTTGAACCTGGGAGGCGGAGGTTGCGTGAGCCGAGATCACGCCATTGCACTCCAGCCTGGGCAATAAGAGCAAAACTCCGTCTCAAAAAAAAAAAAAATAAGGACTCTTTTTTTGTTGTTTAAGTTCTTTATTGTTTTCAAAGGCCTAGTATGCATACATATATAAGAAATCCATAAATAATGTGGAATTATTAATGTATATTGTTTAAGATAAGGTCCCTTTTAAAGAACAAAACACCACAATGTCACTAACACACCTTTAAAAAAATCATTTCTTAATATCGTCAAATAACCCAGTTTTCAGATTTCTCCAGTTGACTCATACAGGGTGTGTGTGTGTGTGTGTGTGTGTGTGTGTGTGTGTGTACAGTTCTTTGAATCAAGAGCCAAACATTTCATTTGTTTTATATGCCTCTTAAGTCTCTTTAAATCTGTAAGTTTCTCCTGCTTTTTTCTTTAATTCTTTGTTTACTTTCTTAAGATTTATTTGTTAAGCAACTGTGATATTCATCTTTTAGAGTATCCCATACTCTCAATTTTGCTAATTATATGTGTGATATCGTTTAACATAGTCCTCTGACCACTGTATTTCCTATAAAGGTAGTTAGCCCAGAGGCCTAATCAGATTCAGATTTCAGTTTTGACAAAATTTATTTATAGATAACATTATATACTTCCTGTTGCATCACATCAGGAGGACATAACATGTTGGTTTTTTTCTGTTTTTGTGATATTAAGATTGAACAGGGAGTTCAGGTATTGCCAGCCTAATCTATCCTTAAGGTTTTCTGTCAGCTTTTCACCTAATAAATTTAGCAACCCATATTTTAGTAGGGGTTGCAAAATGGTGACATTTATTTTTCACTTATGAACTAGAATAGTTCTGTAAAGAACTTTCCCTCATCCTCTGTTTGGTTATGCTGAAGTATGGTTTGTATAAGAAAGGCAGAATAAATGCTTGCTTATTTTCCCTTATTTATTATAATACTTTTTAGAATAATGAATTTGTTCTCTGTCTTCCCTTGAATTGTTTTGTCATTATGAATGTAGATTTAGATATATTTTGTGTGTTTTAATCCATTGTAGTTATTCTGCTTATTGATGAACAAAATGTTCTATCTTTGGCTAGTGAGAGCTTCTTCAAACTGGTTCCTGAGATCTTTTGATGTGACCTTGGTAGCCTAATAATTCTTTTGGTTTCAGCATTTTCTTATTCTTGAAATTATCTTGGTTTAGCTACTCAAAAGTAGCTTTGTGTTTTTTAAAGCTTAGAATAATAAAGACCCTTTTGGGAAATATTATGTTATTTTCTTATCAACAAAGACTCAGTATTCCACTATAGTCAGTTTTAAGAAACATCTTTATTCTATGTTACTTTCCTGTACATAGAGAGGCAACCCTATAATACAAAAATTTAAGAGAACTAGCTTAACTTTAATTAATTTTTAAATTTGAGTATGAGTAACACAATGTGGGCTGCAGAGTATAGCTGAGTTAAAAACAGAGTTTTACTCTAGCTTTATAATTTGATTTCTCTGAGATGATTTCTAAGACTGTTCTATATTTGGAAAAAATATATATAAACAGGTTGCTGTTTAATAACAGCTTATTTTTTAAAAATGTGTTGAGCAATGCTTTTATATTACAGGTGCTGATCGGATTGAATTATGTTCTGGTTTATCAGAGGGGGGAACTACACCCAGCATGGGTAAGTGTCCATTTTTCCCAGGTTTTCTGATTGGAGTTCATAGAGCCTGGAAGCAACTGATAATCAGTTTCGTTGGGGTCCTTTACTAATGTCATGTTAACTATGTTATGGATGTTGTATCAGAAATGTTTATGATTGTAAAAAAATCAAAGATTTGATCAAACATATTTCTTTCTCACATCAAAAAGTTGAAAGGTAGGTAGGTAATTGTTAATACCGGTTCAGCTGCTCTGTAGTAACATCAAGGATTAGGCTTTTATAAAATCTTTCCATGCTGGCATCCTTAGTATATTGAAATCCCCTCCTGGTCTTTGTGCTATTGTTGTCATATATTTTACTCATACATATATCAAAAACTCCATGCTGTATTGTTAGTTTTGTTTGAAGAGTCAATTATCTTTTGTTAAATAAGAGATTTAAATAATAAGAAAAAAATCATATATTTACCCACATGCAACTACCATTTCTGGTGTTCTTTATTCCTTTGTGTAGATCCCGTATTTCTGTCTGGTTTCATTTTCATTCTGCCTGAAGTACTTTCTTTAACTTTTTTTGTTAAAAAGTATGCTAGTGATTCATTCCTTCAGCTTTTATATGTCTAAAATAGCTTTTTCCTTCATTTTTGAAAGGTATTTTTGCTGGGTATAGAATTCTAGGTTGACAGGTTTTTTTTTTCTTTGAAGATGTTTTTCCATTGTCGTCTTGCTTGTATTGTTTCTGACAAAAAGCTATCATCCATATCTTTGTTTTTCTCTATGTAATATGTCTCTTTTTTCTACCTACTTTTAAGATTTTTTTATTATTGGTTTTGAACAATTTTCTTATGGTGTACCTGAGTATAGTTTTTTCATGTTTCTTGGACCTGTGCATTTATACTTCTCATCACATTTGGAAAATTTTCAGCTTGCAGCTTGTTCTCCACTCCCTCCTTTAGAGACTTAAGCTATTCTTACATTAGACTACTTGAAATTGTCCCAAAAGTCACTGATGAACTTCTCTATTTAAAAGAAAATCTCCTTTCTGTGTTTTCATTTTGCATAGTTGCTATTGTTTTGTCCTTGAGCTTACTGACCTTTTCTTCTGCACTATCTAATCTGCTATTAGTCTCTCCTGGTATGTTTTCATCTCATACATTGTAGTCTTCATCTGTAGAAATTTGAGTCTTTTTATGTCTCTGATGTCTCTTAACTTTTTTGAACATGTGGAATAAAGTTATGATAGCTGTTATAATGACCTTGTCTGCGAATTCTAACATCTATATCAGTTCTGGGTTTGTTTCATTTGATTTATCATCTAATAATATATCTTATTTTCCTGCCTTGTAATTTTTTATTGGATGCAAGACATTGTGAATTTTACTTTATTGGTTACTAGACATTTTTGAATTCCTACAAATGTTCCAAAACAGTTTGGTCCTTTTGGGTCTTGCTTTTAAGATTTGCTGGGCAAGTCTGGAGCAGTGGTTAATACAGAGCTAATTATTCCTTACTACTGAGTCAGGATTCTTCTGTGAACTCTACCCTGTGACCATGAATTTTGAAATTTTCCTGTCTGGCTGGTGGAATAGGCATTATTCACAGCTTGGTATGAATGACAGGCACATTATTTCTAATCCTTTTTATTGGTTCTGTCCCAGGCCTTGCGTAGTTTCTTTGCATGCATGCACCGGTCAGTACTCAGCTGAATATTAAAGGAGGTTCTCTGCAGACCTCCAGAGTTATCTGTCTTCCTTTCTTCTTTCATTCCTTCCTTTCCTTTCTTTTCTTTCCTTCTCCTTTTCTCTCTCTTTGCTTTCCTTCCTTCCTTTTTTTCTTTTGACAGGGTCTCACCTGTTGTCCAGGCTTGACTGAAGTGGTGTGACCATAGCTCCCTACAGCCTCAAACTCCTGGGCTCAAGCAATTGTCCTGCCTCAGCCTCTCAAGTAGCTAGGATTACAGGCATATGCCACCATGTCCAGCTACATTTGTTTGTTTGTTTGTTTGGTAGAGATGGAGTCTCACCATTTTACCCAGACTGGTCTTGAACTCCTTGCCTCAGGCAATCCACCCATCTCAGCCTCCCAAAGCACTGGGATTACAGGCATGAGCCACCGTACCAAGCCTATCTTTTTTAAAAAAAATCCTTTTTTTAAACCATTGAGATAGTCTTTGCTACTCCAGTGTTATCTTTCTGTCCTCCCTGTACTGTCTCCTATAAACTCTAGCTACTTCAGTCTTCCTGAACTCTAAGCTTTGTCTCCTTAACTCAGGGAATTGTTTTGGCTCCATGTGGGTCCCCCATCCCTGTGCTTTGGCCTAGAAACTCTCAAGGCAGTAAATTGGGTCAATCAGAATTGACTTACTAACTTCATTGTTTACCATTTTCAAGGATCATTGCCCTTCACTGCTTAATGTCCAGTGTCTTGCAAACCACTGTTTCATATATTTTGTCTGTTTTTTTATTATTATTATTATTATAGGTGGGAGGGTAAATCCAGTCACTGTTACCCTGTCTTGGCCAAAAGCAGAAGTCTGTGTATGAATTGTGGTCTCCTAAGTTATGCTACTCTGAGGTTGATAATAGCATTATTTAATGTAAAAAGTTTGTATACACAACAGCCCTTTGGAATCTTCACATGAAAAGAGGGCATTCCTGGCCATTCTAAAATCCCTAGAGCATGTCTGTAAATTTGAGTACAGTCTGTTTTTGTAACACCAATTATGATTCATTGCTTAGTATTGGACAACTGCTATCCTATGCAAAATTGGAGTTCTTTTAGCAAGAAAAAAGAAAGAAATTCATACTGGGTAAACAACTGATGGGGCCTGTCACAGCCTTATACTATTGATGGTTTATGAGCTAGCCACTTATTATGGCATATTTAGGTACTTTTATGCATAGATCTCTGCATAAAATCACAAATAAGTAGAACTTTGCTCCCTTTCACGTATCTTGTTTAAAAAAAAAAAAAAAAGGTTTTGCTAAATGTCTTTGCCCATTAAAGGAATATGAACTTTGAAGCTATTTAACCATCTCTCCAGTAGGTTTTAAATAGAGCTGTAATGAATTAGAAAGAAGAAATTGGATCTTGGGGAATAATGTACTGGCAGAACATCGAGCCTGGTAGTTATTGCACTTTCAAATGTCACCTACCAATAAAAGGGTTCTGAGTCATAAGGATTTTTGTTGAGTCAACTGACAAGTGCTTTTAAATTGTAGCATCTTCTGTTTTCTAAATCGTTCTATTTAACCCTTTGCTATTACTTACCTTCTACCATATATACATTTTTCTTCTCAGTGTCTGTCCTACCTTTTAGAGCCATCTTTGTCTGGTAAATGACCAATAATATATCATTGGCTTTTAGCTCACATTTGAATTTTAATCTGCTTTCTTTTCTTGTAGGTGTCCTTCAAGTAGTGAAGCAGAGTGTTCAGATCCCAGTTTTTGTGATGATTCGGCCACGGGGAGGTGATTTTTTGTATTCAGATCGTGAAATTGAGGTGATGAAGGCTGACATTCGTCTTGCCAAGCTTTATGGTGCTGATGGTTTGGTTTTTGGGGCATTGACTGAAGATGGACACATTGACAAAGAGCTGTGTATGTCCCTTATGGGTAAGAATTTGTATCTAAGACGTAAAAGCCTCTAATGATAATTGTATTTATGCTCACAATATAGAAAAACAACATCACAAAACTGACTTTGCGGTCATAGCTACAGACACTTATACTAACCTAAGTATTTCAAATAGTAGTTATTTAGATGTTTGGGGTGGGGTGTATGTGTGGCAAAGCCTTCTTAACTCTCCTCAATTGCTATAGATTAGGCTCCGCTACTGTTCCCATAGAATAGAAATTTAAGGGAAATTTACCATGGTTCCTTTAACCACTGCACCAAGAACTTCAAAAGTATTATAGTTGGTGAGGATGGACCACCAAGTTGGAAGATGCAAAGAGGACAGAAGCAAACTACCTATGTTACTAAACCAAAGTACTTATTGAATGACCTCAGAGGGACAAGTATTAGATGTAATGCTGCCCTTATAGTTGTCAGATTAAATGGTTTTCATTTGGTGATAAGCCACGACCATTTTTTTGTATAAAAATCAGAGATTTGTGGAAAGATAAGACTTTTGAATTTGTAAGGCTGCCATTTTATTATTATGTCAGTTTACTGTCTTGTTAGGCGAAGAAAGTATTAAAAAGTTTCAGCTAACATGGAGAATTCTATATATAGTAATCAGTGATGACATCTTCATTCATGTTGTTATATGACTTTCTTTTTATAGCTATTTGCCGCCCTCTGCCAGTCACTTTCCACCGAGGTGAGTCATTTTCATTTTAAAAGTTCTATTGAACAGTGTTAGTTTTCTAATTTCAACAACTGCCACCACCTTTTTATGGAACACAATTCTGTAGTGTTCCAAGGTTACCAATTGGTTTTTTAGATCCTAGGACTAAAAGTTATAAAAGTAGAGATGTGCAATTTCTAGAAAATTTGAAGCCTTAGTTATGAAAAGTTGTTAAAAGTGGGTGTAGGTGGTGGTGGGATATAAGAGAGCGAGGGAGAGAGCAAGTATTGCCTTCAAGTGTGTGTACCTATCATAGCATTCCAAGCAAGAATCCTGAGACTCATTTTAACTGAGACTGTATTAGGTCATGTGCAACCCCAAAAGAATAAATTGTTGTGGCTGGTGAAATGAAAGGTACTGTCTATCTTAAGCCAGGCAAAACCATCCCTGGGGCTAGCAGTGAGGTGGGGTTTCACAGATAGAGACTTCTTAAGGGGAGAGAAAGTTGGGTATCTGGAGAAGAATTGGGTCTTATTAGGAAGGGAGAAAGGAGAAACAGATGCAATCTAGTGTTGACTATCTAGTCAATGAACAGATGTCCACAATAGTATACAAAATTATTTTTCATTATAGCTTGTCTGCACCACAGTGATTTTTTAATGTGATACTTTCTTGTAAAGAAATATTTCCTGTAAAAAATCAGGTAGATATAATTTTTTTTGTTTGTTTGTTTGAGACGGAGTCTCGCTCTGTCGCCTAGGCTGGAGTGCAGTCGCACGATCCGGCTCACTACAACCTCTGCCTCCCGGGTTCAAGCAGTTCTCTGCCTCAGCCTCCCGAGTAGCTGGGATTACAGGCGCCTGCCACCATGCCCAGCTAATTTTTGGATTTTTAGTAGAAACAGGGTTTCACCATCTTGGCCAGGCTGGTCTTTAACTCCTGACCTCGTGATCCACCCGCCTTGGTCTCCCAAAGTGCTGGGATTACAGGCGTGAGCCACCACCCCTGGCCAAAAAATCAGGTAGTTATAATTTCTATACTCTTAGGCTACACCTTGGTAAAATGGAAGAACAAGTATCTATTTTGCCTTCAGAGAGCACTGCCATTGCACATGAAAAGAAGTCTACAGTCAAAAAAAATTTTTTTACTTCAAATTTCTGTTCTGTTCTTTATTCCAATAGGTTTAACAAAAATATTTTCATATTTTCAAAATTTGTAGAATTTTTGGGTTCCACATTTTTCTCACTAATGTATTTAATGAGATATCATAATATAGTTTTAGTGGTGAGAAGGTGCTGCCACCAAAATAGGGAAATCCTCTGTGGTAGATTTAGTTGCCTACATACACTAAAGGGTGAAATGAAGGGGCCTGTCCCAGAGGACCACTACCACCTAATCCACTGCAGGCTAGAGCTTCAATGTCATGTAGCAGTATGAGAACCAAAGCAGAAGTAGATTTTCTGTTTTCAGTTTCCTGATACCACTTTACTCTTTGAGGGCTCTGAGGAGGGGAGAAATCTCTTAGAAAGTAGGATGGGGCTGGGCACAGTGGCTTACCCCTATAATCCTACCACTTTGGGAGACCGAGGTGGGTGGATCACAAGGTTAGGAGATTGAGACCATCCTGGCCAACATGGTGAAACCCCGTCTGTACTAAAAATACAAAAATTAGCTGGGCGTGGTGGCGCATGCCTGTAATCCCAGCTACTCGGGAGGCTGAGGCAGGAGAATCACTTGAATCAGGGAGTCAGAGGTTGCAGTGAGCCGAGACCGTGCCACTGCACTCCAGCCTGGGCGACAGAGCAAGACTGCATCTCACAAACAAAAAAAAGTAGGTTGGAAGTGAAACTTCATATAGTCTGTTGAAAACAACTACCCTTATGCTATGAACCTTGAGTATGTGGGGTTAATAGATTAATCCAAAATATTAGTCAGTAATGAGAATGTGAGCCAAGGCTTTTTCTAGAACTGGTGAGTACAGTGTTTCATTCTACCTAGTCCAATATTTCTGAAGCCTTAGAACAGTTTCCCAAATTTGACTCACCTGCCTATCACATTTAAAATTTTACCATATATGAGTGCTACCTGTGCACATTTTTATTTAATCATTTTCTTTAAATAAAATCTTAAGTATGCACCCATAAAAAAGAACAAGATCATGTCCTTTGCAGAGGCATGGATGGAGCTGGAGACCATTATCCTTAGCAAACTAACATAAGAACAGAAAACCAAATACCACATGTTCTCACTCATAAGTGGGAGCTAAATGATGAGAACACATAGACACATAGAGGGGAACAACACACACTGGGGCCTTTCCGAGGGTGGAGGGTGGGAGGACAGAGAGGATCAGGAAAAATAACTATGAGTACTAGGCTTAATACCTTGGTGATGAAATAATCTGCACAACAAACTCCCAAGACACGGGTTTATCTGTATAACAAACCTGCACTTGTACCCCTGAACTTAAAAAAAAGTTAAAAAAAAGTAAATTTATTTTAAATAGAAACTTTTATAATTACTTTATATTGAAAACTTTTCATTTCTTATCTGCATTTAAGTAAATATACTATTTAAATGTGTACCATTATTAAAATGATTATGCACAGTGGTATGTAGACTGTGGTGTGCTGATGAACTGGCTCCTAGAAAAAAGAGCCCTGATTTGTAGCATTTTTAAATTTCTGTGGTTTAAATACTCTACCTTCACTGAATTTTTTTATTATTATTAATTAAATTTTTATTTTTCTTTTGAGACAAGTCTTGCTCTGTCGTCCAGGCTAGGGCACAATGGTGCAATTGGCTCACTGCAGTCTCGACCCCTTAGGCTCAGGTGATCCTCCCATCTCAGCCTCTCGAGTAGCTGGGACTATAGGTGCACACCACCATGCCCAGATAATTTTTGTATTGTAGATATGGGGTCTTGCCACATTGCCCAGGCTGGTCTCAAACTCCTGCGCTCAAGTGATCTCCCCACCTCGGCCTCCCAAAATGCCAAGATTATAGGCACGAGCCACTGCACCTGGCCCTACCTTCACTAATTTCAGGCTGCCAGTGGATTAACAATCTGACTTGCAGAATTCTTGAGTGTTTAATAATTGGCCTTTGTAAGCCAGTACAAGCTAGGTCCAGCATGCCACTGCATGTATACTACATTTTGGGAAACTCTGCGTTAGAGATACCTGTTCAAAATTCACATCAGTTTTATTTATTTCAGCCTTTGACATGGTTCATGATCCAATGGCAGCTCTGGAGACCCTCTTAACCTTGGGATTTGAACGCGTGTTGACCAGTGGATGTGACAGTTCAGCATTAGAAGGGCTACCCCTAATAAAGCGACTCATTGAGCAGGTACGTGGACTTTATCTTTTTTTCCCCTAAGACTCTGTTGTGGTTACTCCTGACATTCTGCTGTTTAGCCAGTTTGTGAGACTATATATTACTGACTTTGTGGTTACTCTGTAGGAAAAGCAAGCAGGCAATAATGTATATAATTCTTATTTCTTTCACACAAGCCTTTTTAATAACCAAGGCTTTCAAGATCAAATTACATATAGATAGTGCCTAAAGATCTGATCTAACTTGGATAAGCACAGCAAATTTTACCTTTTCTCTGCCATGGGCATTGCAGTTTTTTTTACTTTTTATTTTTATTTTTTAGTTTAGATATAAGGTCTTGCTGTGTTGCCCAGGCTGGTCTCGAACTCTTGGGCTCAAGCCATCTGCCTTCCTTGCCCTCCCAGAGTGCTGGGATTACAGGCATGAGGCACTGCGCCCAGCCAGCATTGCAGTTTTAAGCCACATCTTTTCATTGTCAGCCCATGTATATTCAGGGGATCCCATATAAAATTATCATCTGGAGGTAAATTCCAAAACTAAAATTATAATCTTATTTCTTCTCATCTGTCAATATAAGAGGAAATATATTTTTCTATTTTATGAGTTTTCCTGGTGAGCTAGCATCATTTGTAGAGCACTCAGAAGGTGACTTTGTAATTAATAGTATGTGTATTTTTCTGATGTCAGTCCAGAGGCATTATAAGTTAGTGAGTACAGACTTTGAGATGAGAGAGTTGAGCGTTTGAGACTCGGGTTTGATACTTGCTATGTGATGTTGAGCAGGTTAATAGTCTTTAAGCCTCTCTTTCCCCCTGTGTGAAACTGAGATGAGTTTAATACTTATTTTAGAGTTTCTCAGAAGATTGCTAAAGATGGGATGTGTTAGAGGCTTAGCACAGTGGTTGGCATATACTAGGTCTTAATAATGTTAGGTTCTGTTATTACTGCTATTATTAATAATACTAATGTTCCTGTGTAGACATCTGCTTATTTTCACTTTTCTATAGCCATGAAAATAATTTTCAGAAATTTCTCCTAAAGATCTGATGTGACTTTGCTATTCTGGGATGTAATGGTTTCACAGACATTTATTAAATATATATTAGATGCAGGACATTTGTACTGTGGGGGTAACCAAGGGCTAAGTGTCTGTGTGTAGTCACTATCCTTACAATTTAGTGCAGAACAGGCACTTCTAATAGAGCAGGCAATTTTAATAGAGCTCTATTTTTAAAAGGTACTATAGGAGTACATTGGAGAGGAATTAACCCCAAATTTGGGGAAATGAAGGTTGGCAATAATTAGAGGAAGCTTCCCAGAAGAAAAGACATCCAGACTGCAGTGTTTTACTCATTTGAAGGATGTTTGGGAGTTATCTGTGTAAAAGTTGGGGGCAGTGGGAGTGAGGGTGAAGGGGATGTTGGTGGAATTGTTCCATACAAAACAAATAGTATAAGCAAGGGCTATAAACAAAAGCAAGCATAACTTAAAACACTGAGGAATGGCCAGAATATTGAATGTGGACAGAATGATATCCAGAGCCTTGAAAACCTTATTAAAGTATTTATTTTCATGGTGCAGCGGGGAGGCCTAAAGTGTTTTAAAATAGAAGAGTTGATGAGTCAGGTTTCCAGTTTTAAAAGGTTACTCAGTAAGGAGTAGCAAATAAGATATAACCGCCATAGTAATGTATTGCATTTCAAAATGTGTATGTGTGTGTGTATGTCTGTTATTTGTATGTTAATCTATTGGTTAGTAGGAAGAGCTACTCAAATATTCTCATACATTAACTTCACTGAAGTAACTACCTAGTAGTGTAACATACTAGTTAAAGCATAGGCTTTGTGATTGGACAGGTCTGTGTTTAAACCCTGGCTTTGACCCTTACTAATAGTGACCATGGATACATTACCTAGCCATCCTAAACCTCAGCTTTGCTCTTCTGCAAAGTTAGGATAATAATAGCACCTACCTCCTAGAATAGTTGTGAGGGATTTCTTCAGGTTATAGCACTTAGTAATTGTTCTATATTATTAAATCTGACATTTAGTGACTGCTCTATATTATTAAATCACTTTGATAGCCTTAGATAAGCATATACTTCTAAATAATCTTGTATGGAAGGCGAAAAGAAATGGTAGAATTCATTTCTTTAAAAATATTATTTCTCTATGTTTTGGAAAGCCTTGATTTGGAAGAAACAGGCAAATATGACTTTTTTCCATTCTGAAGTGATTTCAGCTTTTTAGATAGTCAATGTTTTGTTTTATGGATGCTTTGTTCAGGCCATTTGAGAATATGAAGCATCCTTGTTCCATTTATTTCCCTAACAATTTTTAAATTATTTGAAATAGCCACTCCCCTCTTTCACTCTCTTGTTAACTTTATTTTTTGCTTTATTTATTCACTTGCTTTATTTTTTCTTTGTTATACTTATTGCTACCTGGAATTTTATTGTATAAATATCCCTGTGCATTGTCTCGTCTTTCTTGAATGTGTAAGCTCCATGAGAGCAGGAACTTTCTCTTACTCACCATGTCAGGGAGGAAAAACTTTTCTTCTATCCTCAGGGTTTGTTATTGGGGGCCTGCAAATTAAACTGACTAAAGACAGATTAGCAGGAGTAAAAAGAGATTTTATCACATAAGTACATATATATGTAAGTACATACAGAAGTTCACAAAGAAATATGACTTAGAATTGGGGGCTTATATACCATCTTAATAGGTGAAGGGGAAGGAGAAAATGGCACTTATTGGGGGGGAAAATGACTTTTTGGAAAGATAATTTTCTAGAGACAAATTTACTATGCTGGACATCTTACTTGTCCAAGATCCCAAAGAAATAGAGAAGATCTAGTAAAAATTAAACATTAATAGTAATTTTTAAAATTTAATATATTCTGACTTATGTTTCTATTCTCACTGCCTTATTATCCCATTCAAGAGAAAGATATTAAAATTCACTTGTTTTTTTTTTTCTTTTTTCAGGCAAAAGGCAGGATTGTGGTAATGCCAGGTATTTATTTATCTATCAATTCACTAGCATAACACTGAACTATAGTGGAGGAAGAGCAAAGGAGGCAGGAAAATGTGAGAGAGAGTATTAGTACATTACATATTAGTACATGATCTTTAAAGAGAAGAATATATAGTTTGATTAAAATGTTTAAAACTGGGAGATCTGTGCTAGAATTTAAAAGTTTAGATAAGAAGGAAAATATTGTAATAGGCATTAGCTCAAAGAGGAGCAAATAAGGAAGCAGATAGAGATTGAGGTTTCTCCATATTTGCTCTCCCATTATATAGAACTTTATGAATTCAGATGTTCATCTCTGGTGAGGCACATCAAATTTGATGCTAATCATATTTTGTTTAGGACAAATGTCCTAATAAACAGGGTTTAAGCAAAGGTTTAGGCAACATCCTTGGGTAAAATATAATACTGTCTCAGTTCCTGAAAATCTCTGATTGCCAAATTATTTCTTGTAACCAGAATTTAATCATATGATCCTGATGATAACCATAAGATCAGTTAAGTTCATAATGGCTAACTAGAAATGAACAGTTGGAGCAGTTTTTAAAGAATTAGATAATACAACATAGAAGAGTGAGACAAATGTAAAGACAATCTTAATTTTTTTAATTAAGTTTCTCAAACATATAAAAAAGTAGAAAATAGCATAATGAATACTCATATGCTCATTCCCTAGATTTAACATTTTGCCAAATTTGTCTCATCTTTTTTCTATCCTGAGGTATTTTATTAAAGTTAAATTGAAAGCATCATGGCATTTTATCTTTATTTATCTCTAAAAAGGGTGGGATGTTACCATAATGACAATTCCATTATCACATCTATCACAATAAACATTTAATACTCAACTTTCTCCAATTGTCCCCACAATGGTTTTTATAGCTGATATGTTCAAACTAGGATCCAGTCAAGGAACAAGCATTACATTTTTGGTTATCTTTTGTTTGTTTGTTTGTTTTTAGAGATGAGGTCTTGCTATATTGGCCAGGCTGGACTTGAACTCTTAGCCTCAAGCGATCCTCCTGCCTCAGCCACCCAAGTAGCTGGGACTACAGTTGCACGCTGCCATGCCCAGTTCTATTATCTTTTAAAATATCTTTAATATAGATGTTTTTCCTTTTATTTTTCTTGCTTTAAAAAAAAGTTACATTATTAAGTTTGGGCTGGGCCCAGTGGCTCACGCCTGTAATCCCAGCACTTTGGGAGTCTGAGGCAGCCAGATCACCTGAGGTCAAGAGTTCGAGACCAGCCTGGCCAACATGGTGAAATCCTGTCTCTACTAAAAATACAAAAATTAGCCGGCCATGGTGGCATGTGCCTGTAATCCCAGCTACTTGGGAGGCTGAGGCATGAGCATCACTTGAACCAAGGAGGCGGAGGTTGCAGTGTGCTGAGATTGCACCACTGCACTCCAGCCTGGGTGACACAGCAAGACTCCGTCTCAAAATAAAATAAAAGTTTGGATCACTTACCCTGTAAAATGTCCTACTTTCTGGATTTATCAGATTATTTCCTCATGATATTGTTTAGCTTGTTCCTCGTGCCTCTGTATATCCTATAAACTAATAGTTAAATCATGAGGTTTGAATAGACTCTGCTTAAATATTTTTGGTCAGAATACTTCATGGGTGATTCTGCATACTTACATCATATGACATCACATCAGAAGGTATTCAGTCTCTGGTCATCTCACTACTAGTGATGTCAAGACTGACCAGCGTTCAAAATAGTGACACCTAGATAAAGAGTAACTTTTAAAAAGAGGCCGTGAACCTGGGCAATATAGTAAGACACCATCTTTACCAAAACGTAAAAAAATTAGTTGGGCATGGTGGCGTGCTCCTGACGTCCCAGCTACTCTAGAGGCTGAGGTGGGAGGATTTCTTGAGCCCGAGGTCAAGGCTGCAGTGAGCTATGATCGCACCACTGCACTGCAGCCTGGGCAACAGAGTGAGACCCTGTGTCAAAAGAAAAAAAAAAAAAGGCCATATAAGGGGTATTGTCAGATATTTAGGAAGGCTTTGACCTATAACAAGCCCTTGAAACATAAGCAGAGAGAAAGTATATATTATCTGTCAAATTGTGGTCCTTTTTGGTTAATCAAGGAATGTTAAAGAGACTCTGAGTGTGATGCTTTTCCATTTAGCACTAAATATATATAGTTTTGACAAGTAATACTTAGACAATTGTTGACATTAAGAGTACCTTTGTTTAATATGCAATTGTTATCAGCTGTGTGCAAGGCATTACTTGGGATGCAAAGCTACACAAGAAACTACGTTCTCAAGAAGCTGACTCAGGTCAAAAGATGTTACATACAAAAATATTTGTGATTAATTTCTTTAACAAACCTTATCAGGTAAATGTTAATTGTGTGACAATTATGTATATTTTATGCTAATTGTGTGATAGATATGAAAACAGAAATAAAGTAATCCTACTTGAGGAGCTCACAGAATAGACTTATAAACACAAATGTATTACAATTTCATATGAATAAGTACCAGCAAGTAAAAACTCCTAGGTAAGTCATTCTGAATGCCTAATAAGTATTCATCATTGAGAAATATAAAGAGGTAGTTGCCCTCTAGGAACTTTCATAATGAAACCTACAACATATTTAGGCTCTGGTTTCTTCATCTATAAAGAGAAGAATATTAAACTAGTTCTGTGGGATCCTTTTTAACCATAGAGCTGTGTTAGTCTGAGTCTGGAAAGATGTATTACCTATGTACTTAAGTTGCTGATAACTTAGCAACATGTGTTTCAGTGGCCAGATGTTTTGTTATTTGTTAGAAGGAATAGAAGGAAATAATATATTTGTCTCTTAATCCTTACAATAAGCTTGTGAGGTAGCCAGTATTATCCCTCTTTTATTGGCAAAAAAGTTGAGGTCAGTGGATTTAAATAATTTATCTAAGATCACATAGCTGTGAAGAGCTACAGTGATAAAGCCAGGATTTCAGTCTAAATCTACTCAGCCTGTATTTTTTCTATTTCTTTCTTTTTTTCTGAGACAGGGTCTCACTGTGTCGCCCAGGCTATGGTGCAGTGGTGCAGTCTCAGCTTACTGCAGCCTCTGCCTCCTAGGCTCAAGTGATCCTCTTACCTCAGCCTCTTGAATAGGTGGGTCTACAGGCACCCACCACCACATCCAGCTAATTTTTGTATGTTTTTGTAGAGACGGGGTTTCACCATGTTGCCCAGGCTGGTCTCAAACTCTTGAGCTCAAGTGATACTCCTGCCTTGGCCTCCCAAAGTGTTGGAATTACAGGTGGGAGCCACCACACTCAGCCTTTTTTCTATTTCTTAAGGCTCAGTGATATTACTGTACTACTAAGGAAAAAAAGACAAGTTAATGAGTCTGAAAGAGTGTGTAAAAATAGGTTATTTCAGCATCTTTAATGGCTTGAGATACAAAGTACATAGTTTTAAAATATTGAGTACATCCTATAGGGAGATAAGGATATAAAGATGAATAAACTAATTTCATATTTATGATACACTAGTATCAGTTCAGAATATGATTCTTTATATATAAATATTTAAAAGATTGTTCATCAAAACAAATGTCATAAAATATTTGGTGGTACAGTTTTAATAAAGTAGAATCAGATTCTTCTGTGAAATGAAGTATAAAGCTGATATCGTAACTAATAACCTGTATAATACCTTGCATTATTCCTGTTTCCAATGAAGTCAGTGTAGTCTTTACATCTGGGGCTAGAGACAGAACAGAGGTTCTCTTTCAGACACATCTCTGAGGTTGTGCTTTTGTAGATTTTTTTCCTCAAACCTATCCTTACCTTTCTTTTTAATTTGATTTTGCTTTAATTGAGGGACAAGCAGGGATAGCATTGTTATATTAGCCAATGGACAGATAAGATTCTATCATACATGTTCTATAAACTTAATGGTACTTCCCCAGAGTCTGTAGCCTATATATCTTTTATCACTTCTCTAATCTCATTCTAGCTGGGTAGGGAGAGACTAATTTTTGAATCAATGAGAAATTCAGTTTGGGGATTCCAAGTAAAGTAAGCAGTCGTTACTATTCCTTAAATTTTATGCAAAATTCTATTTTACTTAATGTGTTACTTATTCTTTGCAACAGGAGGTGGTATAACAGACAGAAATCTACAAAGGATCCTTGAGGGTTCAGGTGCTACAGAATTCCACTGTTCTGCTCGGTCTACTAGAGACTCGGGAATGAAGTTTCGGTAAAAATGTATTCTTCGATTCAAATAAGAAGGATGAGATTAATTTTTACTTTCTCCCAAATAGAAAAACTTTGGATGGGGGCATGATTAATCAATGGAATATTGTGACTACTACATAAGTATTGTAGTTGTTTTTGTAGTTGAAAAACATTTCTAAAATGGTTCTTGTCCTGTCTTAAATAAACAGGCTCTTTGAACATAGGTGAACCTTGCCTTGTAAAGGCATTGCTGAACTTAGACCAGTTAATAGTAAACAAATTCTGCAGTTGAGCTTCAAATGAGTCAGATATGCACATGTGCCCATTCGCCTATGATTTCCTGTAGCAAAGTTAATAACTATGGTGTAAGGATGGAAGAGTCAGTCATTTTTCTCCCTCCTACCTTTAGTACTTAGTCTTCCCTCACATTTGTTCTCTGTTTTCAGTTATTTTGAAATTATATTACCATTAAGAAATTGTGAGTATTATATGGGGTTTTTTAAATACTTAAGAAGACTCTTACAATTTAATAGTAGTTGAATATTTCTGTTTATAAATTGGGAAAAACACAATGTAAAAGAAGCAAGATGGCTGGCTGGGTGAGGTGGCTCACACCTGTAATCCCAGCGCTTTGGGAGGCCAAGGCAGGTGGATCACTTGAGGTCAGGAGTTCGAGACCAGTCTGGCCAACATGGTGACACCCCATCTCTACTAAAAGTACAAAAAAATTAGCTGGG
Organism: Homo sapiens; assembly: GCF_000001405.40. NCBI lineage: Eukaryota > Metazoa > Chordata > Mammalia > Primates > Hominidae > Homo > Homo sapiens. The sequence continues at coordinate 99,755,350 of NC_000010.11, forward strand.
CGTGGTGATACATGCCTGTAATTTAAAAAGGAAAAAAAAAAAAAAAAGGAAGCAAGAGCCTTAGAACTTACAATTCCAGATATAAAATCAAGTATACTGTCCAGTGGATTCAGCTGCTGGATGTTTCAAGTAATTAATTGATGAAAATTATGGAATATACTAGTCCAGCATACTTGACCTACCCTTGTATCATGAAATAGTCTATAAAATGAAGCGGCAGTAGGAGGGCCCATTTAATAACATAATTATCTGTTCCTTTATTATTTCTGTTACAGAAATTCATCTGTTGCCATGGGAGCCTCACTTTCTTGCTCAGAATATTCCCTAAAGGTAACAGATGTGACCAAAGTAAGGACTTTGAATGCTATCGCAAAGAACATCCTGGTGTAGCCAGACCTCTCTGAGAGACATGGATATCACAGGATGAAGGTAGAACTATAATCTGCAATTCTCTATGACACAGCTTTAACCTTCTTCTCTGGCCAGGACAGTCGCAATCTTTGTTTTAAGTTTCACATGGCCATGGAGAATGTGCCCAAGAAGAAAAAGAATTTGAAACAGAGATACAGTCACTTCCTTTGCTTAGTCTTACCAGTGATTGTCATCATGGTTAAAGCTGGTCTGTGCTTCTTCCATAGACAGAAGCTTAGTCTGTTTTCAGTGGAATTAATTGATGAACTGGGAAAATTTTAACTGCATGGTATGAATTCAGAGTGTGACTTAAGGGTCAATTCAAAGCAGTATTTTGACTTTTCATTTGTAAAATAAAAATTTCCACTATTACAGTATAGTCTCTTATTCTTGCACTAAATACAGCCTGTAGCCTACAAGTATGAAAGGAAAAGTGTTGTCTTATTTGGTTCCACACTTTCTCTTTTTATTATGTGCTGATTGGATATGCTGCTTTGGGCAAGATGCTAAGGGTACAGAGTAAAATGGTGCAGTGTGAAAATTCCCAGACTTGGAAACAGAATATCAAAGTTCCTAGACTTACGAAGACAGATGTGAACTCTGGCATTCAACAGGTTACTTATCCTGCAAGTGGAAAGAAATGGCTTAACTCTAAGATCCATCTGACAATTTTCAAAGACCTATAGTAAAAACTAGAGGGGGGTTAGGAAAGTTATCAAAGCAGCAGTTTCTTTCTACTGAAGTCACAGATGGGAAAGATGGATTCTAGTAATGAAATATTTTTCCTATGACCAGGTCCCAATGGTAAAGTTCATCACTACCTGTGTCTGTCACTTTCATATTTATAATCTCATTTTACACAAACAACACACTGATAATAGAACTGTTGTTCCTATCTTAGGAGAGTAACTGAAGCATAAAGAGCTTCCCCTTGGCCAGGAAGCCTCTGAATAACATGCACAGATTGTGTACTAATGAATGTTTATATGAAGAGTCTTGCCTTTATTTATTATTTATTTATTTTTGAGACAGAGTCTCACTCTGTCATCCAGGTTGGAGTGCAGTGGCACAATCTTGGCTCACTGCAACCTCCACCTCCCGGGTTCAAGTGATTCTCCTGCCTCAACCTCCTGAGTAGCTGGGATTACAGGTGTGTGCCACCATGCCCTACTAATTTTTTATATTTTTAGTAGAGATGGGGTTTCGCCATGTTGGCCAGGCTGATCTGGAACTCCTGGCCTCATGATCTACCTGGCTCAGCCTCCCAAAGCGCTGGGATTACAGGCTTGAACCACCACACCCAGCCTAGATTTTAGGGACTTTGATCTTTCAGGATTTCAACATTCAGGATTATAGCATTCAGGATTGTGTCTTTGGGGATTATGATCCAAACCCCTCTTTATGTATAAAGCAAGATATACATACAGTCCATAACAAATATACAGTGTATTTATGGTATTAAAATTTCAGGAGAGAGGAGTGTTTAGGGAAAAGGAGTGACCAAAAAATCTCCTTAGACATGATAGTCAAGAAACACTGAACTAGGATAAGGTACTGACAAGGGAGAAAGTCATGGTTAAAGGCATAGTCATAGTTAAAGCGAAAGCAGTAAAAATGTGATATAAAATGGATTTAATGTGAACTTATTTTGCTTAAAATGTGTCCTATTAAGGAATACATCATATGAACATTATCCAGAAGTACAAAAATAATGCAGATGTTTTAAGAAATCCAAATACTGAAATAGGATGGTATTCACATCTTTTCCTGTCTTACAAAGAATTATTTATATTAAATATTTATTAATCTTTGGACTTTTTTGGTATAATGAGGACAGTGGCTGGAGAGAGGAAAATTGGAAGAAGCCTAGAGAGGCTACACGATTTATATGAAAAGGGCATAGAGTTACCTCAGGAGGAAGAGAAGAGATCTAGGAGCAATAGGGGCTGGGAAGTAACCACAGGTGAGCTCAAATAGCCTGAGATCTTTTAGGAAAAAGAAAGGAGATTCAGTGATACGAGAACTTTGAAGAGAATGGCAAGGAAGTTTTAAAGAAGGTTTCTTTTCGGTTGACATTATCAGATGTTATAATTGCCTATTTGCCATCTCTTCAAAATAATAGAATTTTGTAGTATTTGCAAAAATTTTGGAGTGTGACACTGTTGAAAAACAAACATGAATATGTATTTATTCCATTGTATAAAAGCAATAATTTAGAAATTAAAAGAACGTTGCAGAGATCTCTAAATAGAGCTAAAGATTTTTTTCTAAAGTAATGTTTTTGTTTTGTTTCTTAGATAAGCTGTTTTTCCCCCAAATAGTAGAAAAAGCCCATGTAACGTGGGCTTATTACTTTGCAAACCATTTTTTCTAAATACCCCTACCAACAGTTTAAGCAGAGCATTATGCTTGATCTTATATTTTACTAGCCAGCTGTTCTCCATCACTATTTGTCTTTCTGTTCTCTGCCAGGAAACCTCATTTATATCAGCCTTAAATCCTAATTTACATGCATTCACTATCTTTTTTGTTTAATCTTGGTAAATCAAAAATCAGTTAATCTGTCCCTGGATAATTGTATCTATTACAACAACTAAGAGGAAATATATTCTTCTGTCTTTGGAGAAATACCAGTTAAGATTACAACATAGCACTGGGAAGTACAGCTAATCCCCAAACAATGAAGGCATTAGGAGTGTTGACCCCCTCATACAGTCTAAAACTTACATAGAACTTTTGACTCCCCCAAAACTTAAGTTAAATCCTGTGAAGTCATGCACAACATCTGGACAGTTTTCTCTAACAGGAATTTGTTTTTATCTTGATGGCTTTCATGGGTTTTTCTGTTAACAATAGTGACATCTTCAGTAATGTAATACCTTCAGATTTTCGTAATGTTGAATCAGGGTTCTCTTCCATAGTGTTGACAGTCCTTTTCATAGAGGACCATGTGTAATGATCCTTAAAGGTCCTTATGATCCCTTGATCTCGAGGCTAAATTAGAGACATTGTGTTTGGGGGCATGTAGACCACTTTGATGCTTTCAGGGTTGAACTCTTGGGGTTCTGCATGGCCAGGGGCATTGTTCAATATCAAAAGAACTTTAAAAGACAGTCCCTTATTGGCAAGGTCCTTCTGACTTAAGGGACAAAGTGTCTGTCTGAGTCCATTTGTGTTGCTATAAAGGAATATCCGTGGCTGGATAATTTATAAAGAAAAGAGGTTTTATTTGGCTTACAGTTCTGCAAGCTACATGTTCCATGAAAGGGCCATATATATTCAAAGCCAGAAGGAGTTGAGAAAACAAACGAGGCAGACAAATCCAATTTGTCAGTATTGTATGGTTTATTGAGGGAATTTACAGACAGAAGCATGGTCTTGGGTGGCTGCAAGACAGGTAGAGAACTCTGCCCCATAACCCCCCAGACCCAGGGATTATATCTTAGGAAAAAGTATAGGTGGTCTGGTAAGAATGTATAGGTGGCTACAGGAATTGCAGCGTATGATTTCTGCACCAACAGGGATTGTTTTGGAGGAAACTTGTAACGAATAGGTGTTTCTACATAAAGAGTAATACATCAACTAAACATTTTGGAGGCATTCCTGGACTCAGGGTTAGCCAGGTGGATTAGCATTTAAAATAAAGTCACTTCTGTCTCCACACTGTTCAAGAAGCATGGCACCAGCATCTGCTTCTGATGAGGGCCTCAGGAAGCTTCCATTCATGGCAGAAAGCAAAGGGGAGCCAGAATGTACAGATTACATGGCATGAACAAAAACAAGAGAAGGGGGAGGAGGTGCCAGGCTCTTTTTAGCAATCAGTCTGGGGAAACTAATAGGGTGAGAACTAATAGGACAATAGGACAGCACCAAGACATGCATGAAGAACATGCTGCCTTGACCCAAGCATCTCCCATTAGGCTCCCACCTCTAACATTAGGGATCAGATTTCAACATGAGACTTGGTGGGGGCCAAACAAACCGTATCCAAAGCATAGTATTCTGCCCCTGACCCCCCAATCCCATGTCCTTCTCACATTACAAAATATAATCTTCCCATCCCCAAAGTCTTAACTTGTTCTAGCATCAATTCAAAAGTCCAAAGCCTCATCTGAGACTCAAGGTAAGTTCCTTACAGCTGTGAGCCTATGAAATGAAACATATTATTTGCTTCCAAGATACAGTGGTGGTACAGGCACTGAGTAAACATTCCTGTTCCAAAAAGGAGAAATCAAAGAAAGGGGGCAATAGGCCCCGTGCAAATCTGAACCCCAGCAGGACAGACATTAAACCTTAAAGCTCTAAAATCTACTTTAACTTCACATCCTACAACCTGAACACACTGGTGTAAGGAGTGGGCTCCAAAGCCTTATGCAGTTCTGTCCCCGCAGCTTTTCTGGGCATGGCTCAAGTGAGCTGCTCTCATGGGTTAGAGTTGAATGCCTGTGACTTTTCCAGGCTGAGGGTGCGTGCTGTTGATGGTTCTACCATCCAAGGTCTGGAGGGCAGTGGCCATGTTCCCACAACTCCATTAGGAAGTTCCCCAGTGGGGACTCTGCAGGGGTTCCAACCCCACATTTCTGCTTTGCATTGCCTTAGTAGAGTCTCTGTGGGGACTGCCCCTGTGGCAGGCTTTTACCTGGGCACTCAGGCTTTCTAATACTCCTCTGAAATCTAAGTGGAAGCTGGCAAGCCATGACTTGCATTCTGTGTGCCTGCAGACTTAACACGGAAGTTACCAAGGCTTATAGCCTACATCCTCCAGAGAGGCTGGAGCCAGAAGAGCTGGGATGCAGGGAGCAGCATCCTGAGGCAGGAGCCACACAGCAGCAGCACCTGGGATTGTCCCTCAAACTATTCCATCCTCCTAGGCCTCTAGGCCTTTGATAAGAGGGGTAGCCTTGAAGATTTCTGAAATGGCTTCATAGCCTTTTTCTCATTGTTCTGACACCTGGCTCCCTTTTATCATTGCTAATCTCTCTAGCAAGTGATTGGACTCGGCTAATCCAATATTCTTGGATTCCTCTCCTGAAAATGCCCTTTCCTTCTCTACCACACGGCCAGGCTTCAAATTCGCTAAATTTTTATTCTCTGCTTTTAAGTTCTGACTTTAGGTCATTCCTTTGTTCACATATTTGATTGTAGGTTGTTAGAAGCAGCCACACTTTGTTTTTTTTGGAGACAGGGTCTTGCTCTGTCACCCAGGCTGGAGCAGTGGCAGGATTATGACTCACTGCAGCCTTGATCTCCTGGGATGAAATGATCCTCCCACCTCAGCCTCCCAGTAGCTGGAACTACAGGCACATACCACCACACCCAGCTAATTAAAGAAAAAAAAATGTAAAGTTGGAGGACTCACTGTGTTGCCTAGGCTGGTCTCAAACTCCTGGGCTCAAATGATCCTCCTGCCTCAGCCTCCCAAAGTGCTGGGATTACAGGCATGAGCCACCATGCCTGGCCTCACCACTTATTGAACGCTTTGCTGCTTAGAAAGGCGTGGCCTTTACTGTCTGTATTTCTGTCAGCACTTTGGCCACAACCGCTCACACAGTCTAATAAATCCCAAACTTTCCCTTATCTTCCTGTTTTCTTCTGAGCCTTCTAAACTCTTCCAACTTTTGCCCATTACCCAGTTCCAAAGCCACTTCCACATTTTCAAGTATCTTTATAGCAACCACCCTCTCCTTGGTACCAGTTGTCTTCCTTAGTTCATTTGTGTTGCTATAAATGCCTGAGGCTTTGTAACTTGAAAAGAAATTTTATTTGGCTCACAGTTCTGCAGCCTGTACAAGAAGCCTGGTGCCAGTATATCCTAACCACAACATCATTGATTGGACCAATCCAGAAAAAGGGTTCTGATTGTCCAGGCCCTCTTGTACAGTCAAAAGACTGGCAGCTGGTGTTTATCTTTTCCTTTGAAGGCTCAGGGGTTAGCTGCTATATAGACAAGGGCTGTCCTAATAATAAACCTGACTGCATTTGCACAAAACAGTAGAGTTAGCTTTTCCCTTTCTGCCTTAAATCTTGATGCTCGATTCTCTTCCTTACTAATGTGTTTTGTGGCATTTTTTCCTTACTGATAAATGTGTTTTGTGGCATTTTTTTGTGGCAAACTGATGCAGACAGAAAACCAAATACCCCATGTTCTCACTTATAAGTGGGAGCGAAACATTGGCTACATATGGACAAAGACGGGAGCAATAGACACTGAGGACTACTAGAGTGGGGAGAGAAGGAAAGAGGGAAGGGCTGAAAAACTACCTATTGGGTACTATGCCAACTACCTGGGTGATGGGTTTAGTGATACTCCAAACCTCAGCGTCTTGCAATATATCTTTGTAACAAATCTGCACATGTATCCCCTGAAGAGTACAAGTTGAAAAGAAAAAAAAAAGCCCCTGTAGGCTGGGCATGGTGGCTCATGCCTGCAATCCCAGCACTTTGGGAGGCCAAGGCGGGTGGATCACTTGAGATCAGGAGTTCAAGACCAGCCTGGCTAACATGGCAAAACCCCGTCTCTAGTAAAAATTTAAAAAGTAAAAAAAATTAGCCAAGTGTGGTGGCACGCACCTATAATCACAGCCACTCAGGAGGCTGAGATAGGAGAATAGTTTGAACCTGGGAGGTGGAGGTTGCAGAAAGCTGAGATCGCGCCATTGCACTCCAGCCTGGGTGATGGAGTGACTCTGTATCAAAAAAAAAAAAAAAAAAAAAACTATAATAAACATGTTTATTGTATTAAACATGTTTCCCTGAGTTCCGTTAGCTACTCCAACAAATCAATCAAACCTGAGGAGGGGGTTGTGGGAATTCAGATTTATAGTTGGTCGGTGACAAGCACAGGCAAAATAATCTGGGGCTTGCAATTGATGTTGGAAGTTGGCTGGTGAGGAGTGGGAAGTTGGGGGACAGTCTTGGGGACTGAGCCCTCAACCTGTGGGATCTGATGCTATCTTCAGGTAGATAATGTTGAGATTGAATTAGAGTACACCGAGCTGGTGTCTGCTGCAGAAGTGATTGCTTGCTTGGTGTGTGTCAGGGAGACCCTCACTCCCCACATTTGGTCATAAAAGTCCTCTGTGTTGATTGTTGTGAGAATAGAAAAAACACTTTGAGTTTTCCTACTCTCGGAAAGATCAGTATATGAAATAAATTGTATTGCTTTACACTAGCAACAAACAATCCTAAAATGCAGTTAATAAAAGTTCAGTTTATAATAGCATCAAAAAGATAAAATGCTTAGGAATAAATGTAATCAAAGAAGCGTAAGACAGGCCAGATGCAGTGGCTCACACCTGTAACCCCAGCACTCTGGGAGGCCGCGACGGGTGGATGATGTGAGGTCAGGAGTTCCAGACCAGTCTGGCCAACATGGTGAAACTCTGTCTGTATTAAAAATACAAAAATTAGCCAGGTGTGGTGGTGGGCACCTGTAATCCCAGCTACTTGGGAGGCTAAGAAAAGAGAATCACTTGAACCTGGGAGGCAGAGGTTGCAGTGAGCCAAGATCGCACCACTGCACTCCAGCCCAGGCAACAGAGCAAGGCTCAGTCTCAAAAAAAAAAAAAAAAAGTGTAAGACAGTATACTGAAAACTACAAAACATTGTTGAAAGAAATTTTAAAAGACTTAACAATGAAGAAATAAATGGAAAGACATCCCATGTTCATAGATTGGTAAACTTACTACTTTTAAGATTCCAACACTCTTCAATTGATCTACGGAGTCAATGTAATTGCTAGCAGAATTCCAACTGCCTTTTTGTGTAAAAGTTGACAAATTGATCCTAAAATCCATCTGGAAACGCAAATGCCCCAGGATAGCCAGAAAATCTTGAAAAAGAAGAACAACATTTGATGACATACTTCCTGATTTCAAAACTTACTACAAAGCTATGGTAATCAAGGCCATGTAGTACTGGCATAAAGATAATTATATAGCTCAATAGGATACAATTGAAAGTCCAGAAATAAGCACTTACATTATAGTCCATTGATTTTTGACTAGGATTCCAAGACAATTCAGTGGGGGAAAGAATGGTCTTTTTAACAAATGATGCTTAGACAACTGGATATCCACATGCAAAAGAATAAAGTTGGACCCTTACCTTACACCAAATGCAAAAATTAACTCAAAGGGTCATAACCTAAATTTAAGAACTAAAAAACCTTTTAGAAGAAAACGGGTAAATCTTTGTGACCTTTGGGTTAGGCAAAGCCTTCTTAGACATAACATCAAAAGCATGAATGACAAAAGAAAAAAATTGGATAAATTGGATTTTATCAAAGTTGGAAACTTTTATGCTTCAAAGTGGCATCAATAAAGTGAAAAGACAACCCTCAGAATGGAAGAAAATCTGCGAATCATATATACAATGGGGTCTTGTATCTAGAATATGCAAAGAACACTTACAACTCAACAATAAACAATAACCATTTCCCATCCTGGCTAACATGGTGAAACCCCGTCTCTACTAAAAATACAAAAAATTAGCCGGGCGTGGTGGCGGGCGCCTGTGGTCCCAGCTACTCCGGAGGCTGAGGCAGGAGAATGGCGTGAACGTGGGAGGCGGAGCTTACAGTGAGCCGAGATCGTGCCACTGCATTCCAGCCCGGGCGACAGAGCGAGACCCTGTCTCAAAAAAAAAAAAAAAAAAAGAAAATAACCATTTCTCCAAAGAAGGTATACAACTGACCAACAAGTACATGAAAAAATGCACATCATTCGGGAGGCGGAGCTTGCAGTGAGCCGAGATTGCGCCACTGCACTACAGCCTGGGCAACAGAGCAAGACTCCATCTCAAAAAAAAAAAAAATGCACATCATTAGTCATTAGGGAAATGCAAATCAAAACCACAATGAGATACCACTTCATACCCGCTAGGATTACTGTAAGCCAAAAGTCTGACCATATCAAGTGTTGGATAGAATGTGAAGGAACTGTAACCTTCATATGCCACTGATGGGAATGTAAAATGGTGCCACTCCTTGGTAAAACAGTCTGGGAATTACTCAAAATGTTCAACACAGAGTTGCCATATGACCCAGCAATTCCACTCCTAGGTATGTACTCCCAGAGAATTGAAAACATATGTCCTCACGAAAACTTGGTACATGAATGTTCATAGCAACATTATTTATCTCTTAGAATTAGAAAACAGTTTTGTAACTAACTCCAAATGAAATAAATCAGTCAAAGATTACCAATGCTAAAACCGTTTGGTAAATGTTGAATGGGAGCTGAATATCCACAGTGCCAAAATATCACCCTATAGGTTACTTGCTAGTCATAAAAATAGAAAATGTCATAATTGACTATCTGGTTGTTTTCACCTTAACCCAGTAATCAAACTTAACATTACTAGTGGGAAATTATACTGCTGAAGGACAGAATACAGGTTGGACCACTTGGAAAGCAGCTGAAATATTGAAAACTCTTTTTTTTTTTTTCCAAGACAGAGTCTTGCTCTGTCGCCCAGGCTGGAGTGCAGTGGCGTGATCTCGGCTCACTGCAACCTCTGCCTCCCGGGTTTAAATGATTCTCCTGCCTCAGTCTCCAGAGTAGCTGGGATTACAAGCGCACGCCACCACACCCAGCTAATTTTTGTATTTTTAGTAGAGACGGGGTTTCACCATGTTGGGCAGGCTGGTCTCAAACTCCTGACCTCGTGATCCACCCGCCTCAGCTTCCCAAAGTGCTGGGATTACAGGCGTGAGCCACCGCACCTGGCCCATTGAAAACGTTTATGGTTAGCCTTTGATCAAGCAAGAGTGATTTACAAACAGCACCAGTTCATAAGGTGGCCAGCCATCCTTGTTTGCTTGGAACTTTTCCGGTTTTTGCATTGGAAGTCCCACATACTGAAAAATTCATCATTGGTCCCTGAGCCAGCAAAATTACTTTTGTACCCCTTCTCCAGGTTCTCACCTCCCTGCTCGAATCCTGGAATTAGGGAAGGAGGAATTGAATAACAAGGAAAAATGATAAAAAGTAATGAGACTTTGTTCCCCAGAAGTAACTGGTCCCTGAGCCAATAAAGGAGAGAAGCTTTTTTTTTTTTTTTTGAAGGAGGGATATTTTTACTTAATGAAAGCACATGTCATGAAATTTTAAAAGGCAAAAGCATCGCAAGTCATAATGAAATTCTCATTTCCTCCTTCCAAGCTTATTTATTTTCTAGCAAAATATATTGTTTCAACTCCCAGGCTTAAGGGAAATAATCTTTGATATAAGAAGTTATTGTGGAAAGTCATTAAGCTGTCATGCCCAAACCAAATGTTCATACCCCACTCCTTATCAAAGAGCACCAGAAAATGCACCCACACAAGATCCCCTGCAAGCAGAGACCATATGCTTTGTTGAAATGGTTGAGCTAAGAGATCAAAGAAGCTTTAATAGAAAACCAAAGCCATACTCAAACCATCCTGCAGCTAAAACAGAATCTCAGCATGTCAAAGCAGAAAGGAAAATCAGCATGAAAAGATATTTTATTTAACACTCACAGGACGCTGCCTAGGAACCAGGCACTATTCCAGGCACCGTCCAAGTGTTCACTCATCGAATCCCTGCTGCAAACTGTGAGGCAGGTGGTATTAGCTCAGTCATCCCCATTTCACAGATGGGGAAACTGAGGGACGGAGCACTTAAGTCCTGTGCACCCAGGTAGCTAGATCCAGAGTCCACGACATGCATGTGACCACTCTACTACACAGCCATGTGGTTGTGGTCTAGAGGTGTTAACTAACTTGCCAGCGGTTAGCACTGAACGATTGTGTGGGTTTCATACAGGACTGCGACCCATCTTTTAAAAAAGTTCTTGCTAAGAATTACCACAAAAACAAACGTGTATGGCATCTAAAAACTAAAACAGTGCTAGGCATGGTGGCACGAGCCTGCAGTCCCAGTGACTTGGGAGGCTAAGGTGGGAGGATCTCCTGAGGCCAGGACTTCCAGACCAGCCTGAGAAACATAGCAAGGTCCCATCTCTACAAATAAATACATAAACAAATAAATATAAATAAAGCATATGCAGCCTCAGCGACATTTTAGGCAGTTTAAGAACATCTCTACTCTACTATTTTTCCTTTTTTTTTTTTTTGAGACAAAGTCACTCTGTCACCCAGGCTGGAGTGCAATGGCACAATCTCGGCTTACTGCCACCTCTGCCTCCCGGGTTCAAGCGATTCCCCTGCCCCAGCCTCCTGAGTAGCTGGGACTACAGGCACGTGCCACCACACCCAGCAAATTTTGTGATTTTAGTAGAGATGGGTCTTCACCGTGCTGGCCAGGCTGTTCTCGAACAGGAGAGAAGCTTTAAATTGGATGTTGGCTTTGTTGTTGTTGTTGTTGTTGTCGATGTTTTTGGTGGGTAATAAAAATGTTCCCAAATTGGTTGTGGCAGTGGTTGCACAACTCTGTGAATATGCTAAAAACCATTGACTTGTACACTTCAAGCGGTTGAATTGCATGTAATTTCATCTTAATAAGGCTGTTTAAAAATGGATGTGAGAAAGAAGTTTCAGATTAGATTAGCCTGGACCTTTTTATACCTGAGAGAGACCAAAAAGCTGTAGGATCTGCCTTGAGATGTGGTCAAGACAAGGGAAGGGGCTGGGCGCTGTGGCTCACGCCTGTAATCCCAGCACTTTGGGAGGCCGAGGCTGGCGGATCACCTGAGGTCAGGAGTTCAAGACCAGCCTAGCCAACATGGTGAAACCCCGTCTCTACTAAAAATACAAAAATTAGCCGTGTGGCTCACGCCTGTAATCCCAGCACTTTGGGAGGCTGAGGCAGGCGGATCACGAGGTCAGGAGATCAAGACCATCCTGGCTAACATAGTGAAACCCCGTCTCTACTAAAAAGACAAAAAATTAGCCAGGCATAGTGGCACGCGCCTGTAGTCTCAGCTACTCGGGAGGTTGAGGCAGGAGAATCGCTTGAACCCAGGAGGCGGAGGTTGCAGTGAGCCGAGATCGCGCCACTGCACTCCAGCCTGGATGATAGAGCGAGACCCTGTCTCAAAAAAAAAGAAAAAAAAAGTTAGCTGGGCGTGGTGCCGCGTGCCTGTAATCCCAGCTCCTCGGGAGACTGAGGCAGGAGAATCGCTTGAACCCAGGAGGCAGAGGTTGCCACAAGCTGAGATTGTACCACTGCACTCCAGCTTGGGCAGCAGAGCGAGACTTCATCTCAAAAAAAAAAAAAAAAAAAAAGACAAGGGAAGAGAGTTTCACATGGCACAGTTGAAGACACAGGTGGGAGCAAAATACTATTTCTTATTTGTTCTCTAGTTTACGTCTTTCGGTAAACTGGCTACACTGGTTTGATTGGATATTTTTTCCCCTACAACCAAGAGTTGTGACGAAAATATTCAATCCACCCATTCCTGTGCAGATGAAAAATTTTATCCTTTAAAATCACAATGTTGTGTATTTGGATTGTATTGCTCTGGTTCCTCACAGAATTTTTTTAAAAAATATCAGACCACATTGGCATTATGCCACTAGTCTATACTGAAAATGTATTCGAGGCCAGGCACAGTGGCTCATGCCTGTAATCCCAGCTCCTTGGGAGGCTGAAGCAGGTGGATCGCTTGAGCTCAGCAGTTTGAGATGAGCCTGGGCAACATGGCAAAACCCCATCTCTACAAAAAAATACAAAAATTAGCTGGTCATGGTGGTGCGCACTTGTAGTCCCAGCTACTGGGGAGGCTGAGGTGGGAGAATCGCGTAAGCCCTAGAGATGGAGGTTGCAGTGAGCTGGAGGTTGCAGTGAGCTGAGATCACACCACTGCACTCCAGCCTGGACAATAGAGCAACACTATCTCAAAAAAAAAAATTAGAAACAGCTGTATAAAATATTTATATAGGTGTGTCATTGGAGCCCTAGAAGAGAATGTTTTTCTTAAGTGTTAGCCTGAGGAGTAGCTGGGCTTCTGAACAATTGGTTTGTATATGGAATTATATCATTATAAAGACATTTTTTTTTTTGTCTGCCTAGCTCTTTTCCTTTCTGAAGCTGCCCCTGAATAATGATGCTTTCCTGGTGCGACTGTTAATCACATAGATTTAATTCCCCTGCCCATGGGAGGGGAATTGGCTAGCCAGTCAGAATGCCTCATTCCTTTGTTCATATTCATTGGTCCAGAGCTGGGAACACAACACAAACAGGGCTGTTCAGAATCCTACGAAAGACTTTTCCTGGAGCTGTCAGGAAAGAGACACTCTTTTTGCTAGGGTTACTGGTCATGAGGACCATGTAAGTCTAGAGCTTTCGTAGCCATTTTTACCACCAAGTGGGAAGAGCCTACTTGAGAACGAAACCAACACAGTTGCAAACGTCCTAAGGATGTTGTTTGAGACTCTGAACCCATCTGCGCCTAAAGCTAGATCATTCATGGACTTTTCTATTAAATTAGCCAATACATTTTCTTTTTCATTTTTTTGTTTATACCAGTTTGATTTGGATCTCTGTCCCTTGCAACCAAAAGAAGCCTCACTGATATAGTCTCTGATTAAGTTTCCCTCCTTTCATTGGTACATAGGAAGGAAGCTCAGAGTCAAAATTGCAGCCCACATGTAGCAAGTGGACAGGATCCTATTGAATGAATTTTGTATAATGGGCTTGTCCCTCGTTTTATCTTCTTTTTTCTATTCTTTTTTTCTTCACTCACATTGTATCTTGTTATATTTTACATGTTTTTCTAAGCCACTACAAATTCTTTTTACAATATGACAATAAATAGTAGAGATTGTTTCCCACATTGTCCTGAATCTGGACTACAATAAAACTAAAGGTTTATTTCTAACGTACATCATTGGTTTCCTGTCCAGACTTCATCTCTCCCTTCTCTTCCAACCCTGGTTTTGTCCTAGAAATCACTCTTCTTCCATGTAGCCCATGTGCTTTAGGGAAGGCTGACCTTACCACAGCTTCAGGATGGGCCTGATTAATCCAAGAGTAACCTCATCCTTGTAAGGAATTGATTCAGGAATTTACACCACTGAGATACCAGGAGAAGTTTGCTGGTGGATTCTACTTCTGGGAGACCTACTGAAAATGACCTTTTCCGTCTTTTACTATATGTTATGGTGTGTGGGTGTGAGTCCTGAAACTGTTGCAGCCATCTCACCCACCTATTTGAGGATTACGCTGATGGCGAAAGAGAACAAAACAAAGAATGAGAGGAAGTTGGAGCAGAGCCACTAGAGTAAGTCAAGCCTGAGAACTGGTCTATTTGTGGGTTCTGGTTATTTGAACCAATAAGTATTTTCATTCAAGTCACTTCGAGTTGGTTATACCCTTTTTTTTTTTTATTTTTTATTTTTCGAGACAAAGCCTTGCTCTGTCGCTCAGGCTGGAGCACAGTGGCATGACCTCAGCTCACTGCTGTCTTCACCTCCTGGGTTCAAGTGATTCTTCTTCCTCAGTCTCCTGAGTAGCTGGGATTACAGGCACATGCCACCATGCCCAGCTAATTTTTTTTTTTTTGTTAGAGCCGGAGTTTCACCATGTTGGCCAGGCTGGTCTCAAACTCCTGTCCTCTAGTGATCTGCCCGCCTCAGCCTTCCAAAGTGCTGGGATTACAGGCGTGAGCCACCATGCCCAGCCGAAGTTGGGTATACCCTTTAGAAGAATTTTAATATAATTGGAGAATAAGTTCATTTTCCCTCTAGCAGTTGCTAGTGACCTTTGTTAGTAGGGTTAAGAACCTTCCAAAGCTCTGTTACAGTATGACAGTCATTTGCAAGAGATATCCTATCTTTAGGAAAACTATCTTACTAGTTAAGTCATTTGGGTTGGCTGAGTTCAATGGCTTTTAAACCACCATACAGCTTACATAAGCCACTCAGAGTTCAGTCGACTTCATAAAGTACTTTGTACCTTGAAATTGTTTAGAAGTCAATTATAGTTTCTGTGAAGATAAGGCACCTGTAAATAAGTGATCCTATTTGGAGATCTTTCAACTCATTCACAAGGGTCCACTTACAAGATACCGAAGTAATGGCCCTTACCTTCTTTATAGGTCAAAAGAAACAGAATCTCCTTCTCCTGGATACATGATACAACACAGTTGTCTCTCATGTCAGAAGTCATGATTACGAGAATAGCACACTTTAGCCCATATCCTTGTACCCAGCACTGTACTCGATGCTCTGTGGATGCAACCTCAATGGTAAAATAATTTAAGCTCAAAGTAAGATATTCTTTCAATAAGATGTAGACCTCTTACTGCAAACTCCTTTTGCAAATTACCACTTGGTAATCTCTCTCAAATATGTCCCAAAACAACAAGTTAAAAAAAAAAACTAGCTGAAAAGCTAAGTGCTAATAAAAGCACTCTCAAAATTTCTACTTATATGTCTGAACATATATAAACACACAGAGAAATACATATTTTACAGTGCTAATATTTTAAGTGCTAATAAAAGCACTCTGAAAATTTCTACTTGTATGTCTGAACATATATAAACACACAGAGAAATACATATTTTACACTCTTGGCAGTAGGCTTAAAGATATTTGTTCAGCAAATTTTCTTGGGCCCACTAATTTGGCCATTCTCATGTTCTCAATTCACAAAACTATCTATAATAATAGTCCAAATATAAATTATAAGAATGAATTTGTTATTATGCACTTAAATAAGTTCATAGTAAAAAGACCAACATATGTCAAGGTAGTGTTTTTCCTTACCATGATAAAAATAATAAGAGCTATCTATGACAAACCCACAGCCAATATCATACTGAATGGGCAAAAACTGGAAGCATTCCCTTTGAAAACTGGCACAAGACAGGGATGCCCTCTCTCACCGCTCCTATTCAACATAGTGTTGGAAGTTCTGGCCAGGGCAATCAGGCAGGAGAAGGAAATAAAGGGTATTCAATTAGGAAAAGAGGAAGTCAAATTGTCCCTGTTTGCAGACGACATGATTGTTTATCTAGAAAACCCCATCGTCTCAGCCCAAAATCTCCTTAAGCTGATAAGCAACTTCAGCAAAGTCTCAGGATACAAAATCAATGTACAAAAATCACAAGCATTCTTATACACCAACAACAGACAAACAGAGAGCCAAATCATGAGTGAACTCCCATTCACAATTGCTTCAAAGAGAATAAAATACCTAGGAATCCAACTTACAAGGGTTGTGAAGGACCTCTTCAAGGAGAACTACAAACCACTGCTCAAGGAAATAAAAGAGGACACAAACAAATGGAAGAACATTCCATGCTCATGGGTAGGAAGAATCAATATCGTGAAAATGGCCATACTGCCCAAGGTAATTTACAGATTCAATACCATCCCCATCAAGCTACCAATGACTTTCTTCACAGAATTGGAAAAAACTACTTTAAAGTTCATATGGAACCAAAAAAGAGCCCGCATCGCCAAGTCAATCCTAAGCCAAAAGAACAAAGCTGGAGGCATCACACTACCTGACTTCAAACTATACTACAAGGCTACAGTAACCAAAACAGCATGGTACTGGTACCAAAACAGAGATATAGATCAATGGAACAGAACAGAGCCCTCAGAAATAATGCCACATATCTACAACTATCTGATCTTTGACAAACCTGAGAAAAACAAGCAATGGGGAAAGGATTCCCTATTTAATAAATGGTGCTGGGAAAACTGGCTAGCCATATGTAGAAAGCTGAAACTGGATCCCTTCCTTACACCTTATACAAAAATCAATTCAAGATGGATTAAAGATTTAAACGTTAGACCTAAAACCATAAAAACCCTAGAAGAAAACCTAGGCATTACCATTCAGGACATAGGCGTGGGCAAGGACTTCATGTCCAAAACACCAAAAGCAATGGCAACAAAAGCCAAAATTGACAAATGGGATCTAATTAAACTCAAGAGCTTCTGCACAGCAAAAGAAACTACCATCAGAGTGAACAGGCAACCTACAACATGGGAGAAAATTTTCGCAACCTACTCATCTGACAAAGGGCTAATATCCAGAATCTACAATGAACTCAAACAAATTTACAAGAAAAAAACAAACAACCCCATCAAAAAGTGGGCGAAGGACATGAACAGACACTTCTCAAAAGAAGACATTTATGCAGCCAAAAAACACATGAAGAAATGCTCATCATCACTGGCCATCAGAGAAATGCAAATCAAAACCACTATGAGATATCATCTCACACCAGTTAGAATGGCAATCATTAAAAAGTCAGGAAACAACAGGTGCTGGAGAGGATGTGGAGAAATAGGAACACTTTTACACTGTTGGTGGGACTGTAAACTAGTTCAACCATTGTGGAAGTCAGTGTGGCGATTCCTCAGGGATCTAGAACTAGAAATACCATTTGACCCAGCCATCCCATTACTGGGTATATACCCAAAGGACTATAAATCATGCTGCTATAAAGACACATGCACACGTATGTTTATTGCGGCACTATTCACAATAGCAAAGACTTGGAACCAACCCAAATGTCCAACAATGATAGACTGGATTAAGAAAATGTGGCACATATACACCATGGAATACTATGCAGCCATAAAAAATGATGAGTTCATGTCCTTTGTAGGGACATGGATGAAATTGGAAACCATCATTCTCAGTAAACTATCGCAAGAACAAAAAACCAAACACCGCATATTCTCACTCATAGGTGGGAATTGAACAATGAGATCGCTTGGACACAGGAAGGGGAATATCACACTCTGGGGACTGTGGTGGGGTCGGGGGAGGGGGGAGGGATAGCATTGGGAGATATACCTAATGCTAGATGACACGTTAGTGGGTGCAGCACACCAGCATGGCACATGTATACATATGTAACTAACCTGCACAATGTGCACATGTACCCTAAAACTTAGAGTATAATAAAAAAAAAAAATTTAAAAAAAAAAAAAAAAGAAACACTCAAAAAAAAAATAAAATAAAATAAAATAAAATAAACACAGCTTTGTGTTATCAACAGATTGTTTTGATCAACAGGTTGTGTTGGTGATGCTTTCAGGGAACTAATATGCTAATATCCTACAACATTCACCATCTTATATTTCTCTTTCTTTCTTTTGAGAGAGAGAGAGAGAGATCGAGAGACAAGGTGTCTTGTAAGGTCTGGGCTTTCTGAAAAGAAAAAAAAAATAGAGACAGGATCTCGCTTTGTCACCCAGGCTGCAGTGCAGTGGCACAATCAGCTCACTGCCACCTTAAACTCCTGGGCTCAAGCAATCCTCCACCTTTAGCCTACCAAGTAGCTGAGACTACAGAAATGCACCACCACAACTGGCTAATTTTTTTTTTTTTTTTTTTTTTTTTTTTTTTGTAGAGTTGGGGTCTTGCTATGTTGCCAAGGCTGGTCTCAAGTGATCCTCCTGCTTTGGCCTTCCAAAGTGTTGAGATTACATAAGCGTGAGACATTGCATCCAGCCCTTATATGTGTGGGGTTTTTTTTAGCTTATTTTTTTCAGTCTTCTAGCTCTTCTGCAATTAACCACTATTAACAGTTTCTTTCCGAAATGTTTGATAATTTACTTGTATTTAATTGCTTGTGAAGCTATCTATATGTTTTTCCATGTGATAATTTACTGTTTATATTGCCCCCCATGTTATTTATATCAGATATATTCTCAGTTTGGCTGCTTTCAATATTAATATTTGTTTTATAACATTCTCTTTAAAAATTATGTATACATATTTCTCTTTTATAATATCATCCTTTGTTTCCAGTACTCAGAAGAGTATTTTTTTGTCTAGTGCATCTTTTTATGTTAGTTCATTTTTTTCTGGTATTTTATGACCTATCAAGGATGTACTGTATGGGATGATATGAAGTAAAGACCTAAATTAATCTTTCTTTCTTTCTTTCTTTCTTTTTTTTAATTTGACAGAGTCTTGTTCTGTCACCCAGGCTGGAGTGCAATGGCACAATTTCGGCTCACTGCAACCTCTGCCTCCTACGTTCAAGTGATTCTCTGCCTCAGCCTCCTGAGTAGCTGGGATTACAGGAGCTCACCACCACGCCTGGCTAATTTTTGTATTTTTTAGTAGAGATGGGGTTTTGCCATGTTCTCCAGGCTGGTCTGGAACTCCTGACCGCAAGTGATCCACCCGCCTCAGCCTCCCAAAGTGCTGCATTTACAGGCAAGAGCCACCGTGCTCGGCCTAATCATTTATTTTCTATGTTGATATCCTGTTGCCCAAAAAATACGGAACAATTCAGCCCATTTGCGGTAGTTTGTCACAAGTTAAAAGTTTATCCTTTAAATATACAAGGAACATCATTCTGTACCACTGATAACTTTCATTATTTGTAAAAGTATATACTCTTTGTAAAAATTATCTAAAACTTTGAATAGTTAACTCTTTTTTATAGAACCTAAGTCTAATTCAATGAGTTCATTCATTATTTAACATATTCTTTGAATTTATTCAAAAGAATTTCACTGTATTTCAATTTTTAATAATTACAGGAAGAATAGTTTTACAATAGAAGAAAGTTTTTTTTAAAATTCATGTTAATTCAATTATCTGTATGTCTTTTTTGGTCCCTGGATATTCCAAAACTATATATATATATATATATATATATATATATATATATATATATATATATATATATATATATTTTTTTTTTTTTTTTTTTTGAGACAGAGTTTCGCTCTTGTTGCCCAGACTGGAGTGCAATGGCATGATCTTGGCTCACCACAGCCTCCACCTCCCAGGTTCAAGCCATTCTCCTGCCTCAGCCTCCCGAGTAGCTGGGATTGCAGGCATGCACCACCACGCCTGGCTAATTTTGTATTTTTAGTAGAAATGGGGTTTCTCCATGTTGGTCAAGCTGGTCTCGAACTCCCAACCTCAGGCAATCCATCTGCCACGGCCTCCCAAAGGGCTGGGATTACAGGCATGAGCCACTGCGCCCGGCCTCTAAAAAGATTTTTGTTTGTTTTGGAAGTATAAAAATGTTAATATTATTCTTGGGGGGAGAATTTGGGAGTAATTATTTTATTATTTCCTAGTTACAGTTTTTAATTTTTTATAGGAACATGAATTACTAGCTCAATTTAAAAAATGTGAAGGGAAAACAATGTTTTTACTGTTCTCACTTAAATTTGGATATGTGTTCCAAGATACTACACAAGAATGAAAATCCTTATTAAATCTATCTCTAATGATTAACCAAAAGTGGACCACTCTGCTTATCTTGGACATTGAACTTTTGTAGATTTTTCAAAGTTATTTAAGTGCAAAACTTAATTAGTTAACATTTGCTTGCTAAATAGAAATGATACAGCATATTTTCTCCTGAATCATGTAGATGAGTCATTCTTTTCTATTGAATTATCTCTGTGCAATCCATGATTTACACTGCAGCACACCCACACTGAGTCATTAAGAAGAGATGTTTTGAGACCATTAAGAGGAGATTTGGGATCAATCTTTTTACATAGGACCAGCAGAGCTAAGTTTAGAATTCAGGTTTCCTGACTCCTTTATTTATGTTTTGCAGTGTTTCATTGTACAGCCTTCCTATCCCTATTAAAAATATCAAGGCATTCGTCCCATCTTTTGATGCTTTTATGATTCTCAGTGATTCCAGAAGATTACAGATCATGGTTCTGCAATGCTTCTGTCAGTCCTTTTAGAACCCATTTTGGGCTGCAGGAACTTTCATATTCATTCATTTCATTTTTTACATTCATTAATGTAAAAAAGAAAGGCTCAGAAGCCCCTGCCTTCCCCCACCCCAAGAATAACCACTGTGAATAGTTTATTTGAATCAACGTTTATATTGTTTGAATCTGTTAAGTGTAAATACATAATTTTTTAAATCAAAATGGAATCACACTATTCTACCACTTGCTTTTTTAAAATAGACTTTATTTCTTAGAGCAGTTTTAGGTTCACAGCAAAATTGAACAGAAAGTATAGAGACTTCACATAATGCCCTGCCCCCATTATGTATGGCCTCCCTCATCATCAGTTTATCACCAGCCCCCACCAGAGTGGTACATTTGTGTCAACTGATGAACCTACATTGACATAACACTATCACACAAAGCCCATAGTTTACACTAAGGTTCACTATTGGTTTTCTCTATTCTATGAGTTTGGACAAATTTATAATGACATCTATTCACAACTATAGTTATCATACAGAATAATTTCACTGCCCTAAAAATGCTCTGAGCTCCACCTATTCATTCCTCCCTCCCTGCTAACCCCTGGCAACCTCTGATCTTTTTACTGTCTCCCTAGTTTTGACTTTTCCAGAATGCCGTCTAGTTGGAATCATACAGTATGTAGCCTTTTCAGGTTGACTTCTTTCACTTAATAATATGCATGTAAGTTTCCTACACATCTTTTCATGGCTCAATAGTTCATTTCTTTTTAGCACTGAATAATATTCCATTGCCTGGTATATTATGACTATTGATGTTTAATATGATGATTGATACAGTTGGATTATTATCTACCATGTTTGTGGTGACTATTTCTCTTTGTTGTCTTTGTTCTCTTTTCCTATTTTTTCTTCCACTCTTTTTTTCACTTTTGTGGTTTAGTTGACTGTTTTATATGATTACATTTTCTCTTCTTTCTTAGCATATCAGTTATACTTCCTCTTTTTCTTTTTTACATTTTTAGCAGTTGCCCTAGAGGTTTTTTGTTTGTTTGTTTGTTTTTGGTTTTCTTTTTGAGACGGAGTCTAGCTCTGTCGCCAGGCTGGAGTGCAGTGGCACCGTCTCGGCTCATTGCAACCTCCACCTTCCGGGTTCAAGTGATTCTCCAGCCTCCTGAGTAGCTGGATTATAGGCATGTGCCGCCACGCCCAGGTAATTTTTGTATTTTTAGTAGAGACGGGGTTTCACCATGTTAGCCAGGATCGTCTCTAACTCCTGACCTTGTGATTTGCCCACCTCAGCCTCCCAAAGTGCCCAGGATCCCAGCCATAGAGTTTTAAATACACATTTACAATGAATCCAAGTCCACTTTCAAAGAACACTATGCACTTTACAGGTAGTGCGAGTACCTTATAATAACAAAATAATCCTAATTCTCCCTCCCATCCCTTATGTCTTTGCTGTCATTCATTTTTGTTATACATAAGCATTTAAAAATATACACAGAAATATGCATGATTGAATACATTGTTGCTATTATTTTGAGTGAACTGCTATTTTTTAGGTCAGTTAGAATTAAATAATTTATTTCACCTTATTTCTTCTCCAGTGCTCTTCCTTTCTTTATGTAAATCCAAATTTCTGACCTATATCATTTTCCTTCTCTCTTAAGCAGGGGTCCCCAGCACCTGGGCCACAAACTGGTGCTGGTCCAAGGCCTGTTAGGGCTGCACAGCAGGTGGTGAGCAGCAGGCTTCTTAGCTCCACCTCCTGTCAGATCAGCAGAGGCATGTGATTCTCATAGGAGTGTGAGCCCTATTGTGAAGTGTGCATGTGAGGGATCTAGGTTGCACACCCTTATGAGATCTAATGCCTGATGATCTGAGGTGGAACAGTTTCATCCTGAAACCATTCCCCACAAAATTGGTCTCTGGTGCCAAAAAGGTTGGGGACCACTCCTCTATAGGAATTCTTTTAACATTTCTTGCAAGGCAGGTCTACTGGCAACAAATTCCCTCAGTCTTTGTTTGTGTGAGAATGTATTTATGTATTTATTATTATTTTATATATATATATAGAGAGAGAGAGAGACAGAGAGAGAGAGAGAGAGAGAGAGAGAGAGTGTCTCACTATGCTGCCCAGGCTGGACTCAAACTCTTGGATCAAGCAATCCCTCCACCTCAGCCTCCTGAATAGCTGGGACTATAGGCACGCACCACTGTGCCTGGCTTCTCTTTACTTTTAAAGAATAATTTTGTGGGTACAGAATGCTGGCTGTTGGTGGCTTTTTTCTCTCACCACTGTAAATATTTCATTCCATTCTCTTCTTGCTTGCATGCTTGCTGAGGAAAAGTTGGACATAATTTTCATCTTTTCTCCTCTACAAGTAAGGTCTTTTTCCCCGGGCTTCATTCAGAATTTTTTATCTTTGATTTCCTGCAACTTATATATGCATGCCTGGTTGTAGGGCTTTTGTTTGTTTGTTTGGCATTTGTTCTACTTGGTGTTCTCTCAACTTCTGTGATCTGTGATTTGGTGTCTGAAATTAGTATGAGGGAAATTCTCTTTCATTATTGCTTCAAATATTTATTCTGTTCCTTTCTCTGGTTATTCTCTTCCTGCTATTTCCATTACACATATGTTATACCCTTTGTAGTTGTCCCATAGTTCTTGGAGATTCTGTTTATATAGTCTTACTTATTTTTGCAGTTTTGGCAGTTATTTTCAAGTTCAAATATTCTGTTTTCAGCCTTGTTCAGTCTACCAAAAAGCCCATCAAAGGCATTCTTTATTTCTATTACAGTGTTTTTGATCTCTAGTATTTATTTCTTTTTAGTTCTTTCTTAGAATTTAAACTCTCTGCTTACATCGACCCATTTGTTCTTGTATGCTGTCTACTTTATCCATTAGAGCCCTTGGCATTGTGATCATAGTTGTTTTAAATTTCTGGTCTGATAATTCCAACATCCCAGTCATATCTGAGTTTGGTTCTGAGGCTTGCTCTCTGTCTCTTTAAAGCCTTTTTTTTTTCTTTTTTTTTTTTTGCCTTTTAGTATGCCTGGCAATGTTTTCTTCATAGCTGGACAGGATATACGGAGTAAAAGGAAGTGCTGTAACTAGACCTTTAGTAGTGTGGTATACAGTGGGGGAGGGGGAGAGGAAGAGTTCTATAGTTCTGTGAAGAGGTCTCAGTCTTTTAGTAAACCTGTGTCTCTAGACTGAATTTCACAAGTGCTTCTCAGTTCCTATCTGCCCCGATCCCTGTTAGGTGGGACGTGATGGCTAGAGTGGGCTGCAGCTGGGTATTTTCAGTTTTCATGTGGAAGGCTAGAAGAGACTGGAGTTCTTATTTCCCTTCTCCGGCATCATTTAGGCTCCTATAAATCAAGAGCATTAGGCTCTATTTAAACAGTTTTTCCCAAGGGCAGACTTTGTTTAGAAGAGAAGAATAGAGTGTCCAGGTATATTTCAAATGGTTACTTTTCCTATCCCCTCTGCCAGGGACATGGAAGCAGGAGGAGATTTTTCTCTAATAAAAAGAGAACAATATTTGAGAACCTCTTTGAATTCCTATGGGTAAACTCATGAAAGTGTGGAGATCATCCCCTCCTTATGGCTGAGTCACTCTGGAATTTTTCTCTCTCAAACTTATCTACACTGGGCCTCCGGCAATTCAATTACAGTTCAGGTTTTCCTGCCCTAGCCCTGGTTCCTGCTGAGATTTCTTTTCTTTTTTCTTTTTTTTTTTTTTTTTTTTTTTGAGACAGTGTCTCTGTTGCCCAGGCTGGAGTGCAGTGGCGTGATCTCAAGTCACTGCAAGCTCCGCTTCCCGGGTTCACGCCATTCTCCTGCCTCAGCATCTCCGAGTAGCTGGGACTACAGGCGCCCGGCACCACGCCCGGCCAATTTTTTGTATTTTTAGTAGAGACAGGGTTTCACTGTGGTCTCGATCTCCTGACCTCGTGATCCGCCCGCCTCGGCCTCCCAAAGTGCTGGGATTACAAGCGTGAGCCACCGCGCCCGGCCCCTGCTGAGATTTCTGCGCCAGTAAATTGTGATTTTTGATATTCTCTTGTTTATCTCTTCAGTTTGCCCTGTAACCTTATCTCTCTACAGATCTAAGAAGAGTTATTGATTTTTCTATTTGTTCAGATTTTTAGTTATTGTTAGGAAAGATTCATGACTTCCTGGCTCCTTACTTGCTTTTCTCATTCAATATTCCCTATGAGTACATATTTTATACTTTAAGCAACTTGTTTTGATGAACATTTAGATTCTCCACCCTCTCTTTTTTTGATTACTTAGAACGTTTAGGCCAGACACGATGGCTCATGCCTGTAATCCCAGCAGTTTGGGAGGCCGAGGCGAATGGATCGCTTGAGCCCAGGAGTTTGAGGCTCTACAAAAAAATTAAAAAAAGAAAATTAGGTGTTAATCCTTGACCTTATATTTCTCAAAGTTTTACCAAGAGTTCCCCCGGACTCCGAGTCCTACCACCAGTGCCAAGAGAAGTATGCAGCCTAAAGGTGCACCCTGCCCCAAGTGAGATCTCTTAGTTCCACAGCTGACCTTTCCTGGCTCTTCTGGTGAGTGGTATGGAAAATGATGGAGAAACTGCCATATGTTTTCATAATGGTCAGACCAATTTACATTTCCATCAACAGTATACTAGGGTTCCCTTTTCTCCACACCCTTGCCAGCACTTATCTTGTTGTTTTTTTTTTTTTTTTGTAATAGCCATCCTAATAGGTATGAGGTGGTATCTAACTGTGGTTTTGATTTGTGTTTTCCAGATGACTTGTGAAGTTGATTCAGTTGTCATATACCTGTTGGCCATTTATATGTCTTCTTTGGAAAAGTGTCTGTTCAAGTCCTTTGCCCACTTTTTAATTTGTTAGTGTATGTTTGCTATTGAGTTGTATGAGTTCCTTATAGTATATTGTGGATATTAACTCTTCATCAGTTATATGGTCTGCAAATATTTTCTCCCACACTGAATGCTGCCTTTTCATTTTTTTTATGTGTATACTTGACTTTTAAAATCAGTAACAAGGTCCATACAATTCACATTTGGCTGATATGCCTCTTGATTCTCTTGTAATTTGTAAGTTCCTTTGACTCCTTTCCTTCTTTTAATTTATTTATTAAAAAATGGAATCATTTGCACTATAGAATCTCCCACATTCTGGATTTTGACAATTGCATTCCAATGGAGTCCTTTAGCATGTTCCTGTGTTTCTTATAATCCGGTAGTTAGATCTAGAATTTGACCAGATTTAAGGCCAATTTTTTTTAGCTAGGATACTGCATGGGTGGTTATGTTTTAGCTAGGATACCGCATGGGTGGTTCATGATATCATGAAAAAAGCATGTTCTTAAAGCAATTTAAGTGACAGTACAAAAGGTTGGGTCAGGTGGGGCACGGTAGCTCATGCCTGCAATCCCAGCCCTTTGGGAGGCCAAGGCAGAAGGATTGTTGAAGCCTGGAGTTTGAGACCAGCCTGGGCAACATAGTGAGACCCCGTCCCTACAGAAAACATTTTTTTAATTAGCTGGGCTTGTTGGCATGTGCCTGTAGTCCCAGCTACTCAGGAAGCTGAGGCAGGAAGATCGCTTGAACCCATGAGGTCAAGGCTGCAATGAATCATGATGGCAACACTGCACTCTAGCTCAGGCAACAGACCAAGACCCTGTCTCAAAAAACAAAAAACAATAACAAAAAAAGAAAAGGTTGGGTCGATGACAGTTTCTAGCGACTGATGCCACCACTCTGTTTACAGAATCACCCCTCTCCTCTGGCCCTGATGTTTTATCATGATATCATATTTACAATGCCTGGCAAAGGCTTCATTCCCATTTGGCATACTACCTCTCAGGCAAATAGAACTTTTGAAAGCCTGTATTATGTATATAACATATAGGCTCACACTGGATAAGCTATTTTATAACCTGACTTCTTCAAAGAAAGTTTACATCATGTTTAAACCATGTTTTAGATTCTATATTTTTAATTAAAAATCTAAGGAAGAAGGATATTTCACATTTCTATAAACTCTAAGATCTTGCAGCAGAAGCGAAACTGCACATTTAGGGGTGCCTGCCCCTCTACTGATGCTGCCCTTTGTGGGTCATATGTCCTTAGGAAAATGAAAGACTGTGCACTCTTGATTTGTTGGCCAGCTCTGTTGACATCTTTCAGTGGTTCCTTTTATGTATGGCCACTCCTACAGAGGCCTCTTGTACTTTGGGAACTGGTGAGTCTCCCTGTCCCTAGGGCTTTTTAGTCACATGTCCATCCACTGTTTCAATGTAACATGCATCTAGGCAAGGTTAACGATTAAATGGTTGGGATGAAAGGTCATCCTTTACGGAGAACATCAGAATGGTAGATAATTCCTGTTCCACTTTCTTTGATGAAACAAGTAAAGAAGAAACAACACAATCATATTAATAGAAGAGTCTTCGTTCCAGACGCAGTCCAGGAATCATGCTGGAGAAGTTCTGCAACTCTACTTTTTGGGTGAGAAATTACATTTATCTTCATATTGACTCTTCTCAGACTCAGAACAAGTGGTAGTTAGTTAACTTAGGGTGGTCACCAACAAGAACCAGAAATGTTAGATGTGCAATTGGTCTAAAGCTCAGGCTTTTTAGAAAGCATAATTCATAATATCTCCAGAGGATATAAGATCTGGGAAATGTAATGCAAATTATTCTCTGTCATATGTTTTTTTATATCAGACTCTTGTACTAGCTAGTCGCAAAATTGCCTTCTCTAAAGAGAAACAGGTAAAAACCTTCCAATTTAATCCGTGTGAGGAAGGAGAATTGTTGTTGCATACTTTGCTAGTAGAAGGAAGAGAAGATCCGTGACTGAGTCTTGCTGAGACATGTTGATGTTGAAATGATAATGATAAGTTCTAGAACTGGCAACTAATGATATGGACTAGAAGTTGAGTCTAGGGATGCAACTTTGGGCATCATGAGCATTGAAATAATTTTTGAACAACTAGAGTTGGGTAATATTGTTTTTAAGGAAAAGAAGAGACACCACTTAGAGGGTGAACAAGAACAGTGTAACATTACGGAGTCATAGATAGCAAAAAATTTCAAGATAGGGGCCAATCAACAGTATCAAAGGTCTAGTGGAATAGAAAACAAAAAAGGACCTTAGATTTAGTGATTTTAGTAAGGGTTTGGTGAGAAAGTATCATCTGCAAACTCCTAGCCTCAGCATCAGAATCACCTGGGGCAATAAATGTAGTTTAAGTATCTTAAGTGATTCTTCTGAATTCTAACATTTGATAACCTTATATAGAGGTGAGAGGGGCAGGGATGAGATAGCAGAGCACCTGGGCAGCACCTCGTGTCTTAGAAAGGACCTGGGTCCCAAGACCCTCGAGGCCAGGAGTGTATACCACGGCAAGGTGGATCTTCATGGGCTATAGTATCTAGACAGGCCATCTCTTGAGAATTCTTTCTGAGAACTACCTGACAAACTTTCTTGGTCAGGGCATCGCAAGCAATTCTTTAAAGAGTCTGTATAAATAATCATATAAAACAATTTTTAACTATTTATAGGAAAAGAAAAATCCACACTCATGTGACTCAGATACAAGAATTGGTGCCCACCCCCCACCCCCCAACTTCCACTTCACAAGACACTTCCATTTATCGCAGAATGCAAAGACTGCACAAAACTTGCTGGTTGGAAGCCTTCTGTCCAACAATGCTGTTGTCACTGCTGTGCTGAAACTGGCCAGGTTTTTAATGTAAGCGCTTTGGGCCATCAGAGAGCAAATGTTACAGTATGACTAAGCATTCTCCCTGCATGGCGCCTGCATGTTTGAATATCTGCCAGTGAGTTCAGTTAGTGCTAGAAACTTGAATAATTTTTTATATCCCAGGGAACTATTCTGTCCTTTAAACTGGGGAACAGTCCTTCTTCATCCTATAATTTGGCAAATGCAGTGGTGAGGTTTACTCAGAATAGCTGGTACAAAATTCACTTAGAATCACAAGAAGACACGTTTTTGGAGGGTGGGTTGGCCAGAAAGTGACTACATTTGTCATTAAATGGTGAATTTGTATCCATGTGCACAAATAGGAAAATACGGATAGTTAAAGGGTAAGGCTGGATATGGATATGGAGTTGAATTTAAATTGTGTGAAAGCAGTGGGATGTGCTGCAGGGTGGTTTTCTGTCTTCACAATGCATGTATGCAACAATCCTTCCCCTTTGGTCTCCAGAATTCCTCATTCCTGGACAGTCCGGAGGCAGACCTGCCACTTTGTTTTGAGCAAACTGTTCTGGTGTGGATTCCCTTGGGCTACCTATGGCTCCTGGCCCCCTGGCAGCTTCTCCACGTGTATAAATCCAGGACCAAGAGATCCTCTACCACCAAACTCTATCTTGCTAAGCAGGTAAAGTTAACACCACTGTTTCTGAACTCTAATTCCTTGGTGCACAGTAGAGACATTTTCTTGGTGGTTAGTGTTCTCTTCCTTGTCTTTAAGCAGCTGTCCCAGGTGCCATTGTCTCAGGTAGAGCCAGGCTCAAGGTTTCCCTCACGGGTCCCTTGCTGCATTTCTTAAATCAAAGTGGCTTTGATTTTTGCATAAGAATGGTGACTCTTAATTCTTGTGGATATTGGGTTCCCTAAACACAAAGGGCATATAATCAATCAAATTATCTTTATAGCATTTGAGAAATGAACACTGGATCACCTGTCTTTAAACAGCTCTAATAAATCAGTGGACTGTAATTCAGTTGGCATCTACCTCGTGAAAATGAGCTAGATAATGGATCTCCTGCCCCACTGAGGCAATCCAACTATCACTCATCTTCAAAAACTTGGGTCCGAAATAAGGTTTCCATTTTCCCCGCATATTTGATGAGTCAGGATGATCACTCACAGTAGAAGGAGGAGGGGTAAGTGTGCACAGTGACAAGCACGAGTAGGGAAATAATGGAAAGGACAGGTCTGCGGGAGAGGCCCAGGAGGGGCCAGGAGGGGAGGAGCCCTCAGCCAGCTGCACCAACTCACTCAGGGAAGGGTCTTGTGGGAACCCAAGACCCTCATTCGAGGTTGTAAAATTATCTCATAAAATCTTCCATCTGCTTCTTTTCACTATTTTTTTTTCTATCTCTCCTTATTATCATTATTACTACCATTTTAAATGGAGTCTCACTCTGTTGCCCAGGCTGGAGTGCAGTGGCACTATCTCGGCTCACTGCAACCTCCACCTCCTGGGTTCAAGCAATTCTTATGCCTCAACCCCTCCCGAGTAGCTGGGATTACAGGAGCACGCCACCATGTCCAGCTAATTTTTGTATTTTTAGTAGGGCGGGATTTCGCCATGTTGGCCAGACTGGTCTCGAACTCCTGACCTCAAGTGATCCCTCCTGCCTTGGCCTCCCAAAGTGCTGCGATTACAAGCCTGAGCCACCTGCACAGCCTCTGTCAGTCCTTATCTTTCAACAGGTTTTTAGAAAGGCAAACTAGATTCCATTGTTCTACTAGCATACCTAACAATGACTCAGGTTACCTGGAATCTTAAAGGAGGAAAGAGCTTGGCCAAAGGAAGTGGATTTCACCTTGACACTTTGAGGTTGGGGTTGATCGTGGGTTTTATTAGATTCTGATTCAAAAAAGAACAGTCTCAGAGCTTGGGACAGTGTCACTGTCTCCCTTGTTGACCTGAGTGCCCATCACAGGACCTAGCATGTTTCAAACACTCCCACTGGAATACAACATTTGTTGAATGTTGGTGTTAAATGCATTCTGGGAATAGTGGTTGATTCAAGAGTAGGTTAGAGCTGACCTCAGTGGTACATACCTGTAATCCCAGTTCCTCTGGAAGCTAGAAGTGGTAGGATCACTAGAGGCCAGCCTGGCAACATAGTGAGTCCCCATCTCTTAAAAAAATAAAATAAAATAAAAATAAAAAGGAAAGAAACATATGTTAGACTTTGAACATTCTGAACATTAAACAACTCTGAACATTTAATAACATTCTCAGTACCCTTGGAATTGAGTCATTGTTCGAGGTTAGAAGCAATCAAGTTGGGAGGCTTCTTCTACTTTCTGGAGCTTCCAAGAAGAAGCTGGTTAATGAGCAAACCAATATCCCATCCTAATAAAAGCTATTAGTTAACTCTTTTACAAAATACTTTATTGAGATATAATGTACATACCATACAGTTCTCTCATTTAATACAATTCAGGCCGGATGCTGTGGCTCACGCCTGTAATCCCAACACTTTGGGAGGCCGAGGTGGGTGGATCACTTGAGGTCAAGAGTTTGAGACCAGCTTGGCCAACACAGTGAAACCCCATCTCTACTAAAAATACAAAAACATTCGGCTGGGCATGGTGGCTCACGCTTGTAATCCCAGCACTTTGGGAGGCCGAGGTGGGTGGATCACGAGGTCAGGAGTTCGAGACGAGCCTGGCCAACATGGTGAAACCCCGTCTCTACTAAAAATACAAAAATTAGCCAGGCATGGTGGCGGACGCCTGTAATCCCAGCTACTCAGGAGACTGAGGCAGAGAATTGCTTGAACCTGGGAGGTGGAGGTTGCAGTGAGCTGAGATCATGCCACTGCACTCCAGCCTGGGTGACAGAGCAAGACTCCGTCTCAAAAAAAAAAAAAAAAATTAGCCTGGTGCAGTGGCACACACCTGTAACCCCAGCTACTCAGGTGGCTGAGGCATAAGGATCACTTGAACCCGGGAGGTGGAGGTTACAGTGAGCCAAGATCGTGCCACTGCACTCCAGCTTCAGACTCTGTCTCAAAAAAAAAAAAAATGCAATTCAGTTTTTTTCAGTATATTAACACATATGTGCAACCATCACCACAGTCAATTTTAGAACATTTCATTATCTTTAACCCCGTCTCCTCCTTCCCCTTATCCTTAGCAACCGCTAAATCTCTTTTCTGTCTTTATAGATTTCCCTGTTCTAGACATTTCATATGAATGGAATTATATAATATGGTTCTTTTTTGATTGGCTTCTTTCACTTAGCACAATGTGTTCAAGGTTTATCTATGCTGTACCATTGCTATACCATGTATTGATATTTTACCCCTTTTTTTGGGGGGACGGAGTCTCGTTCTGTCGCCCAGGCAGGCTGCCAGCATAGATTCCTGCCAACAGTGTGTTAAAGTGCATGTCCTTGCACCATTGTCAGCATTGAGTTATTTTCAACTTTTATGTGTAAACATGACATCTCACTGAGTTGCTTTGCATTTTTATGAATACTAACGCAATTGTTTTTTTAATTTGTTAAGTGTATTTCATTTGCGAATTGTCTGTTCATATCACTTCCTTATTTTTTAATGGGGGTGTGAGTGTATTTAACTTATCTTTTGAACGGATAATTCTCAGAGGATCACAAAGTTCAAAAAGTACAAAAGGAGCTGGGCATAGTAGCTCATGCCTGTAATCCCAACACTTTGGGAAGCTGAAGTGGGAGAATTGCTTGAGCCCAGCATTTCGAGACCAGCCTGGCCAACTTGGTGAGACCGATCTCTACAAAAAATTAAAAAAATTCACCAGGCATGGTGGCATGTGCCTGTGGTCCCAGCTACTCGGGAGGCTGAGGTGGGAAGATCACTTGACAAGTTCAAGGAGGTCAAGGCTGCAGTGAGCCATGTTCACACCACTGCACTTCAGCCTGGGCGACAGAGGTAGACCCTGTCTCAAAAAAAAAAAGAAAAAAAAGGACAAAAGGGTACCCAGTACTCTAGTCACTCATTCATGTCTTAGTTGGCAACCATTGATACCAGTTCCTCATATCTCCTTCCAGAAATAGCCTGTGCTTTTACAAACAGCTACGTACATATATTTTTTCACACAAATGCTAGCGTCCCATATGTGCTTTTCTGTGTCTTAGAGCTCCTTCCATTTTAGCACATAAAAATCTGCATTTTTCTCTCTTTTTGTGGATATTTTATTCATTTGTACCTAAGCAGCCAAACTCGTACTGATACCACCATGCAGCCAAGGTTACTGAAACCTCTTTGATTAGACTTCAGTCATATCCCACCCCCAAATAGACCCAATAGGTACAATGAAAACCAGTATATCAAGGCAGAATACAGAGCTGTAAAACAAGAAAAATCCTATGAGGGAGGGAGGGAAAAAGGAAGAATTCCGCCACTACCCAGACTAAAATCGAGTTAATATATTCATCTCCACACGTTTTCAGGCTGCATGTTCATGGAGTAATTTAGGAATAAACCTATGATTTGTGAAGCACTGAAATACTTAGTGGTTTGCTGTATTACATCATAGCTTTCCCCAGCAGTTTCCAAGACAGCTTCCAAAAACTGGCAGGAGAATTTCGCTGGAGCTGCATGCAGGACTACCAAGATTCCTCCCCACAGTTATGAAACCGATTTTTCCGGGACTGGTTGTTCTAGTCTTCTGGGTGCCAAGTCTGACTTTTCTGGGAATGGTTGATCCACACTGGAAGGTTTCCAGATGTGTTCCCCAGGCATTCCTGGTGGTAGGAAGAGTAGAGGCCTGGGTATTCTGTAGATGCTGAGCCCTGAGTCATATTGTTGCTTATTCTTTGGTCAGTTGGCTTTCTACCACCTCTTAGCTTTCATTCTCTGTAACTAGCTTGTATGCTGTTTGTAGCTAAGATTCAGGGTATTGGAAAGTTCTTGCAGCTGCTGGAGGCTGCGGTGTTTCTGTCTCTGAAATCCATCATTAATTACACACAGCTGGGCCGGAGAGAACATGATTCTGGTCTTCTGTTTCTTCTCCTGGATCTTATCTTCATTCTTCACTGTGCTCTTCTCTGCAGAAATGTGTAGTTTTACTCTGGGACTAGTGGAAGAATTAGAGCTTTCCTGAATAAATAGATCCACGGAGGAAGGAAGATGAGAGAGCCTCTGAGTGGGACACCTCCTCATATGTCATTTGCAAGGATGGATAACTTTCATCAGGGCCACGAGTCACAGGCATTGGTGAAAGAGTCCCTAGAATTGGATGCTTTAGAATAAGGCAGGCTTTGGAGACAAGCTGGACTCACACTCATGTTATTGAAAAGGAGCGGGGAGGGGCGGGTGCAGTGGCTCACGTCTGTAATCCCAGCACTTTGGGAGGCTGAGGTGGGTGGATCACCTGAG
The DNA here is from genome assembly GCF_000001405.40 of Homo sapiens. Classification (NCBI taxonomy): domain Eukaryota; kingdom Metazoa; phylum Chordata; class Mammalia; order Primates; family Hominidae; genus Homo; species Homo sapiens. The sequence goes on from NC_000010.11 coordinate 99,789,502, forward strand.
GTCAGAAGTTCAAGATCAGTCTGGGCAACATGGTGAAACCCCATCTCTACTAAAAATACAAAAATTAGCCGGGCATAATGGTTCACACCTGTAATCCCATCTCCTTGGGAGGCTGAGGCAGGAGAATCACTTGAACCTGGGAGGCGGAGGTTGCAGTGAGATAGCACCACTACACTCCAGCCTGGGTGACAGAGCGAAACTCCGTCTCAAAAAAAAAAAAAAAAAGAAAAAGGAAAAGAAAAAGAAAGAAAAGGAAAGGTGGAGGAAAATTAAAGAGCTGGACTGTAAAAATGGCTAAGGCTTTAAGATTTAAGTATCTAGGTAGAATATCTTAGAGAAATATGTAAAATTTCTCCAAATGTAAAAGTATCAAAAAGCCAGGATGAAGTCAGTCCCCTCCACATTACTGGGAGACAACCAGCTCAATCCCACAAAAGGTCTGCTTCTTTCTTTGTAATGATTCCTTGAGATGCTGTTATTTGAATGTACCATAATTTATGTGTCCTGTATGACATGAATTTCATTGGTTTCTAATATTTTGCATCATGAGCAATGCTGCCATACACAGCTTTGTATATACTTGTGTATACAAGTGTGTCTATAGGATAAATTCCCAAAAATGAAATGACTGAGTTAAGGATATGTGAACTCAGAATTTTTATACACAGTGCAAACTGCCCTCAAAGAGGCTTTCCTTGGTCTCATCAACTTTGTATCACATTTTTTGATGTTTGCTAATTGGTTAGGCAAAAATGTTATGTTTCAAATTATATATACTTTCAAATTGTATTCTCATATTAATGAGGTTAAGCACATGTTCATATGTTTAAAAGCCTTTTGTGTTTTTTTAAATCCATTTAATTTATATACTCATTTTTTTACATTGAGTTATTAGGGTATTTTTAAAAATTACTTTGTAGAAGTTCTTTATAAAGTTAACTGGTCTTTTTTGATATGAACTGCTCAGTGTATTTCAAATCCATTATATGAGTTTAATATATATAATCTTATGGCAAGACCCCCTCCTTTTCCCTGGCCTGGGGAATAGGCTGCTGGTTAGTACCCTCTAGTCATCTCCAAGGGCAGGTGCCTTACCTCTAGCTTGCTCTATTTTACCTCCTAATTTACCTAAAGGCAACCATAGCTTACCGCCTATGAAGCTACATTTTTTTCCCAAAACCTCATAGTCTCTTGTGAGGAAAACACCCTATAGTGTATTATATACTTGAAAAAATGCATTTCAGTTATTAACATGTCTTTGACTCTACTCCTTACTAAATAATAGCACTGATCCTATTAGTTAAAGTAAAGGTGCATTCATCTCCTTTCTTGGCTGGTTTTCATTACAAAGGGCCCATTATCTCTGCCTGTGCCATTCTGGATAAATTAGACTTAAAAGAATGAATAAGGGTAGATGGATAGGGGCATAAAAGCATGAGGGGAGGGGAGATGGTGCCACATAAATATCTTCATTTTGATGGCTAAGATGATGGTATACTCAGTGGAGGCAGTAATTTTCCCCCTGATAGGTGGGGATGTGGGCCTTTAAAACAGTGTAATGTGTATCATGTCTTCTGAGCTCATAGGACAAATACTGATTGGCATTGTCTGGGATCAAGACTGGGGCTGAGTGTGGTGGCTTATGCTTGTAATCGCAGCAGTTTGGGAGGCCGAGGCAGGCAGATCACCTGAGATCAGGAGCTTGAGACCAGCCTGGCCAACATGGTAAAATCCTGTCTCTACTAAAAATACAAAAATTAGCCAGGTGTGGTGGCGCACACTTGTAATCCCAGCTACTCGGGAGGCTGAGGCAGGAGAATCACTTGAACCCAGAAGGTGGAGGTTGCCGTGAGCCGAGACTGCGCCTCTGCACTCCAGCCTGGGCAACAGAGTGAGACTCCGTCTCAAAACAAAAACAAAAAACCTATGGCCTAAGAAAGGGAATAGTGCCTTTTAAACCTAGTACTTTCTGTTGCTATATAACAAAATACCCCAAAACTTAGCAGCTAAAAGAGAATTCTTTAAATCTTAACAGTTTCTGTGGATCAAGAATTTGGGAGCAGCTTACCCAGGTTCTGCTTCAAGGTCTCTCAGGAGGTTGAAGTTCATATGAGCTGTCTGGGGTTACTGGCATGTGAAGTCTTGACTGGGGCTAAAAGATCTGCTTCTAAGACGACTGTCACATGGCTGGTGGCAGGAAGCCTCAGTTTCTCACTGGCTGTTGGCGGAAGGTCTCAGTTCCTTACCAAGTGGACTTCTCCAAAGAGCTATTGGAGTGTCCTCATGACTGGACTGGTAGCTTTCTCCAGAGTGAGCAATCGGAGACAGAGAACAAGGAGAAATAATCCACATTGCTTTTTTATGCCCTAGCCTTGGAAGTCACACGCTGTCACTTCTGCCATTTTCTATTCACCAGAAGTACATCCCTAAGTCCCCAGCCCACACTCAAGGGAGAGGGAATTAAGCTCTGCTCTTTGAAGAGAGGAATATCAAAAAATCTGCAGACATATTTTAAAACTTCACACTCAGCATTCCTCAAAAACAATGATCATGGCATACTTTGAACATTATTCTATCACTTGAACTGTATGTATCCATTCTTTCCAGAAATATTTATTGTGTTATCTGAATCACTGCATACCGCTTTTCCTATCCATCACCGGAAACCATTCTGTTCTAAGAGCCTTATAAAGAATGATATCCTCTTAACAGTGGTCTTTTTCCCTTCTCAGGTATTCGTTGGTTTTCTTCTTATTCTAGCAGCCATAGAGCTGGCCCTTGTACTCACAGAAGACTCTGGACAAGCCACAGTCCCTGCTGTTCGATATACCAATCCAAGCCTCTACCTAGGCACATGGGTAAGACCTATACCACTTCTGCCCTGTTTACCTTTTCATTACCCATAGGCATCTAGGTGAAATGTACTCTTTGGGGATGAAATTAATTCCAAGGTCATCTGTCTTTTTCGCGGGATCCATAGTGAGGCAAAGCTTGGTTGGAATGGGGTGAAACAAATTTTAGCTTTTCATCTTCATTTGAGCATTAATGTATAGAGGCTTCTTCCTAGGTTAAGTATTAGCTTTCATGACTAAGATGTATATCTTATGTCCGCACATCTTGCCATCTAAGGGTCACAGAAGAGAGCTAAGTTTCTTGATGTAAAACAATATTTTAAATCTGTAAATATTGTTTTTAAATTGATTGATGACTTTAAACAATGGATCAGTGAGCTTAGAGTTTATATAAACTTGATATCAAAAAACTAATGTCTCTCTTGCAGGCATTTTTTCAGGGGGTGGGGCCTAGACAGTGTTTAAATAGCAATTGAATTAATTGCCATCAATTCAGTGGCAACTAATGACACATAATTATTTGAACTTTCAAACTTTATTGAAAAATCAAAATGTCTGGCAATCGCAAACCTACGTTCAGGCAGAGCAATGTCAGCTGGGCCTCAGTAGCAGTGGCTCCTTTAGACCATGTGCTCGGCACAATCCTTCCTGGGCAAATGTTATAAATCATGGCTCTTTCCCCACCAGAATGCTGTTTTAGGAGCACAGCTAGGTCTAGGAAATCAACATTTAATTTATTATATCTAATGTGAGATGGTATAAGGCAAGATTTTTTAAAAAAATTAATTGCTTAATCTTATATTAGAAAATCAAGCTACAGACACCTTGCACCTAATTAATTAGAACCTGCCTTCCGACCTTACTACTGCAATGTCTGAATTTAATTTTCATGGGTCCTGGAAAGGTTTTTCTAGCTCTCAAAGTAACTCCACTAAAATGCAGATAGTGACCTTCTACATTCTTGGCTAACATCCCACTCAAGTGTGGTCCATGGAGATGAGGCACTAAAAGAAAAAGCTGGATGGCATGGGGGTGACATGTTCAACCTGGCATCTGTGTGCTCTCTACCTGGCCAGATTAGTCACGACAGTCTCCTCCCTCAGCCCTCCTTTCTTCCCATGTTCTCTGACATCCTTCTCCCCTCAGTCCTCGGTTAGTGGCAGTATTCTTCAGAACATCATGTGAATTTCTCTCCAGCTCCTGGTTTTGCTGATCCAATACAGCAGACAATGGTGTGTACAGAAAAACTCCTGGTTCCTGTCCCTATTCTGGATTCTCTCGATACTCTGTGGCACTTTCCAATTTCAGACTCTGATCCGGACACTCTTACAGGTAAGGAAAAAAAGAGTGGATGACATGAGGAGGTACCATGGGGCAACCTCTAACTCATAGTAAATGGCATCAAGTTGAGCTCCAGGATCGAATTGTATTAGAGGGATTTGATCATAGGCTTTAATCACAAGCATTGATATATACGGGCCATGTAGACTTCCTTTGGACAAAAGGCTCATTTTTCCTCTTTGTTTTTTTCCTCATAGGGTGACAATTCTAATCTAGCCTACTCCTGCCTGTTCTTCATCTCCTACGGATTCCAGATCCTGATCCTGATCTTTTCAGCATTTTCAGAAAATAATGAGTCATCAAATGTGAGATTCTAAATATGCCCATCTCATATATTACTTAATTGGATGATATCTTAATGAATATAACTTTAAGATGTCTGGGTCTCACGGAGGCGCCACAAGCCCAGAATAAGGTAGTACAGACCATTTTATGACAAGGAAACAGATAGTGATGAGAGTAAAATACTGACTTTTACTTTCACCTACCAATTGTCAGTGTAATTAATTCATTCATATATCTATGCCAGAAAATCTGATTATCATTCTACTAGTGGCTTTAGGGTCTCCAAATAAACACATGTTGATAAGCTGACTTTAACATCATATCTAGTTTCTAGCACAACATTATATCATTAAAAAATCAGTTTCTGATTTTAGAGTCCCATGAAGTTCCTGTCTCCAATTGGTTTACATTTCGATTTTTTTGTGTCTTTCAGAATCCATCATCCATAGCTTCATTCCTGAGTAGCATTACCTACAGCTGGTATGACAGGTAGGAAAGCCTGGAGTATGGATTGGCTGTATCCTTACTCTCTCACTCCTCTGAAAGTGTCAGAAAGATTTTTTATTTTATTATTTTTTTTTTGAGATGGAGTTTTGCTCTTGTTGCCCAGGCTGGAGTGCAATGGTGTGATCTTGGCTCACTGCAACCTCCACCTCCTGGGTTCAAGTGATTATCCTGCCTCAGCCTCGCAAGTAGCTGGGATTACAGGTGTGAGCTACCATGCCCAGCTAATTTTTGTATTTTTAGTAGAGACGGGGTTTCACCATGTTGGCCAAGCTGGTCTTGAACTCAAGCTCATGTTCCACCTGCCTTGGCCTCTCTACGTGCTGGGATTACAGGCATGAGCTACAGCGCTCAGCCGAAAGATTAATTTTTTAAAAATGCCTCCTGTGACCTCCATTTCTCTTCTACTTAGAGTCAGAGAGTGTTAAAACTTACAGACCAACTTAATCCAAGCCCTCCATTGGGCAGATTGGGATGCTGAGGAGAAGATGGAGGGGGATTTGTTTTTGGTAGCCTAGGGGTCCCACAGGAGAAAAGAAAGGAGGCAGTAGGACAGGAAAGGAAAAATTTGGAGGCAGGTTTGGAGGGTAAGGGGTGAAATAGCTGGCTTGGGCTACCAGAGGATCTGGAGCAGGCACCCTTGGCCTTTATAGTTGCAGGGACCCATTTGGCAGGCTGGTGAAGTCTATGAATCCCTTCTCAGGAAGTGTTTTAAATGCATGAAATAAAATGAAAGACATTGGATTCTAAAGAAAACCAAATATATTGAAATATAGTTACCAAAATATTTTAAAAACAAATGTGTGATTTAGTAATACAAGTACTTCTTTATTAATGCATTAAATAACAAGATCTAGTGATGAGTCTAATAATTACCATAATTTTAAAGTAGTTATGAGCATAAGTGAGCTATGAGAACATGTGGGATTTCTCAGCCTGGCATGGTAGCTCATGCCTGTAATCCCAGCACTTTGGGAGGCTGAGGCGGGTGGATCACCTGAGGTCAGGAGTTTGAGACCAGCCTGGCCAACATGGTGAAACCCTGTCTCCACTAAAAATACAAAAATTAGCCTGGCATGGTGGCATGTGCCTGTAATCCCAGCTCCTTGGGAGGCTGAGACAGAAGAATTGCTTGAACCTGGGAGGCAGAGGTTGCTGTGAGCCAAGATCGCACCATTGCACTCCAGTCTGGGCGACAAGAGCAAAATTCCATCAAAAGAAAGAGAGAGAGAGAGAGAAGAAAGAAAGAAAGAAGGAAAGAAAGAAAGAAAGAAAGAAAGAAAGAAAGAAAGAAAGAAAGAAAGAAAGAAAGAAAGAAAGATTTCTAAATGCTAGATTTCAGTTAGATGCTATTACAAATAACAATATAATTTAGGCCAGGTATGGTGGTTTACAACTGTAATCCTAGCACTTTGGGAAGCCAAGGCAGGAAGATCACTTGAGCCCAGAAGTTTGAGGCTGCAGTCAGCTATGGCTCTGTCACTGAACTCCAGCCTGGGCAGAGAAAGACCATGTCTCTAAACATATATATAATTTATTTTCCATCCATATTCTCAAACTCCTGGCTAAGAGCCCTGATCAAGAGAGATGGCACAGTGGCTGGACATAGTGGCTCACACCTGTAATCCCAGCACCTTGGGAGGCTGAGATGTGCAGATCACTTGAGGTCAGGAGTTGGAGAACAGCCTGGCTAACACGGTGAAACCCCATCTCTACTAAAAATACAAAAATTAGCTGGGGGCCTGGTGCAGTGGTTCACGCCTGTAATCTCAGCACTTTGGGAGGCAGAGGCAGGTGGATCACCTGAGGTCAGGAATTTGAGACCAGCCTGGCCAACATGGTGAAACCCTGTCTCTACTAAAAATACAAAATTAGCCAGGCGTGGTGGTGTGTGCCTGTAATTCCAGCTACTTGGGAGGCTGAGGCAGGAGAATCGCTTGAACCTGGGAGGCAGATCTTGCAGTAAGCCGAGGTCGCGCCACTGCACTCCAGCCTATCGACAAGATCGCAACTCCGTCTCAACAGAAACAAAAAAAGAAGAAGAAGAACAAGAAGCCGTGTGCAGTGGTGCAAACCTGTAATCCCAGCTACTTGGGAAGCTTAAGCAGGAGAATCACTTTGAAGCCGGGAGATGGAGGTTGCGGTGAGCCAAGATTGCGCTACTGCACTCCAGCCTGGGCAACAGAGTAAGACTCTGTCTCAAAAAAAACACAAAAAACAAACAACAACAACAACAAAAAACCACACACACCAAAAACAAAGATGCCACAGGGGCTGCTTTATTTCTTGAGGGCATCAAGGAGGCCCCCAAGGAGATGCCAGAGTGGCAGAGAGGCAGCCAGTGTTTGAGGAGGAAGGAGCAAGAGCAGGGTAAGGTGATGCTCTTTTAGCTGTCTTCCCCTTCTCTTGTCTTCTAACACATTCTTTTGCCCCCACCCATTCCTTTTGCTGCTCTCCCCACTCCTCTGTCAAGTTCAAAGGGCCAGGAGATGGGGATAGTCCCATTCTTCTGTCCCTCTATCCCAGAACCTGGAGGTAGGTTCTGATAGAAGTGGTGGAGATAGCCTCTGACCCAGCCTGGGGGTCTCAGCCTGTGGTTCGCTCTTGTTCCAGCATCATTCTGAAAGGCTACAAGCGTCCTCTGACACTCGAGGATGTCTGGGAAGTTGATGAAGAGATGAAAACCAAGACATTAGTGAGCAAGTTTGAAACGCACATGAAGAGAGAGCTGCAGAAAGCCAGGCGGGCACTCCAGAGACGGCAGGAGAAGAGCTCCCAGCAGAACTCTGGAGCCAGGCTGCCTGGCTTGAACAAGAATCAGAGTCAAAGCCAAGATGCCCTTGTCCTGGTAACTTTCCCTTGAGTGTCTGTGTGAGCGCGCTGCATGTTTCAGGCAAGGGTACATCAGCATCATGGCGATTCTGTCCTTACATTTTTATAGCACTTCATACTTCTCAGTGCACTTCATATTATTAATGGTATTCACAATACTGATACTACCTTAGTGATGGATACATGGCGTGTAATGTACTGTTCTCTTTCCTTTGGGGTACTTTTGAAATTTTCCAGAATGAAACGTGGTTTTGAAAAAAATAATACCTTAGCATTTCTAGATTTTGCACCTTGGTACAAATTAGCATAAGCAGGCAATTTGTTGATTCATTCACTTGAAAATATTTATTGAGCACAACTGTGTGTCAGTGACCATTCTGGGCACTAAAAGATTGCTCATCTTTTGTGAGCTAGAAAATATGTAGTAAGCCCATACATAGGTTACTCTTTGAAAGTAATAATAGCTATTAAGAAAATAAAACAATAGTGTATTTGGAGTGAAGTGCGACTTGAGACAGGGTAACAGGGGAAGCTTCTCAGAGGAGATGACATCTGAACAGACACTCAAATGATGAGATCAGGCCCTCTGAGGGACAGTCAGAGGGAAGTGTGTTCCAGTCAGAAGGAGCAGGCATGCGAGGCTGAGAGGGGAACACATTTGGCTTGCTCAGGGAATGGCAAGAAGATCCAGGACAGGGTGCGCATGGGGTGAGATGGGCTCAAGGAAGTGGACAGGGATTAAGCTATGTGGACCCCTGTGGGCCACAATAAGGAATCTGGACTTTGTCTGAAGTCTGATTGCCAGCGGAAGATTTTGAGCAGAGGAGTAATGAGACTGGATTCATGCTGTGAAAAGCTTACTTGGGCGGCTCCCCAGAGGATGGATCGTTGTGGGCAAGAATGGAAGCTAGAAGGGAGGCCAGGGCAGTTGTCCTGGCAAGGGAGACCCATCAGATGGGACCTCAGTGAAAGACATTGTGAGAGAGTATCACTGGTAGGCTGAGAAGCTGGAATTTGGGGCAAGATGAGACTCAGGAGGACATAATGAGGAGGCCAAAGCATAGACAGAGGCTGGTGACTGAGTCGTAATGCCCCATGTATTAGTTTCCTAGGGCTGCCATGATAGAGTACCACAACTGGATAGCTTAAAACAGAAATGTACTGTCCCCAGCTCAGGAGGCCAGAAGGCTGAAGTCAAGATATCAGACTCGCTCCCGCTGAAACCTGGAGGGGAAAATCCTCTCTTCCACCTTCTAGTGTTCCCCAGCAATGCTTGGCATTCCTTAACTTCTGGATGCATCACTCTGACCTCTGCCTCCACCATCACAGGACCATCTTCTCTCTGTGTCTGTCTCTTCTCTTCTTGTAAAGATATCAATCATACTGCATTAGGGCCCCAGTGACCTCATCTTAATTTGGTTACATCTGCAAAGACCTTCTTTCGAAATAAGGCACATTTTAAGGTATTGGGGGTTAGGGCTTCAACATAGCTTTTGGGGGTGGGGATACAATTCAACCCATAACATCTCACAGCAACCATGAAAAGAACAAGCATGAAAAGAACAGAAAGGACCTCTCAGCATCATGCCCAGGCCCTTCACTCTCAGGACTGCCCCTCAGGCCCCCACGCAGATGGGTCTCTCTTTTTACATGGGACTCTTACCAGCTTAGTTGCCTGGTTTTCTAATCTAAAATAGATTACAAGTATCAGTTAGGAGCGGGAGAGTGGAACAGTGAAGGCAGCTAGAAGGGCAGAAGCAACTAGGCCAGGGAGAGATGATCAAAACCTGTACAGAGAAGGCCACGGGGCTCACAGGCTGACCACCCTGGAGCTGCTCAGGCCAGTAACAGACATAACTCTGTGGACACTGTTGTTTGGTTTTGTACCTAGGAAGATGTTGAAAAGAAAAAAAAGAAGTCTGGGACCAAAAAAGATGTTCCAAAATCCTGGTTGATGAAGGCTCTGTTCAAAACTTTCTACATGGTGCTCCTGAAATCATTCCTACTGAAGCTAGTGAATGACATCTTCACGTTTGTGAGTCCTCAGCTGCTGAAGTGAGTCTCCAGGCCTCAGATGGTCCTTTCAGGGCCTCCTCTGCCACCCTCCTTTTTGCCACTGTGTATGCAAGCAGGAGCTTTTCTTAAATTCCCATTTTTTAAAAATGCTCGTAATTTTCTTCCACCTTAACCTTACAGCATTGTGTTCATGAAGACCGCAGGCAGTTTTCAAGATGTATGATGATATGTACTTTAGCCTCTCTCTTTTCCATGTCTGTCTCCTCATAGGGGGCCGGGTAATTGTTAGGGGCTGTTTCTTGTTAAACTGCTAAGGGCTGAGCCAGATCCAAGTGGCGGGTAGCATACCCCTGGAGAGTAACTGACTTCATCTCTCCATCGCAGCCTTCCACGGGAGGTTCAGGTTAATCTTGACAAGACTTCACAATCTGTCATGACCTGTGGAGTGAACCACCTGCAGGGAAAGACAGGGCCAAAGCATTGCAGTGACAGCTAGGTGGAGCATTTCTGTCATTATCCATTCTCACAGCCATGGGTTATCAACCCTAAGCTCTTGCTGCTCATCTCCAAGTAAAAGCCAGAACGCCAGGCTGGACATGGTGGCTCATGACTGTAATCTCAGCAGTTTGGGAGATTGAGGCAGGAAGATTGTTTCAGGCCAGGAGTTAGAAACCAGGCTGGTCAACATAACGAGACCCCATCTCTACAAAAGAAAATAGTTAGCTAGATGCGATGGCGTATGCCTGTAGACCCAGCTATTTAGGAGGCTGAGGTGGGAGGATCACCTAAGCCCAGGAGTTCGAGGCTTAATGAACTATGATCCTGCCACTGCACTCCAGCCTGGGCAACAGAGTGAGACCCTGTATCAAAAACAAAACAAAACAGAAAGGACACTGGTAAAACTGTAGACTTAGGTCTTTCAAAGGCTTTGGACAATTCTGGTCACTTTTGTTACCTACAGTGTAAAGATAGTGTAGTCTAGCTGGCTGTGCATGAGGAGAGAGGCATCCTTGGAGGCCTTATGGGTATAACTAACTTGGCTTTTCTCTGGCAGATTGCTGATCTCCTTTGCAAGTGACCGTGACACATATTTGTGGATTGGATATCTCTGTGCAATCCTCTTATTCACTGCGGCTCTCATTCAGTCTTTCTGCCTTCAGTGTTATTTCCAACTGTGCTTCAAGCTGGGTGTAAAAGTACGGACAGCTATCATGGCTTCTGTATATAAGAAGGTAAGCAGAATACGGCAGGTATCACCAAAGAAAATCCCCTCAGTAAATATGAGCATTGATTCCAAGGTTGAGGAAAATGTGATGGAAATGGTAACTTATCTCAACACTTAATGTTGACTGGCCATACAGCCTCCTTTAGATGTTTCTTTGGAAATTAGATTTTGAGAAGTGTGTTCACAGACAATGGGTGGAGAGGCCAGGAGGGAAAACGTACTCCCCAGGGAGAAGCCTGCAAGCTGTTCTGGTGCTCAGGATCCACCTTGCAGCCCTGAAGGCTTGGCTACCCATCCATCTCTTCCTGCCTCTCTTGACAAGGTGAAATGCCTTGGAAAAGAATATAAGGTCAGAAAAGAAGCTGGTGAAGGGTCAAACTCTTAAAACCACCAACATTTAACTCAAATACTTAATGAAATCCAGCTCAGAGACCTGGTGTATCCATCTCAAATTGCAGTCTTGCCGGAGCTCCACCTCCCCAGACCAAATTTCACCTAGCAACTTCTTTTTCTAACCTTTAGTGCTAACCTAAACCTCCTCTGTCTGACTTCTTTTTTCAGTTTGTAAATACATTCATGCTGATTACTGAGTTCTGCAGACCTGGAAGCTTTTTCATTTCCTTAAGATGATTTTGCTCATCTTCCCTCTGATACATTGTTTGTTGTTGTTGTTGTTTTGTTTTGTTTTGGTTGTTTTTGAGATGGAGTCTCGCTCTATCACCGAGGCTGGAGTGCAGTGGTGCAATCTTGGCTCACTGCAACCTCCATCTCCTGGGTTCAAGCGGTTCTCCTGCCTCAGCCTCCCAAGCAGCTGGGACTACAGGCACGTGCCACCACGCCCGGCTAATTTTTTGTATTTTTAGTAGAGATGGGGTTTCACCATGTTAGCCAGGATGGTCTCGATCTCCTGACGTCATGATCTGCCCACCTCAGCCTCCCAAAGTGCTGGGATTATAGGCATGAGCCAACGCGCCTGGCCGATACATTGTTTTTAATGGTTAACTTTCTCAAGGAAACTGTATGTTCCTCATGTCCTCCATACCAAGATGAAGTCCCATTTTGTTCCTTAAGAAATGAAAATACAGTAGTTATGATCAGTGACTACAGGCTTGAGGAGAAAATTCATCCAGGAGGAGATAGGTTCCAATCTTTTTATAAGTTGGAACACTAGTTGACTTTCTTCCTTTTTTTCTTCCATCACTGGAAAGTTCCATCATAGTAACTTCTCTATTACAGTTCCTACTTTTCTCCTTTGCTTTCCTCTCTAGAAACACCACTGTGTCTTTGTCTTCCCTGAGTAGATGTTGGTTCGTTGAGAGACAGTGGCAGATAATCCAAGTGTCTTTAAATCAGAAGTCTAGTCAAGTCCTTTGAACTCCCAGATACCCCCCAACTGGAATTTGCCTTCCTCCAGTTGATTTTTAAAATCTCCTTATTTCTTCTGGAGATACTGAGTTTCTGCTGGTTTACAAGTTATGAGGTCACTAACCAGCCTGTCTCAGCCATTGCTAGTAAAGTACACTTCTACAATTTTTTCATAATTGTGATTATTCATTCGCACTATTTTGGTTCTTAATATTCCAGGTTTTGCAACTATTACAATTAATAAAGAGATTTATAAAATAGAACCCTCAATGACACTTTTATTCAAATAAATATCGCTATTAGAAGAGTGGAAGAAAATTACTAATTTATATGTTTAGACAATGCTTCACTACTTATGAAACATTTTTTACATTCATTATCAATTCACAGGGCTATTGCCCTGTGAAATAAGTACATTATACCTATTTTACAGAGAAAAATCAGGCTTAGATAATTTCAATGCCTGCAAACACATAGCCAGGAGTTGTCCCCAGACAAGGGCTACTGGGACTGTATTTATTGAAAATAGAAATATATAGTGATTACCTTGAAGGGCAATTAGATGTTGTTAGTTGTTGTTTTTTTTTTTTTCCCCTCTTCCATACCAAAGGGAAGGCATAGCAGTGGGTTGATTCCTCTAGAACCTTGGTGGTCTAACATTTTAGAAAACTTTCTTCTTTTTACTGTACAGCCAAGAATCCTAATATGTTCCAAAGAATGTATTGGTGGATTAAGATGACAGTAATGCTTCTAGGAGGAGATGGAAGTAGTATGGGCCACTTGTAGCCTGTACACTGTCTTTGTGGGAATTACAAGGTGGCTCTCCTTCTTCTGGAAAGATGCAGTCTACTCCAGATGGTGCCTTGGTGGCATAGTGCAAGTTGGTTTCAGTGCTGTGGTACATTTGTGCAAGGCATTGTTGTAAGTGACAGACCTGTGGCTATCAGCCTCCTGACCTCTCTAACATGAGAACAGGAAGCCCATACTACAAGATCAGGCATCTAGATAGTGCCTGAAAAATCCTGACACGAAAGTCTTTTATTTTATTTTATTTATTTATTTTTCAAGACGGAGTCTCACTCTGTAGCCCAGGCTGGAGTGTAGTGGCATGATCTCGGCTCACTGCAACCTCCGCCTTCCAGGTTCTAGCAGTTCTCCTGCCTTAGCCTCCCGAGCAGCTGGGATTACAGGTTCCTGCCACCATGCCCGTCTAATTTGTGTACTTTTAGTAGAGATGGGGTTTCGCCATATTGGCCAGGCTGGTCTTGAACTCCTGACCTCAGGTGATCTGCCTGCCTCGTCCTTCCAAAGTGCTAGGATTACAGGCGTGAGCCACTGCACACAGCCTACAAAAGTGATTTTACTTCAAAGTTTGAAGTCTGAAGTTTTCCTCTTCATTCTAAATTCTCTGTCCTTCTTGGGAATGATTGCAACCTCTTCATAAGAGTATGACTCCAAATAACATTGCCACATCAAAAGCCTCTGAGGTCAAAATCAATACATGCTGGTTCCCTCCTTCCCTTCTCCCTTTCCTCCTTCCCTTCCTCCCTCTCTCCTTCCATCCATCCATCCCTCCTTTTCTTCCATCCCTCAGTATTTGATTCTCTACTATGTGCCACATAATATAGTAGTGAAATAGACAGATGTTGCCCTCATCCTCACAGAGTTTACATCTAGTGGAGAAACAGAAAAAAACAAAGTAATTATGGTTCATTGTGATGAATGTAATGACAAAGGTAAGCTCAGGATATTATGAGAGTACACAGGACGAATATCTAACCCCAACTTGGTAGTCACGGTGGTTTTCTTATAAGAAGTTACATCTCAGCTGACACCAAAGGATAAATAGGAGTTTTCTGGGCAAAGAAGTGTGTGGATGGGTAGAGTTGGAGGAAGGTGGGAATAAGAGGAAAGAGTGGTCAAGAATGAGAGAATACCATGTGTAAGATTTGGAGGCAAGAAGTCACAGTGCCTTGGAGAAGCTGTGTCCATATGGAGCACATCCTTCCATTGTAATCTCACTTCCTGAGCTTCCTCTTCTACTCCCTAGTATCCTTGGCTTTGTCCATGGGTCCTAATTTCAATCCTTATCTTTAGGCATTGACCCTATCCAACTTGGCCAGGAAGGAGTACACCGTTGGAGAAACAGTGAACCTGATGTCTGTGGATGCCCAGAAGCTCATGGATGTGACCAACTTCATGCACATGCTGTGGTCAAGTGTTCTACAGATTGTCTTATCTATCTTCTTCCTATGGAGAGAGTTGGGACCCTCAGTCTTAGCAGGTGTTGGGGTGATGGTGCTTGTAATCCCAATTAATGCGATACTGTCCACCAAGAGTAAGACCATTCAGGTAAAGAAAAAGTCACCCAGAAGAATATAAGCTTTCTTTAAAGTGTAAACCCTTTTTCTTACTCTACTCTAATTCTTAATGGGAGTTTGGGCAAGGCAAAGCTGGTGGAAGACTTTCTACCATCTCAATTGTACTTAGCTGTCTCTGAGTTCCCTTTTCATCTTCTGATGACTCTTAGGGTTTATATATACTCCTCTGCATTCATGTTAGAGGGAAGAGCCTGACTGGGGAAGGAAGGGCTACCCCAGAGATGCTGCACATAATTCTTCCATCTTGCTCTGCTGGGCTGCCCTAAGAACAGGGATTTGGGGCCCTGCTTCTCCATTATGGCAATCTAAACCAACCACAGAGAGCAGTCGCATGAGTGATCCAAATTTCAGCCTGAGCCTTGGCAATCACCCCGCTACCACCAGGTGGGAGGGCTCCGTGTGGACAGTGTCCTCAGTCCTGCCAGAAGTCACAGGTTGGGTGGGTGGACTTGACAGTGTATATGATTTATTCACTCATTTGTTTTGCATTCAAGTTACAAATAATTGTTTTGAAAATATTTCTTACATATCTTACTTCTCTGAGAACACAGCAGTGAGTTAGGGCTCCTGTTCTCATGGATCTTACATTCTACCTGGTAGGGTGGTGGAGAGACAGGCAATACACAAAGAAGAAAAATATCAGATCATGATAAGTATTATACAGAGAATTCAACAGGGTGATGAGATAGTGAGTGAGTGGGTGGTTATTTTCAATGAGTTCAGGGAAGGCCTCTTGGGGAGTGGACATTTAAGCTGAACTCTGAATGATACAAGCCTGACTGTAAAGGAGAAAGCCTTGGGAAGGGCAGGGAAAGAACAGCCTGGGAGGTGGGTACAGTCAGGCAAGGGCTATGGGACAGAAACAAGCTTGGAACAAGCAAGGATCAGAAAGAAGATGGGTGCGGCAGGAGCAGAGTGGGCAAAGAGGAGAGTGGAGGGAGGTGAATCCCATCACTGGGCACCTCAAGTTCTTACTAAGTGACAGCCACAAAGTAGCAGTGAGGCCTGATGTCTGCAGCAAACCTGAGCCCTCTCTCATGGAAGCGTATATTGTTTTTCTTTTGCTTTTTTCCTGGCAGGTCAAAAATATGAAGAATAAAGACAAACGTTTAAAGATCATGAATGAGATTCTTAGTGGAATCAAGGTGAGAATCTGAGCGTAGGTGGCTCTCTGTGGGTAAGGACAGAAGCAGTGGCTCTCTTGGCCTTTGCAAACCCTGGTAGAGGTGATGGATTCCTGCTTCTGGGCCGGTTGTGTCACATGACTTTTGTTTCATGTCCTCCTGTCCCTCTCAGGTCCTCCGTTGAACCCCAATTTCTATTTATTCACCCTAAATAGCTTGTTTTGTTTTGACACTTTACTGTAGAAGTGTTTAAACATGTAGAAAAGTAGAGACTATCATGAACCCCTACAAACTTTTCACCCAGCTCCAGGAATTATCAGCATGACCTAACTAGTTTCATCTATAAACCCACACCCCTCACACTTGCTAGATTATTTTAAAGCAAATCTCAGAGATCTTGTCATTTCATTCATAAATGCTGTGTATGTAGCTCTAAAAGAAGGATTTATTTTAAAAATATAGCCACAATACCAGTATCATACCTACAAAAAAAATTAACATTCTTTGATACCATCAAAGTTCTCCAGTTGCCTCATATGTGCCTTTTGTTTGTTTTGCTGTTGGTTAGATTGAATAAGGACCCAAAAAATGTCCATGCATGATATTTAATTGATAGTGATTTTAATCTACTACAGTCTCTCTCTCTCTGTCTGTGTGTGTGTGTGTGTGTGTGTGTGTGTGTGTGTCTTGGTCATTCCAAAAAAACTAGGTTATTTGTCCTATTTCCTGTATTTCCTGTAAATTGATAGTTAGATCTAAAGGTTTGATTGATTTATATTTGATTTGGGGGCGGGAGTACAAGGTTGCTTTCAAGTGGTGCTGTGTGCTTCCCAAACTGCAGCGATGGTAACTTGAGCGGGCCCAGGTGCTGTCAGCCTGATCCATCCCTTACAAGGTTTCCTGCTAGTCTTTCACTAGAGCAGTGGTTTGTGATGCTGGCAGCACATTAGAATCACCTGAGAAATTTGAAGTTTGTAAAACCCACTGAGGCTGGGAGCCTACTTCAAACCATTGAAATTGGACTCTGGGAGTGAGGCCCAGACATGTGTATTTTTTTAAGTTCCCTAGATGATTCTAATATGCCACCAAGGTGAAAAACACTATTGTAAGAATTTTATGATCATTGCCTAGGTCTGTTATTTCATTAGGAATTGCAAAAGAGTGAAATTTTTAAATTCTGTTATTCCCTTGACATTGATTAGCTGGAATTTTATGAAGAAGAATTATCTTTCATCAACTTGTTGGTTACCCTAAAATGAAGTTTGTATGGGATAGACAGAAAAAATGCTTGCTTCTTTCCCTCTATTTGCCAGCTTTCATGATAATGCATTTCATCCTCCAGAGGTGACCAATAAGTTCTTTTAACTAAATATTGTTTTGAATTAATACATCTTAACATTATCCTAAACTTCTTAAAAATGAAACAGAGCCCCCTTTTAACTCCTTGTTAATTCTCCACACAGAGCTCTGACATGTCCTTCTGTGAATGTGGCAAAACTAAAAGAGAGAGCTGGTTTTGAATCTCAGCTCTACCACTGGGTAGCTTAACTTGCCAAAAGTTTGGCAAGGTTCCCTTGCCTCTCTCAACTTGTTTCCTTATAGTTTAAATGAAGATAATAACTCTACAAATGTAAGGTGACTAACTCAACTCAATTTGCCCAGAACTTTTTAAGTCTTAAGACTGGAAGGCCTGTGTCCTAGGCAGCCCTTTAGTCCCAGGCAAACTGGAACAGTTAGTCATACTAAGGTTGTTATAAAGTGAGATAATGTATTTAAAATGCTTTGTACATAGTAGGTTGTCAACAAATACAAGCTACCTTTCTGTAATCATACTTTATAATCTGGATTTCTATTCCCCACATTTTGGGGACTATATCTTAAAACATGGGTGGATCAGATACACCTGGTGCCCTTTCAGGGGCAATCATGTGAGCTGTATTTTTTTTCAACTTATTAGATCCTGAAATATTTTGCCTGGGAACCTTCATTCAGAGACCAAGTACAAAACCTCCGGAAGAAAGAGCTCAAGAACCTGCTGGCCTTTAGTCAACTACAGTGTGTAGTAATATTCGTCTTCCAGTTAACTCCAGTCCTGGTGAGTAGCAGAGGGGTCCATGGGCTGCGTATTCACCTGGACCTGCATCAGCTTCCTGAAGAGGAAGTTCACTTTTGATAGACTAGCTGGCATCTCTAGGCCTGACCGCAAGATCCAGGGGACTTGTCCCTCTCACCGCCCCATGCCACTTTTCCTCCTTTGTACCATACCCCCAGCTCTAGTTTCACCTTCGTGTACTGTACGATGGTCTGGCTCCCAGAGCAACTTTTCAGGATGCACAGCAAGAATGTGGTATCAGGAAGGATTGGCTTAGGAGGCTTTCTTGTCTTCTTTGGGAGGTGGTGTAGGTCTATAGTGGAAGGAACACTGATATAGGATCCAGGAGACCTGAGCTCTGGTCCTAGTAATCCATTAATTGACTTTGTGACCTTGGAGAAGATATTTCCTCCTCTCCTGGGCTCAGTTTTCTCATCTGTAACATGGGGAGGCTGGATGATCCTTAAGGCGCCTTCAACTCTGATATATGGTGTTCCTGAAACTTAGCACAATGCTGCTTGGTCCCTTTTAGGAATAAATTGCTCATGACCTTGCCCTTTCCAGGTATCTGTGGTCACATTTTCTGTTTATGTCCTGGTGGATAGCAACAATATTTTGGATGCACAAAAGGCCTTCACCTCCATTACCCTCTTCAATATCCTGCGCTTTCCCCTGAGCATGCTTCCCATGATGATCTCCTCCATGCTCCAGGTAGGTCGGCATTCTCACTGCTAACTCCCTGTCTCTGGTTAAAAGCCTTGGAGTCCAGAATGACTGGCTATCACATCCCATGTCTAACTTTTGCTGGTAAACTTTCAAGAGAGAGATCTGTTTGGTCTCTGGAGACCAATGGTTTGACCTTAATAAAATCATGAGTTTTCTGAGCCCCAGTTTATCTAACTATAAAATGAGGATAATCATACCAATCTCATCTACCTCACAGGGAGACAATCTTGTGAAAGCATTTAGTGAGATTATTATGTTTAGTCCTAGTACTGGGAACATTTCCCAGCCCAGTTTCTCTCATATTTCTCCAAGGCTCTTGAGGTGTTGAGATAGCATTAGGCAAATATGGCCCAAAGGGAGAAGAGAGACCCTCCCTTTGCATAAACCCATGTGTTGGTCAAACCAAATGCAAATTGAGAGCCTCAAGCTATCAGAAAATGAGTCTGGAGTTCAGGAAACCTTGGATGGACCAGAGGGAATACCTGGGTTCTGAAAAACTGAGCATAGTCACTGATATGCGACAAGTACCAGATCTGCAGAGGAAGGTCACCGGACAGGCAGCAGACTGATGAGAAGGCCTGAATGACAGGAGTGTGGTGACTTGCATTTATCCCCTAAGTGTCTGGCTTCAGAGAGCTCAGACCATGGGAAAGAGAAGGCCTCCCTGTCCTGGAGGGTGTAAAGAAAAGCTGGCAGATTTGGCAGGTAAAGAAGCAACAGGATCTTTTTAGATACAATTTATTGCATAAATAGCAAAAGCAAGATCAGCAAAGGTATCAGCTCCCTGCATTCCTGGTCCTCAGGATGACACTGAATCAAAAAGGGTCAGATGGTGGCTGGGCTCACACCTGTAATCCCAACACTTTGGAAGGCTGAGGCAGGCATATCACCTGAGGTTAGGAGTTTGAGACCAGCCTGGCCAACATGGTGAAACCCCATCTCTACTAAAGAAACAAAAATTAGCCAGGCATGGTGGCACACACCTGTAGTCCCAGCTACTCGAGAGGCTGAGGCACGAGAATCACTTGAACCTGGGAGGTGGAGGTTGCAGTGAGCCAAGATTGCACCCTTACACTCCAGCCTGGGCGACAGAGTGAGACTCCATCTCAAAACAAAACAAAACGAATCAAAACAAAAGGGTCAGATGGCGATGCAATGTGAGCAGTGGGGTACTCTGTTTTTGAGGAGCTGATCCATGCAGCAGTTAAGTGGTTCTATAGCCTGCTTCTGTACCCTAAGGAGGGAACAGGCAGAAAGCCTAAGACTTCATCAGAGCCTGGGTGGCAATGAAAAACCATCTCATGACAGCCTCTTTGGAAGAGAGGGAAGTAGGTGAGAAACATCCTTGTAGAAGTGCCTCGAAATCTTCTCAAGTTCTCAAGTTCCAGGGACTGCAGGGTATTCTGCCAACACTTACCTCACCTGCCATTTAAGCTTCGGCTATCTGGCCTATGTGGAAGTGTGCAGGGTCCCCCTGATGCTATAGCCAGTTCCTCTTTAGAGGCTCCCAGGAGTGGCTTAGTTAGGATGCTGGGTGGGCATCAGGGCATAGACTTAGTTAAATAAGAGAAAGCCAGGGGCCTAGTTACCAGAACCAGATAGAAGTTAATTTTTTGTCTTAGAAGGCAGGAGGTAGTTTCTGGAATTAGGGCCGAAGACTGGAGAGAGACAGCAGAAGAGTTGAACTCCATGAGTTTGCTCAAGGACTGAAATAGAGCATCCACTTCCATCTGTCTATGGTGGGATAGCTTCCGGGGCTGAGTTCGGTGGAGATTAGGAGATGCCAGCTGTGGCAAATAGAAAATCATGGACTAACGACAAAGTCAAAATCTCTCTGCTTGTGCTCGTTACTGACTTTAATTCTTGAGATCCTTTGTGTCCTTCTCTAGGCCAGTGTTTCCACAGAGCGGCTAGAGAAGTACTTGGGAGGGGATGACTTGGACACATCTGCCATTCGACATGACTGCAATTTTGGTAAATAAATTTGGAAGTTGCTTCCCAAACTTATTCGCAGTACTGGTGCCAGAATTTTGATAATACAAGAGCTTAGTAGCAGCAAACTGAGAGAGAGTGTGGAGATTTGTCTTGAGCCTATGCTTGCATAAGATACAAACTGTTCTTACTTGAATTATGTTTACACTTAGAGCAGATTGCTCAACTAGATTGCTAAGTAAAGCTGGGCCAGCTCTTCTGAGGATAAGCAGGGAATCCTGCAAAAGATCCAGAAAGCAGAAGTCAGGATAGAGCCAAGTGTGTGGGATTGGGAAGGTAGCCTGGAGTGAAAGAATACTCAGATTCTGAAGGTTTAAAGATTGGGGGCCAGCCATGGCCAGAGTGGGCATAGGACTGGAATCCATAGTGGGGAGGATTTATATATGGAGGTGGAATTCATACAAGGGGACTGGGCAACAGAGGGCCTGAGAGTATACCCAGAGTATCCATAGGTCAGGAATCTGGGCTACCAGTAGGCTTGGGAGTTCTGAATAAAAAAGGACTTTAGCCGGGTGCGGTGGCTCATGCCTGTAATCCCAGCATTTTGGAAGGCCGAGGTGGGTGGATCACCTGAGGTCAGGAGTTCGAGACAAGCCTGACCAACATGGAGAAACCCTGTCTCTACTAAAAACACAAAATTAGCTGAGTGTGGTGGTGCATGCCTGTAATCCCAGCTACTCAGGAGGCTGAGGCAGGAGAATCACTTGAACCTGGGAGGCAGAGGTTGTGGTGAGCTGAGATTGCGCCATTGCACTCCAGCCTAGGCAACAAGAGTGAAACTCCATCTCAAAAAAAAAAAGAAAAGGACTTTAGGCTGGATGCAGTGTCTCATACCTGTAATCCTCACCCTTTGGGAGGCTGAGATGGGCAGATTGCTTGAGTCCAAGAGTTCGAGACTAGCCTGGGTGACATGGTGAAACCCTGTCTCTACTAAAAATACAAAAATTAGCGGGGCATGGTGGTGCATGCCTGTAGTCCCAGCTACCTGGAGGCTGAGGTCGGAGAATCTCTTGAGCCCGGAAAGTCAAGGCGGCAGTCAGCCAAGATTGCACCACTGCACTCCATCCTGGGTGACAAAGTGAGACCATGACTCAAAAAAAAAAAAAGGACTTCATATGCAGGCCACTTCTGGTCTCATGGTCTCATTCTAGGAGATTTCATTCACCTCCTGTTAGCGTAGGAGCCAGCACTTAGCAGAAACAATCCTAGGAGCTGATGGAGAAAGCGGAGAGAGACACGTGAGGGCAGACAGTCACGTGGGGACCTACATTGGACTAAAAGAGGGCTTTTTCTCAACAGACAAAGCCATGCAGTTTTCTGAGGCCTCCTTTACCTGGGAACATGATTCGGAAGCCACAGTCCGAGAGTGAGTTGCCTTCTTTCCATCCTAATGTTCTTTAGCATTCTCACTGCCTGGCCTATTCTCAGAAAATTCCATGTAATAGAATGCATGGGGAAATGAGCTATGTGCATGTCTTCGGTTAGATACTAGTGCAGGATAAACCCCTGGAGAGATGAGCTGAAAGCAAAGGTTCTCAGCCCCTTCCCCTGATAACTGCATTTGCCATGCTGCTTTCCTACTATGGGGCCATGAATATCCAGCTGTGATCCCATGAAGACATTTGTGTGTGCAGATTGTGGATGGAGGTAGTGCAGCGTTGGCAGGTGGCCGGCGTCTCTGGGTATGGTAGAAGACAAACCCAAGAACCTGAATTCAGTATAAGTTCATTCATTCAAGAATAGCAATCAGGAACATTGGAATCTGGCTTCTCAGTGTGTATCTTCTGCACATAGTGTGTCTCTTAAGCACCATGTGTAATAGCACACCCAATTCATCCACTGAGCACAGCACACAGAGTACACCAGGAGGCTGAATAGGCCATATCTTTGTTTCTTCACAACTGAGCACATCTTACTGTCTCCTTACTATACTCCTGACTTCCCACTCCTCTATCTTGTTCCTACAGCCTTTAACATGGACTCCAGAGCTAGCCCCAGGATGAGTTGGGGCAGGAGCACATGCTCTGAACCTTCCTAACCCAGCAGTTTCCCTTTCCAGAGAGGAAACTGGGCAGGGCTTCCACTTCACTGTTATAGGTCTGGAAGAAATTCACCTCAATGCGCAGATTCAGAAAGACTGTGAACAAGTTCCTAATGTTCCTAATGTTCTAGAAACTCAAATAACAGGGCTGGCACACACAGTTTCCGGGAACCTATCCCATTGTGGGCCCCTACTCAGCCAGATACAGTCAAATATTTAGGAGAAGGGCCAGGGAATCTACTTTCAGCAAATGTTCCAGGTGACACATTTAGTACCTAATTTGGGAAATGTTAATCTAGTCCAATCCCATTAGTAAGAAAGGAGGGGTCCTTAGTCCAAAGGAAGTGACCTTCCAAGATAACATAGACCAGCAGTGTCAGGGTTGGGACTTGAACCAAGCCAGGTCTCCAGGCCCCCACTAGGGTCTTGTTCAATGGGTAACCATGTTAGTTCTAGGAGAATTTTATCATTGGAAATGCACATTTGTCACAAACAGCTTATAGATGAGTTGGATAAATTAGGGCTCATTAGGGCTCATTCTCTAGCCTTTTAGAGCTAAGAAAAGAAAAAGAAAAAGTATTAAAGAAGCACTTTGGGGTCTTGTATATCCAAGGCAAATTTTCCAATCTTGAGGGGAAATCTCCTGATACCAGACTTCATGGAGACTCAGAGAAGTGACTTGAACTACTCTTCAATACCCAACCCCTGCTATCTCCTTCAAAGACATTCCTGTCTTTCAGTGTGAACCTGGACATTATGGCAGGCCAACTTGTGGCTGTGATAGGCCCTGTCGGCTCTGGGAAATCCTCCTTGATATCAGCCATGCTGGGAGAAATGGAAAATGTCCACGGGCACATCACCATCAAGGTGAGAGGGAATGCCAATGCAAAAGCCTCTGACTCCCGAATGTCAGCAGCTTCGTGCTTTTGCCTCACTGGGGAGAAGGCACTGAGGGCTAGTAGGTGAGGTCTTGGAGACATCCGATAGATTTGTGGACTGTGATTCTCCTTCCCATTTCAGCTTTATATAATCAGTTGCTGGGGGTAAGATTTGGGAATCTGCATTTTTAATGAGCTCTAAAGGTGATTCTCATACGCATACTACAGTGTGAAAACTGCTGATTAGAGAGGTCTTCCTTCAAAATATAGGCATTTCTGGCCAGGCACGGTGGCTCACGCCTATAATCCCAGCACTTTGAGAGGCCGAGGCAGGCAGATCACCTGAGGTCAGGAGTTCGAGACCAGCCTGGTCAACATGGTGAAACTCTGTCTCTACTAAAAATACAAAATTAGCCGGGTGTGGTGGCATGTGCCTGTTATCCCAGCTACTTGGGAGGCTGAGGCATGAGAATCACTTGGGCCCAGGAGGGCTGCAGTGAGCCAAGATCATGCCACTGCACTCCAGCCTGAGTGACAGAGAGAGACTCTGTCTCAAAAAAAAAAAAGTATAGGCATTTCTGCTTTATCTATGTATTTGTTTCTGAAAAATCATGCATCCTGCAAAACTGTACAATAAAAATAACAGGACCTAGGGGAAAAGAATTGTAATAGATCACTAAAAACTTATATAACTTTGTAACCAAACTACCAACAGAAACAATACCAACCATAACAGTAATATCAAGAGCAATAAAAACAGTAGATTGTACAATCATCACTGGCATTTGCACCCAACATTGCAATTACTCTTGGGCCTTTCTCTTCCTCCTTTGAGAGCTAAATCTTTGATGGCATTTGCTTCCAAAATAAAAATCTGGTGTAGGGTGTTGTCTTCTTCATCAATTTTGTATATATATATGTGTATGTGTATATACACATATATATACACACATATGTGTATATACACACATATGTGTGTATATATACACACATGTATGTATACACACGTATATATACACACATGTATGTATACACACATGTGTATATATACACACATGTGTATATATACACACATGTGTATATATGCACACACGTATGTATACACACGTATGTATACACACGTATGTATACACACACGTATGTATACACACATGTATATACACACGTATGTATACACACATGTATATATACACACGTATGTATACACACATGTATATATACACATATATACATATATGGGTATATATACACACGTGTATATATGTGTGCATATATGTGTATACACACATATGTGTGTATATACATACACACATATGTGTGTATATACATACACACAAACATATATGTGTGTGTATGTGTATATATACATATATATACACATATACACACACATATGTGTATATACACATATACACACACATATGTGTATATACACATATACACACACATATGTGTATATACACATATACACACATATGTGTATATACACATATACACACACATATGTGTATATACACATATACACACACGTGTATATACACATATATGTGTATACATGTATATACACATATGTGTGTGTATGTGTATATGTATGTATATACACACACATATATGTGTGTGTATGTATATACACACACACATATGTGTGTGTGTATATATATATTTTGAGACAGAGTCTCACTCTGTCACTCAGGCTGGAGTGCAATAGCACAATTTCAGCTCACTGCAACCTCCACCTCCTGGGTTCAAGCAATTCTCCTGCCTCAGCCTCCCAAATAGCTGGGATTACAGGTGTGTGCCACCATGCCCCACTAACTTTTTTTTTTTTTTACTTTAAGTTCCAGGATACATTTGCAGAACGTGTAGGTTTGTTACATAGGTGTACATGTGCCATGGTGGTTTGCTGCACCTATTGACCTGTCATCTAGGTTCCCTCCCCTCGCCCCTCACTCCCCAACAGGCCCTGGTGTGTGTTGTTCCCTTCCCTGTATCCATGTGTTCTCCCTGTTCAACTCCCAGTTATAAGTGAGAACAAGCAGTGTTTGGTTTTCTGTTCCTGTGTTAGTTTGCTGAGGATGATGCTTCTAGCTTCATCCATGTCCCTACAAAGGACATGATCTCGTTCCTTTTTATGGCTGCATAGTATTCCATGGTATATATGTACCACATTTTCTTTATCCAGTCTATCATTGATGATGCCCGGCTAATTTTTGTACTTTTAGTAGAGGCGGGGTTTTGCCATGTTGGCCAGGCTGGTCTCAAACTCCTGGCCTCAAGTGATCCATCTGCCTCAGTCTCCCAAAGTGCTGGGATTATATGGGTAAGCCACTGGGACTGGCTAATTATGCTTTTTTTTTTAACGGAGGAAAATGTTTTCATGGCATCTTCATCAGTACTCTGAACTTTTCCAGAGAGCTAAATTTAGGGAAAATTATAGTTATTTTTGAATTGTTATCACTACTTGTACCAAACAGAGGAGTATCTATAGATTTTCAGCTTTTTTTCTTAAGATCTTCATATATATATTGCTAAGGGTTTCTTTTTAAGTATGAGAATGCTTCCTCCAATTGATTTATATTGACCTGCTTGACAAAAAAATGTAAGAACCAGCTGTTCTACCATATACTGACATCATTTCCTGATTTAGCAATCACTAATGAACTAATCTGCAATTTAAAAAACATGCGCTATAGCAGAGCAGGCTACAGATTTAAGTCTGTCTTCTAACTCCTTTTGGGAAGCTTTTTTCTTGCTAACTCATAACTGGGTTCTTCCTCAAACACAGGCCTTTGTTGGTCTCCATTTCTGGTCTTGTTTTTTTTTTTTTTTTTGAGACGGAGTCTCAGTCTGTCACCCAGGCTGGAGTGCAGTGGCGTGATCTCGGCTCACTGCAACCTCCACCTCCTGGGTTCAAGCAATTCTCTGCCTCAGCCTCCCAAGTAGCTGGGATTACAGGCACATGCCACCATGCCCGGCTAATTTTTGTATTTTTAGTAGAGACAGGGTTTCACCATCTTGGCCAGGCTGGTCTTGAACTCCTGACCTCGTAATCCACCTGCCTCAGCCTCCCAGTGTGCTGGAATTACAGGCGTGAGCCACCGCGCCCGGCCTCCATCTCTGTTTTTTGTTTGTTTGTTTGTTTGTTTGAGATGGAGCCTCACTCTGTCTCCCAGGCTGGAGTGCAGTGGCCCAATCTCAGCTCACTGCAGCCTCTGCCTCCTGGGTTCAAGCGATTCTCCTGCCTCAGCCTCCCGAGTAGCTGGGATTACAGACTTGTGCCACCAAGCCCAGCTACTTTTTGTGTTTTTAGCAGAGATGGGGTTTTGCCATGTTGGCCAGGTTGGTCACTCCCGATCTCAGGTGATCCGCCCACTTCGGCCTCCCAAAGTGCTGGGATTACAAGCGTGAGCCACCGCGCCCAGTTTCCATCTCTCTTTGGTTATAATCTTGCTTCTTAAGATGTCATCTATACCATGGGTCCCCAACCCCGTGGGCCTCAGACTGGTACTGTTCCATGGCCTGTTGGGAACCAGGCTACACAGGAGAAGGTGAGCGGCGAGCGAGCATTATCACCTGAGCTCCACCTCCTGTCAGATCAGCAGCAGCATTAGATTCTCATAGGACCATGAACCCTATTGTGAACTGCACATGCCAGGGATCTAGGTTGCATCTACTGCCTGATGATCTGAGGTGGAACAGTTTCATCCCGAAACCATCTCCCACCACCACCCCATCTATGGAAAAATTGTCTTCCACAAAACCGGTCCCTGGTGCCAAAAAGTTGAGGACCGCTGATCTATACCATTCCCTTGTCAGTGTTAGCCTTTCGTTGGTCCTAGTAAACTCAATTGGGTTTGACTAAAACCCTCTTCTAGAAGCATCACACACATTTATCATCTAATTTTCAGGATCATGGCTGAAAAACGATAGTCCAACAAAAGTGGATGGGGCTTTTAATGGTGAAGAGGATATTGAGTCCTGAGAGTGGAATAACTACAAGCACGTGAATACATATCAGATCCTCAGTCATCCTGATGCACAGTTATTTAAATTTAAGCTCCATTTGTTTCTTCCCCTCTCCAGCCACCCCGTCCTTCAACCCTGCGTTTCTGGAGGTGCAGCTGTAACATGATCTGATCCTTTTTCATCTAGGGCACCACTGCCTATGTCCCACAGCAGTCCTGGATTCAGAATGGCACCATAAAGGACAACATCCTTTTTGGAACAGAGTTTAATGAAAAGAGGTACCAGCAAGTACTGGAGGCCTGTGCTCTCCTCCCAGACTTGGAAATGCTGCCTGGAGGAGATTTGGCTGAGATTGGAGAGAAGGTACTTGGGATAACAAGGGATCTTCAAGGGTGAAGGCATATTGAAGAGAAAAAGTGAGGATGGTGGTGAAGAACTACACAGGGGTAATCTAGTTGATTAATTTAGGTAGTCATATTTGGAATAAACACCAGAAATCATGTGTTTGTACTAAGTGGCCACAATATTCCATGTAAATAACTCAGAATTTCAAACTTTCTGCTTGGAAACAGATACAGGAATTATGTAATTTAAATCAAAGATGATGAGGCAAAGGCCATGAGAAGTTAACAGTGACTGGCCCAAGGTTGATCTCACAGGTGGTGGGGCAGAAGTGGGACCAGAGCCTAGGTGTCCTGATTCTACTTCTGTATCAGTGAGGCCAGAGGAAGATTCTACTAATCTGCTTTGAACACTTAGATGTTTATTGTGAATTATCTTTTGATGTTATTAAAGGCCTTTCCTAAAAATAGACTTTTAGGGTTGGGCACAGTGGCTCACGCCTATAATCCTAGCACTTTGGGAGGCCAAGGTGGGTGGATCACCTGAGGTCAGGAGTTCAAGACCAGCTGACCAACAAGGTGAAACCCCATCTCAACTAAAAATACAAAAATTAGCCGGGTGTGGTAGCAGGCGCCTGTAGTCCCAGCTACTCGGGAGGCTGAGACAGGAGAATTGCTTGAACCAGGGAGGCAGAAGTTGCAGTGAGCTGAGATTGCGCCACTGCACTCCAGCCTAGGAGATGGAGCAAGACTCCATCTCAAAAAAAAAAAGATTTTTAATGACTGTATTGTATTTATTATATAGATCTAGCATAATTTATTTTGAAACCTCTAAATAAAGACCCTGCATATTTAGGATGTTTTCATCCTCCCTCCCCATTACTAGAAATAAATGTAGCAATCTTGGGGAACAAAAATCTTGAGATGTTAGAAGATTAATGAAGATACAGCTCTGGAGTAATTTTGTTCATTAATTAGCATACGCTTATTGAGCACCTACTATGTGCCAAACAGTGTTTTAAGTTCTGGAATTACATCCATGAACAAAATAGAAAAAACCTCTGCTCTACATTGTCACAGGGTGACAAGCAACAAAACTATTAAATAAGTAAATTATCTGATAAAAAGTGGTAAGTTGGCCATATCTAATTATTAGGACTAAAGTTATTTATTTGAATCAGTTCTTTATTTGTATAAAGGAACTTGTAAGATTTTTAACCCCTTGACACCTTATTGAGACAAATTTCTTCCTTTTACCCCTCCCTATTAGATTCTGTGAAGGTGGATCTAGGGAGTAGTGCTTAATATGAATTATTTTCTTCTTCAGGGTATAAATCTTAGTGGGGGTCAGAAGCAGCGGATCAGCCTGGCCAGAGCTACCTACCAAAATTTAGACATCTATCTTCTAGATGACCCCCTGTCTGCAGTGGATGCTCATGTAGGAAAACATATTTTTAATAAGGTCTTGGGCCCCAATGGCCTGTTGAAAGGCAAGGTGAGAAATCATTGAACATGATGAAGATATAAAGGTGGGGTGGGAGGGAGAGGGGAGGACATGTCTGGCAAGTAAGACAGGGAAGATGGTGGACATATGGTAATCAACACAACTTCATATTATTTTTATAGACTCGACTCTTGGTTACACATAGCATGCACTTTCTTCCTCAAGTGGATGAGATTGTAGTTCTGGGGAATGGAACAATTGTAGAGAAAGGATCCTACAGTGCTCTCCTGGCCAAAAAAGGAGAGTTTGCTAAGAATCTGAAGACATTTCTAAGACATACAGGCCCTGAAGAGGAAGCCACAGGTATGTAAGAAGGATTGGGACAAGATAGAACTTGGGCCATGGGTGGAATGGTAAATCAATATCTAATTCCTGAACTGCTCAGTATCCAGTGAACTAGATTTGGAAGCAAACTACCCAGAGATTCAAACTCTGCTTTCTGGGTTCTGTGTCTCTTTGAGGAAACATAGAAATTGAAACTCTATGCCTGGGCCAAACTGGTGACTTATCCTGCTCATCTGATGTCTGACACACAATCAAAGGACACTCTTTAGAAGGGTACAACTGAAAGTCTGAGTGAGTAACCCTTGTGGAAGAAACACCAGTGGCACAACGGTCCCTCTTTTAGGGATGCCATGTTCCTATTGACTCTAGTCACACATGTCATCCCATCTACCCCAAATCCATTAAAACCACTTCCTCGACAGCTTCATGGGCTGGCACTATTAGTGTACTGCTAAATTCTTGGTAGATCCTAACAAAGGGATTTTGATTAATATACCAAAACCACTGGGTGTTTGAACCAGAAAAAAATTATGGCAGTTGCGTAGTCTCAGAGTATACCATAGCAACAGCCTCTAATATCACCACCATTGGGTTCACCAGTTAGCCCCAGTCAGCAGTGGAGCTCTGTTTACTGTGACCCTTCCCAAGGACCTGCCAACAGCAGTCCTGTGCATTGGTCTGGTTATCACCCTCAGGTGGTTGTCACCAGCAGGAGTTCAGGTCGAGAAAGCCAGGGCAGAAGGCTGTAGAGGCATTCCAGAAATCAGTCAGATGAGGGAGTAGCTACACAGCCTACAAGTGACAGCATGTTCTGACCATGAGGTGAGGACAAGTAATGGTTTAAAACCACCCTGGGAGGGCCAGGCACGATGGCTCACGCCTGTAATCCCAGCACTTTGGGAGGCTGAGGCGGGTGGATCACCTGAGGTCAGGAGTTCGAGGCCAGCCTGACCAACATGGAGAAACCCCGTCTCTACTAAAAATACAAAATTAGCTGGGCATGGTGGCACATGCCTGTAATCCCAGCTGCTTGGGAGGCTGAGGCAGGAGAATTGCTTGAACCCAGGAGGCAGAGGTTGCGGTGAGCTGAGATCGTGCCATTGCACTCCAGCCTGGGCAACAAGAGTGAAACTCCATCTCACACACACACACACACACAAAACACAACAACAACAAGAAAACCACCCTGAGAAGCCCAAGAGTTTGAAAGAAAAATCTAAGCCAGGGCTGGATGTGGTGGTTCACACCTGTAATCCCAGCCCTTTGGAGGCCAAGGCGGAAGGATCACTGGAGCCCAGGAGTTTGAGACCACCCTGGGCTATATAGTGAAACCCCATCTCTGCTCAAAAAAGACAGAAGAAAAATCTAAATCAGGAAGTCTGTAGCTTTGGAAGGAGAAGGCGGGAACAAAGAACAGGATGGTGTAGGTGACAGGAATTGGGAGCCAGGCCAGGAGAGTGGGGCAGGAGTATCAGGGACCAGCAGAAAGGAGCAATTGAAAGCTTTGCATCAGCCTTTATGTGCTCCAGGTAGTAGCGTGGAGAAAACAAAAAGCACCTGTGAAGGGGTGGGTTGCCCCTCCACACCTGTGGGTGTTTCTCGTAAGGTGGAATGAGAGACTTGGAAAAGAAAAAGACACAGAGACAAAGTATAGAGAAAGAAATAAGGGGACCCGGGGAACCAGCGTTTAGCATATGGAGGATCCCGCCAGCCTCTGAGTTCCCTTAGTATTTATTGATCATTCGTGGGTGTTTCTCGAAGAGGGGGATGTGTCAGGGTCACAAGACAATTGTGGGGAGAGGGTCACAAGACAATTGTGGGGAGAGGGTCAGCAGACAAACACGTGAACAAAGTTCTTTGCATCATAGACAAGGTAAAGGATTAAGTGCTGTGCTTTTAGATATGCATACACATAAACATCTCAATGCTTTACAAAGCAGTATTGCTGCCTGCTTGTCCCACCTCCAGCCCTAAGGCGGTTTTTCCCTATCTCAGTAGATGGAACATACAATCGGGTTTTATACCGAGACATTCCATTGCCCAGGAACGGGCAGGAGATAGATGCCTTCCTCTTGTCTCAACTGCAAGAGGCATGCCTTCCTCTCATACTAATCCTCCTCAGCACAGACCCTTTACGGGTGTCGGGCTGGGGGACGGTCAGGTCTTTCCCTTCCCACGAGGCCATATTTCAGACTATCACATGGGGAGAAACCTTGGACAATACCTGGCTTTCCTAGGCAGAGGTCCCTGCGGCCTTCCGCAGTTTTTGTGTCCCTGGGTACTTGAGATTAGGGAGTGGTGATGACTCTTAACGAGCATGCTGCCTTCAAGCATCTGTTTAACAAAGCACATCTTGCACCACCCTTAATCCATTTAACCCTGAGTTTGACACAGCACATGTTTCAGAGAGCACGGGGTTGGGGGTAAGGTCACAGAATCTTAAGGCAGAAGAATTTTTCTTAGTACATAACAAAATGGAGTCTCCCATGTCTACTTCTTTCTACACAGACACAGTGACAATCTGATCTCTCTTGCTTTTCCCCACATTTCCCCCTTTTCTTTTCGACAAAACCGCCATCGTCATCATGGCCCGTTCTCGATGGTCGCTGTCTCTTCGGAGCTGTTGGGTACACCTGCAGACATGTGATAAGTGAATCTACTGATGGGACTGACAGTAGGTACTTCTACCAACCAATTTTGGACTGCAGGCATTAAACATCCTGGTGCTCTCCCTAGGCAAATAGGAGGATAACGATACCCAATGGAAATATTTATCATCATCCCTTCTTCCTCAGGTTTGGCAGGGCAGCGATCATCTGTGGGGCCAGGTACCCATACGCTATCATTAACATATACTTCTATAGGATTATCCATCCATGTGACTGCCCGAATTAAGGGCGGGAAAGGCACATAGGCCCAGTAGGTATAGTTAGCTGCAGCTGCTCCTGCAGGCATAGGGAGACTTACCACCGTTGATACAATCATCAAGGCTGCAAGCAGCATACTCTCTGGGGTTTGTGTCACCTTTGTGTTCTCTAGATATTTTGTAGCTAACTGCGTCAGCTTCTTTAGTTGTGCCCAAGTTGGCGGCTCTGCCTTCTTGGTGGATGGCAACTTCATCTGTTCTTCTGACGTCACCATTTTGTTCATCTTGTGAGTCAACGGTGCTCGACTGTGGTGTCTCCGTCTCCGCGGAGGTGCTTTTCTTTGCATCTCCGATGGGTTCATTGTAGAACTTCAAATGTCTAGTGCGTATCCAAACAGGAAGCTGATTTTCTCCTGGTGAAACACAAGCAAAACCTCTCCCCCACGTTATCACCTTCCCTATTTCCCATGTCTTATTTTTATTATCTTTCCACCAAATTAGTTTTCCTTCATGTGGGCTGTTCTTTTTACCAGTAAGATGTTGTTCTGCAGAAGTAGTAGTCTGATTTCTATAAATGTTTAAAAAATTTAAAGTATAGAGTGCTAGATTAAGTTGCATCTGAGGAGTGGTACACTCCTTACTGTCTCCTGCTTCTTTTTGTTTAACTAATTGAGTTTTGAGTGTTCTATTAGTTCTTTCAACTATGGCCTGTCCTTGGGAATTATAAGGCATTCCTGTTGTATGTGAAATTTTCCACTGACTTAAGAATTTTTGGAAAGCTTTACTACAATATCCTGGTCCATTGTCAGTTTTGATTTTTTCCGGAACTCCCATTACAGCAAAACAAGACAATAAATGTTTTTTTAACATGGGAAGTACTTTCTCCTGTTTGGCAAGTTGCCCATATGAAATGTGAATAAGTATCAACTATTACATGAACATATGATAATTTTCCAAATGAAGGTACATGCGTGACATCCATTTGCCATAATGCATTAGGACACAGACCTCTGGGATTAACTCCTGCCTCTTGAGTGGGCAGGTGTAAGACTTGACACTGGGTGCAATGTTGTACGATATCTTTTGCCTGTTTCCATGTGACATCAAATTTGTTTTTTAATCCTGCTGCATTTACATGAGTCAAAGCATGAAGTTCTTGTGCTTTTATGAATGCAGATGATACCAGTAAGTCAGCTTGTTCATTTGCTTTAGTCAAAGGCCCTGGTAAATTACTGTGTGCTCGAATATGAGTAATATAAAATGGGAAATTTCTTTTTCTTACAGTTTATTGTAATAAATTGAATAGCTGGTTTAACTGATCATCCATGCTATATTTAATTAGAGCTGTCTCAACATCCCTTGTAGCCTGTACTACATATGCAGAATCTGATATAATATTGATAGGTTGGTCAAAATCTTGTAACACTGTAATGACTGCAACCAACTCTGCTCTTTGAGCCGATTGATGTGGAGTTTTGATTACTCGTTCCTTCGGCCCTGTGTAAGCTGCTTTTCCATTGCTGGAACCATCAGTAAATACTGTTAGAGCATTTTCTAAAGGTTCACGTCTGGTAATTTTAGGTAGAATCCAAGTAGTCAATTTTAAGAACTGGAAGATCTTTGTTTTTGGGTAATGATTATCAATAATTCCCACAAAATTAGCAAGACCAATCTGCCATGCACCAGAATTGATAAAGGCTTGTCTAACTTGTTCCTTGGTTAAAGGGACAACTATTTTGTCTGGGTCATTTCCACATAATTTTATTATTCGTAATCTTGTCTGACCAATTAATGTAGCTATTTGATCCAAGTACAATGTAAAAGTCTTAACTGTACTGTGAGGAAGGAATGACCACTCCACAAGATCAGTATTTTGAATAATGATGCCTGTTGGAGAATGTGCAGTGGCAAAAATCAAAAGTTGGAGTGGGGCTAAGGGATCTATTCTATTTATTTGCGCTGACTGAATTTTTTCTTCCACTAATTTAATTTCTTTTGTTGCCTCTGGGGTTAACATTCTTTTACTATTTACGTCTGAGTCTCCTCTTAAGATAGAGAACAAATTTGACATGGCATAAGTAGGAATGCCTAGAGTTGGCCGAATCCAATTAATATCTCCCAGCAATTTTTGAAAATAATTTAGTGTTTTTAATGTGTCTTTTCTTATTTTTATTTTTTGTGGCTTAATTTTTCTATTTTCTATCTGCATCCCTAAATAATGAAAAGGAGTAGAGGTTTGGATCTTATCAGATGCTATTGCCAGTCCTGCATTGGCAACCTCTGCTTGCAGAAATGTATAACAGTCAATTAATTTATCTTTTGTTTCTGCAGCACATAAAATATCATCAATATAATGAATAATATAACAGTCTGAAAACTTGTCTCTAACTGGTTGAAGAGCTCGACCTACAAAAGTCTGACAAATAGTTGGACTATTAAGCATTCCCTGAGGTAACACTTTCCACTGAAACCTGGTGGCTGGTTCTTTATTATTTATGGCTGGTATAGTAAAGGCAAATTTTTCGCAATCCTGCTCCGCCAGAGGGATGGTAAAAAAGCAATCCTTTAGATCAATTATAATTAAAGGCCAGTCTTTTGGGATCATGGCCAGAGAGGGCAACCCGGGTTGGAGAGGCCCCATGGGTTGAATTACGGCGTTTACGGCCCTTAAGTCAGTTAACATACGCCATTTGCCTGATTTCTTCTGAATTACAAACACAGGAGAATTCCAAGGCGAGAACGAAGGCTCAATGTGACCCTTTTCTAACTGTTCATTTGCTAATAAATGTAAAGCCTCCAGTTTTTGTTTTGGTAGCGGCCACTGATTTACCCACACCGGTTTTTCTGTTTTCCAAGTTAATGGTATGGGTTTAGGAGGCTCTACAGTGGCTGCCCCTAACAAGGATACCCTATTCCTTCTCTTTCTTGATTTATTTTAGCCTCAACTGGAACTTTAATGCCATCTTCATTTTTTCCTAGTCCCTTTCCTGGTATATATCCCATCTTGGTCATGATTTTTTGACTCGTGGGGCTATATAATGGAGCGGGCATGATTTCCGCACCCCATTGTTGTAATAAATCTCGACCCCACAGATTAAGAGGAATTGAAGTAATCATTGGCTGAACAGTACTTTCTTGATTATCTGGCCCTAAGCAATGTAAAATCTCAGTACTTTGATACACTTCTGAGGCTGTGCCTATGCCGACAAATCCTGTAACAGCCTTTTGTTTAGGCCAATTTTTTGGCCACCGATTTAAAGCAATGATAGAGACATCTGCTCCAGTGTCTACCAACCCTTCAAACTGTTTTCCTTGAATAATGGCCTTACACACAGGTCTGTTCTCTGAGACCTGACTTGCCCAATATGCAGCCTTTCCTGTCGGATCAGTGCTTCCAAACCCTCCTGTTCTTTTTATTTCACTATTTCCACCCTTAATATATGGCAGGAGTAATAATTCAGCAATCCTGTCTCCTGGACTGGCACTCCAAGGAATTGAAGAGCTAATAACCAACTGAATTTCGCCTTTATAGTCTGAATCAACCACACCAGTATGAATTTGAACTCCTTTTAGATTTAGACTTGATCTTCCCAAGATTAGTCCTACAGTCCTCTCAGGCAGTGGGCCATATACCTCTGTGGGGATTTTTTGTGGGGGCTCCCCTGGAAGCAGAGAGACTGCTTGTATAGTACATAAATCTACTGCTGCACTGCCGCTCGTGGCGGGGGACAATTGTTGTATCGTGGTAACTGGCTTATTCCCTGAAACACTTGGGACAGTGGGTTTGTTGTCCCTGAAAACCCTGAGGAACAAATGGCTGAATTGGGAATGCCCCAGTTTGTTGTGGGGCCTGAGGCTGGCCCCTTTGGTCGTTTCCCGACAATGGTTGCCCATTTTTATCAAATTTAGAACGACATTGACTAGCCCAATGTTTTCCTTTTTTACATCTTGGACATAAGTCAGGTGGCTCTCTACCTGTTGTAGTTGCTTGAATAGTTATATTCTGTTTATTTGAGACTGGGCAATTCTTTTTTAAGTGACCAATTTGACCACAATTGTAACATTTTCCTCCAAATGTTCTAACTTGTCCTCCTAAAACAACTCCTGTTATTGCTTGAGCCATAAGCATAGCTTTATGCATAGCTCCTCTGATTCCATCACAGGCTTTTACATATTCTGAGATTACATCTGATCCTGCGGGAACCTTTCCTTTTAATGGCTTAATGGCTGATTGACACTCAGGATTGGCGTTTTCATATGCCATCAACTCCACTATGACCTTACGGGCTTTTTCATTGGCAATTGACTTTTGAGCAACATCTTGGAGCCTTGCCACAAAATCAGGGTAGGGCTCTTTCGAACCTTGTCTTACTGTATTAAATGAGGGGCAGGCGCTTCCTGGGTCTTGGATTTTTTCCCAGGCTCTAAGGCAGATAGCTCTAACTTGCTCAATGGCCTCATTTTGCATTAATGCTTGTTGACTAATAGTACTCCAATTTTGACTTATTCCTAATAGTTGATCTGCATCTATGTTAACTGGAGGATTGGCAGCCCTATTTCTTCGGACCTGTTCTTGTACCCCATCAATCCACCAAGTCTTAAATTGTAAAAATTGAGAGGGTGAGAGAGACGATTTTGCCAGAATCTCCCAATCATAAGGAATGAGTCTATGTCCATGAGCAATGGAATCTAATAATGTCCTCATATAAGGGGATTTGGGTCCATACTGTTTTACTCCCTCTTTCATATCTTTTAGCATTTTTATCGAAAAAGACTTGTATCTGGCCTCAACTGTGAGAGGCTCTCCCTCTTGGGCTCCTTCTCCAGGTGGCATCGGTTCTAACGTTACTGGGAATTGCCACGCCTCAGTATCTCCTTCCTTTCTTGATTTATCAATAATTTCATGTAATTCACTACCCTGTCTACTAGGTGGTGCCGTAGGATTAAGTCTCCTAGTGGGCGGCTGAGGGTATGGCGCCCTGCCCTGTGGTGCTGGGGGCATTCCTGGATATCCATACTGACTTTCTGGGGGTGGCCGATACTGAAGTTCGGCTGGCGGCCAGTATTGATAAGCTACTGGCGGTTGGGTCTTATTTTCTTTAACCTGCGTTTGAGGTTGTAGTGTTACGGGCACCTGACCTGCTGGAAGAGGACTTGGCCCTCGTGGCTTAGACTCTGATGGCCCCACTAATTCTGGACCTTTTCCTTCTAATTTTAACGTTTCAGGATATATCACCTCCTGTAATTGATTATAGTCAACATTTTGCGTTGACTGAGCCATTACCGGCTCTGCTACATATTCGCAATGTAAACTTTCCATTTCTTTCTGGGATTTTTTCCTTGTCTTTTCATTACAATCTACTATACAGCTTCTAGGGGCGTCAGGAACTGAAACGCTATCTTCTTCTGTTTGAAATGGTTCTAAAGCTGCTTTAATAATGGCCCAATCATTCCATACTATAAGTGGAATGATATTACCCTTCCTACCTGCTTGTTTTAGTTCCTTACCAATTCTTTTCCAGTCTTTTAGATCTAAAGTTCCTTGTTCTGGAAACCATGGGCAAAATTGTTCTATTATTTGAAATAGCTTGATTAGATTTTTTTGTAGATACTTTAACTCCCCCTCTTTTTAAAAGAATTTTAATAAAGCTGAGATAAGAGGCATATTTACTTTTAATTTTACTTTTAGTTTGCCCCATTATTACCCTAGCTTCTTCCGAGCTCACAAGCTTACCGTACGGCTGACTGTATATGTACTCGGGATCTCTCGTCGACTTGTGCTCAATGACCACGCTCGAGCGTACCTTCACCCTAGAGAAAAGCCTCCACGTTGGGCACCAGATGAAGGGGTGGGTTGCCCCTCCACACCTGCCTGGAATGGAGGGTGAAGTTCCCAAGGAAAGAACAGTGTCTAATGCTAGAGTTCTCTGAGTTATTGCTCAGTCAACCACATCACCATGGTTACCGTAAGAAAATTGGGCAGTTTTCCCATACTAATGGTAAACATTTTTTTCTGATTAGCCTGGATCTGAGTTTCTGGATTCTGTTATAAACCACTTCTCCTTTGAAGAATCCTGTCTTTAATGTACAAAGAACAGTTTGCAAAACATCCCCGTAAGCCCTTTTTCTGGTGAACACTGAGAGAACATTTCTGAGCAGTTTTGTAAGCTCCAGAGCCTAGGATGCTGCTGTGTTGGCCCTGGGATCTGGGACTTGGTGGAATGAAGAGAAGGGCAGGAGGGCAAGGTGAGCTGCACTGAGATTGGTTCTGTGTATGAGTTTCCTAATTAGCTGCCTTAACAACACATCACAAACTGAATGGCCACACATTTCTGGAGGCTAGAAGGGCAAAATCAAGGTGTCAGCAGGATTAGTTCTTTCTTAAGGTGTTAGGCAATAATCTGTTCAAGGCCTCTCGCCTAGTTTCCGGTGGTTTGGTGATCTTTGTTGTTGCTGTTTGTTGTGGTTGTTCTTCCTATATGTTTGTTTCATTTCCTGAACTAATTCTGTTAAGTCTGTATTCTTTGTCATTGTCATGTGTGACCACTGAAGTCTGTTTGGTTGGCTTAGTGGTCAGCTAGTGATTAGACAGATACTCCCTTAATTGCTTTGAAACAATAAGTGTCTCAGCCTTTGCTGAGAGGTTCTGTGTGTGTGTTGTGGGTGGTGGGGAGCATGTCTTCAGCACTCCAGCAATTTACATCTCTGCCTTAGCCTTCACTTCCTGCTTATACAGAGCCACATAGTCAGCCGGAAGTGAAAGATTAGAGCCCTCTTCCATCTTTCCTGGACATGTGCACAGCTCTGCATGTGTAGGTGGCATTCTAGATTGCTGGGAATATATCAGAGAGATCAGAGACCCTGTGAGCATCTTATTCCCCAGCTTTTCCTTTTAAGTTTTTGGTCAGCTTCTTATTTGCCCCAAGTGTTATCACCACCTCAGGCAGCTGCTGTGATGTTAAATAATTGCTGCTGGTTTTTTGAGCTAGCTCAGTGTTAGGTCAAATAGGCCCTATAAATGGGGGTTTTCAGAGAATTCCAGATAGGTGAGATAATGTCAGTTCTCCAGGGATGGGGTTTTTGGGAGCATTCTGAACCCACTCTGCCCCCTCCAGTGGCTGCTAGGCTGCTGGTTTTCATGGCTGCTATGATTGTATGGCTGTTAGTTTTCTAGGTTATAGCAGCCAAGGAGAGGGGGGACAGAAATAGGGTAAGTTAAACTGCCACAAAACTTACTGTTCTTACTAAGTTTCAGCTCTTCAAAAACACAAATGCTCCTGGGATTGTTGCAAGCCTTTGGTTAATTTCAGAGCTCTGAAAAAGTTGACTTTGACCATTTTTAATCATTATTCTAATTGCTTTTATGGAGGAGTAGATATCTGGAGGTTCCTATTCTACCATCCCCACTGATGCCCACACTGTGTCTTATATTTTATTTTATTTTATTTTCCGGGTATGTCTTTTAAGTGATTTAAATTAATATAAGTTTGTTAAATTATTTGAATTTCAAGATGAGCATTTTCTTTTCTGTTTTGAGAGAGTCTCACTCTGTTGCCCAGGCTGGAGTACATTGGCACAATCATGGCTCACCTTCAACCTCCTGTGTTCAAGTGATCCTCTCACCTCAGCCTCCCAAGTAGCTGGGACCACAGGCATGCACCATCACACCCTGCTAATTTTTAAATTTTTGTAGACATAGAGTTTGCCTATGTTGCCCAAGGTGGTCTCAAACTCCTGGGCTGAAGTGATCCTCCCACCTTGGCCTCCCAAAGGGCTGGGATTACAGGTGTGAGCCACCACGCCTGGCCAAGATGAGCATTTTCAATTTACAATCACTTCTTTAGTCAATTCTGAGAATGTGACTCTTCTATTTGTCTACCATAATCCTTAAAAGCTCTTTCCTCCTCCAAAGGAACCTGGGCATTTCTAGGAATTTTCTTCTCCATTTTGACCATTTTCTCTTCCAGTGGAATATTAATTCATCTCTCCTTTATCCTGATATTTCTTAATAACAAGATGTACTAATAACTATGTATGGAGTATTTATGGAGTAAAGTATTCCATGCTGTATGTACATCTGGGATCCCTTGCTGAAACCAGCAAGATCAGAGGAGGCTTCTCTCTCCTTGTTCATAGGACTGACAGGGATCTATGCAGCTCTTTCCCTAACCTCTACTGTGTCTCCCTAGTCCATGATGGCAGTGAAGAAGAAGACGATGACTATGGGCTGATATCCAGTGTGGAAGAGATCCCCGAAGATGCAGCCTCCATAACCATGAGAAGAGAGAACAGCTTTCGTCGAACACTTAGCCGCAGGTTGGCTATCTATTCAGCTGGCAGCCCTCGTCAGCTCTATATTTCCACTTGATCTTTTTCTTTTTCTTCCTGGGCTTTTCCTGTGAGGGTTAACACCATGGACACTCCAAGCTCTTCCTTTGTTTCTTTGTTGTGGGGATGGGGAAAGATCGGGGTTGTGTCAGTTTCCCCTGGTCATCTGCCCTGAAATGCGCTTTGATGCCAGCTGAGTGACTGTGACATCTGCTTGCAAGAAGACCCTTGGGAATTGCCTGCATGCTCAGGGAAGCTTCCCTCTCTCAGTTCTAGGTCCAATGGCAGGCATCTGAAGTCCCTGAGAAACTCCTTGAAAACTCGGAATGTGAATAGCCTGAAGGAAGACGAAGAACTAGTGAAAGGACAAAAACTAATTAAGAAGGAATTCATAGAAACTGGAAAGGTGAACACCACACAGAAAAGTAGCATTTGAGGTGTTATAAGGTTTAGAACCCAAAATTTTTAACGTTCAGTGAAAATTGAACGCATACTTACAGGAGCAATATGTCCTCTGTCCTTTGCAAATCTTCAGACTCATTATTAACCTGTTAGCAGAGGCTGTGGGCTTTCTACCAAGTCATATTTCCATAAAGAATGCTATGTTTCCTGTGAATGTCCTCATCCTACACTTCATGAGTGTTTGATTCCATTCTGATGTGTGGAGGAACAGGAAAACTCAGACCTAGAGCACATAATTCAAATTAATGAAATTTAACCACAAATTTCAAGGTCGGCAGTAGAACCCCATCATCTGTTCCACTCTGATTTTTTGTTTGTGTGTTTATTTTAGATACAGGGTCTCACTATGTTGCCCAGGCTGGACTAAAACCTCAGGGCTCAAGAGATCCTCCCACACCAGCCTTCTGAGTAGCTGGGACTACAGGGGCATGCTATCATGTCTGGCTTGTCCCAATCTGTTTTTATATCTTCTCCTCTTAAATGCCTTTAGCTTTGATGATTATTTACCCTGCATTGTATTTCAGCATTGTTCTATTATCCTTCCTGGCACAGTGCAGAAATGGTGACCACAGACTACCAAATTTTGCTACCTGCTACCCATGCTCCCAGGGGACTCCACTTCTCCTTGTGGTTGGCATTCTAGGTGATTCCTTATCAAAAGCCATTAGGGAGTTCTACTAATATTGAGGTGGGGACTTTGCAGGTGAAGTTCTCCATCTACCTGGAGTACCTACAAGCAATAGGATTGTTTTCGATATTCTTCATCATCCTTGCGTTTGTGATGAATTCTGTGGCTTTTATTGGATCCAACCTCTGGCTCAGTGCTTGGACCAGTGACTCTAAAATCTTCAATAGCACCGACTATCCAGCATCTCAGAGGGACATGAGAGTTGGAGTCTACGGAGCTCTGGGATTAGCCCAAGGTATGTCTGATGGCTATGACATCTTACAGAATCTGTCTGGACCCTGTACTTTTCCTGGACTCAGGAATGCATTTGCCATTATGTCCTGGGCACAAGTCTTCAGGGATTCCTGTGCATGGTGCTGACAAAACTGCTTCCATCTCTAGGTATATTTGTGTTCATAGCACATTTCTGGAGTGCCTTTGGTTTCGTCCATGCATCAAATATCTTGCACAAGCAACTGCTGAACAATATCCTTCGAGCACCTATGAGATTTTTTGACACAACACCCACAGGCCGGATTGTGAACAGGTTTGCCGGCGTAAGTATCTCAAGAACTGTCAGGTGGTGTGTTTATATACTGAGGATCTTTCTGATAGGGAGGAATTATTATGTCCCCCTAGACAACACTGTTCAGTTCCAGTTCTTTTGTCACTCAACATGCAAGTGTTTCTTGAGTACCTGCTGTGAGCTCCCAAGAATCCTGGAGATTGAGGGATGAACATCTCTGACCCTTCAAGTAGCTCAGCATCTAGTGAAGAAGACAACCAAAGAAGTGAAGGATTATAATAGAATATAGTAAAACCAGTAACAGCAGTGTGTAGAAAGGTGGTCTGGGAGTACAAAGGAAAAAAAGGCACTAGCCCAGCCTGCGTGATAAAGGTGGGAAATGTCAGAAAAGGTGAAACTTAAGTCATAGAAGCAAGCCAGGGAGATGGCAAGGGTTGGGGGATGGCAGTAGAGCAGGGTGAGAAGGATTATTCTGCAGAGGAAGGAACATAAATAAAAGCACTGTCACAGCCTGGGACAGGAAATACAAGAGATAGTAGGATAACCCTTTGCTTGGCCTCTGCCTCCATTCCTGAAACTTCTATCTTGAATGCTTTAAGAATGAGTAAATTTGGTCTGGACTATGGAATAGAGCCATCAGTGATTTTAAAAAGTTCTCAAATATTGTTTCCATCTACCACAGATCCTGGACCCCTTGGCATTCACTCATTCATTCATTCAACAACCGTTATTGAGCACTTTCTATGAGCCAACTACTGTACTAGACACTGGGGCACTCAATGAATGTGAAGATCATAGATGTCTCTCTTCCATGGGCCAGACCCAACTCACTGATTTTTTAGTGTATCTGAGATGGGAATTCAGGAACAGAGGCAGAGATCAGGCAATTCTGAATGATAAGTAACTATCACCAGCACAGTTTTTAGCCCTGTGCTTATGGAGCAGCTCTGGACTCTTGTTTGTTGGTCTTGGGGCAGACATAGAAAGTATAGCTCACAGTCCACAGCCAGGTTCTGGGGACACAGTAACTGCTTCAAAAGTGGGCCATTAACTGGTCCCCCTGTGTCATCTTCCTCTGGGGCAGAAACAGTGGGCATGATGTCACTAGAGACAACTTCAATGGCCTTTCTGCTCTTTACTAGAACCTAAAAGAACACTCAATTTTGGGTGAGAAATTTCTCATAGTAATTTTGTAAAGATCACAGTTTTCCCCATGTTGTAATATATATAATCTTCTGGGAAAGAGAACACAGAGGTTTTCTGTGAGTTACTTAGGCAACAGTCATAGTTTGAAGACTGCTTTTGCATGAGAAAGGAAACTGTCATTAATTATATAGTATGTTTCGTTGGGGAGGTGGCTCAGACCTATTAAGGGGAGTTTGATCAAGGGGCCTCTGGGATCAATGGCTGAGTTAAGAGGAGATGGAGTGGAGGAAGGAAAGATGGAGACTCTGTGCCAGGTAAGGATCAAAAGTAATCTGCATAGAACTGATAACTGGTAGGGATTTCTTTTCTCTGCCAACTGTGGGTATAGTTATTTGCATTCTGATAGGACTTTGGGAAAGGTAGGTTAGACTCAGGAGTCATCCATGATTCAGAGCTTTCCTGGAAGACCATTATCCCTGATACAGTTTGAGAAATTCCAGAGATAACTTAAACTCACTTTGGTACTCACATATTACCAATCATAGAATCAATATAATCCCCACAAATTTAGGCAAGGGCAACCCAAAATATAAACCAAGCTTCTTGAGTGTTCTCCAAACCATCCATCCATTCATTCATTTTTCTTATTTGTTCATTTATTTCACATGACACGAAGGCAACATGGCAGTAAGACACATCTGTTCCCGCTGGGTTCCTTGGTTAGAACACTGTCCAGGCAGGCTCACATTCAACCCCAGCTCCCTTCCCCTTGGTCCTCTATGCTTAGCAGAGGAAGCAACTTCCTGAGTATTTTTAGTAGAGATGGGATTTCACCATGTTGGTCAGGCTGGTCTTGAACTCCCGATCTCAGGTGATCCACCCGCCTCGGCCTTGCAAAGTGCTGGGATTACAGGTGTGACCACCACGCCAGGCCTAAAT
The DNA here is from genome assembly GCF_000001405.40 of Homo sapiens. Lineage (NCBI taxonomy): Eukaryota > Metazoa > Chordata > Mammalia > Primates > Hominidae > Homo > Homo sapiens. The sequence continues at coordinate 99,834,186 of NC_000010.11, forward strand.
GAAGAAATTATGGAAATGAAATTGGTTATTGGGGCAAGCAATGCAGCCTATTGCAAATGAACACAATGAAATGATTACATGAAGGAGTACTGGGAACACACAGAATCCAACAGATTCCTTGCTAGAACTAGGAAGATGTAAACTATCTTAGGAAGACCTCAGTGATGGTGTATCTCTCCTAATCGTTTTCCTAGGATATTTCCACAGTGGATGACACCCTGCCTCAGTCCTTGCGCAGCTGGATTACATGCTTCCTGGGGATAATCAGCACCCTTGTCATGATCTGCATGGCCACTCCTGTCTTCACCATCATCGTCATTCCTCTTGGCATTATTTATGTATCTGTTCAGGTAGGTTTGGAAATGGCTAAGTCATCCTTCCTTCCTCTCTATCTATAAAAGCCCAGCCTCTTTCCTGAGAATCTTCTCTCTGATTCATTGCTAGTCACTCACTCCTCCCCTCAGCAGCTTTGCCATTTAGTCATATGTTGACATACCCAGGAGCCCACAGGCCACTGTCTGAAGCTGAAGTGAGAGCATCAATGGGTGCACCATTTATGGCAAATGTCACCCTAACTGCTGCCCACCCTTCACTCCCTGGAAGCTTAGGTCGGACAGATTTACGTTTGGATCCAAGACTACTTTGAGATTGGCTCTGGACACAGTCTTGCAGCTCCATAAGAACCCCCATGACGATTAGGTCGGTTCCAGAAGAGCCATGCTATGGTGCTTCCTTGGTTGACTTTGGACAGGCATAGCTGCTTGGAGATGTCTCTCAGCAGCAGCTGGGTCTTTCTTTTTACTTCGGCAAAGTTCTAGTTTCACTGGGGTGTCTGTGGGTGGTTTAGGCTCAATTCCAGTGTATTCTTCGAGGGAATGTGCAGCTTGAAAGCAAAACAGGGAAACTGGAACGAGTGGAAGGAACCCTATTCCCACAATAAAATGGATGAGGGAAGGGGAGGCTGTGGAGGAACTCTGGTCCCACCAGCTGCTTTTGTGGTGAATTGTTTGCCTGGGGAAACAATTCTGAAGACACTGATCAGGGGCTCGTGGCCTTGTGGCCTGCGATTGGCGGCTCGCCCCCATGTCCGTGTACAGTTCCTCAGGCACATTGTCACCATAGCGGCCTTTTAACTATTAATAACAAGCCAACAAACAAGAAGCAGGGTTATTGGAGGGAACATCTGTATGTCCATGTATAACATTTTGCATCCCGTCTCTCCAACGCCCCACTCTTCCCAGGTTTCAACAAATCCTCACAGAATCTAGTAGCAGCACGGACCCATTCCACTCCCCCTTGCCCTCAGGCCACAGGGTTCTTCCCTGCATTGGATTCTACCCTGTTCCAGTTCTTACCCCCTCAGCACTCTGCATACCTCCAGAATTCTCTGTACCTTCACACACCACCGAGGCACAGTTTTGGTCACTTAATTGAACAGATTCTTCCCTTTTTACCCAAACCTAGGCATGCCTTTTTCTGGCCATTTCCTGCCCATCCCCACTTTACACACCCCACGGGCCCCACTGCCTTTACAAAATCCTTTTGGGGACCTTTTCTCTAATGAGTACAGAAACTGTCACATGGATGATAGCCGTAGATCTGGGGGATATGGGTTAGGCTGACGGAACTCCTTAGGAGGTTTGGAGACTCAAAGCTCTGAGGCTGCAGTGTGCTCTCCTCACGTTCACCCCACTCTGTTCCCCACCAACCCCAGTCTTCTCATTGGTCTCCTCCTCGGAGCCTCTCATCATTCTGCTCCCAGACATGGCACTGCAGGCTTTTGTCTTGTTCAGACGTAAGCTGTGCCCATCAAGGGGAAGAATGCTGGGTTGTGGCCAGAAAGGAGGAAGATGGTGGATGCCTCATGACTGCGGGACTGGCTGATTCTTTACTTTTTGTGTCCAGATGTTTTATGTGTCTACCTCCCGCCAGCTGAGGCGTCTGGACTCTGTCACCAGGTCCCCAATCTACTCTCACTTCAGCGAGACCGTATCAGGTTTGCCAGTTATCCGTGCCTTTGAGCACCAGCAGCGATTTCTGAAACACAATGAGGTGAGGATTGACACCAACCAGAAATGTGTCTTTTCCTGGATCACCTCCAACAGGTGAGGCTTCCCCTGGGTATTTACCCATGTGTGTACTTTGGGGTTCTATATGTTTGATATTAGCGGTGGGAGGGCAGGCATGGCTAGTGGTGTGAAATTCACTCTGGCCACACACACTGTCATGCTATGTAAGTGGAGAGAAGAAAGCATGAGCTTTGGAGTCAGAGACTGGGTCCCCATGACAGCTCTGCCGTTTACCAAGCTGGGTGAATTGCCTTGACTTCTCTAAGGAGAATCTCCATTTCTTTGTTTTTGTAATGGCCAGAACACACCCTATCTCACAGGGTTCCACCTGTCTCATGGTGGAAGTCAAATGACATTTGTGAGCATTTTGTAACCCAGTACCAAATAAGTGCTGGGTGAACTGAACATCCTCTGTTTACTTTTCTGAGAACGGATGTGAGATTCTCCATAGTCATGACACTCTTTCTGGGTAGTGAAGGCAGTGGAGGTTGGAGAGAGGAGAGTTGGGAATTTTTAGGTAAGACCATTGATGACAGAAAGGGAAGCTTCCGTCTTGTGAACAGGGTGAGCATTATTCTCCAGTATCCTTAAGCCCTGGCAAGCAGTATGTCCTGGAAAGAGGAAGATCTTTTTCAGGAAGAAAAATTCTTGAGTGGCTTCCAAAGTGTCTTGAGGCGCTAAAGATGCTCAGCATTATTTGGAATGTGGACAGGTCAGGAGTTTGATTGTAAAGATATTTTATTTCTTAGAGACTTTCTAAGAAGGAAAAGGCATATAAGTAAATCTTATTAGACCTTCACTGTAAAGGACATATCATATTTATTCATACACATGCTGGAATTATTGGTGCAGACATTTAAATACATTTTCTTTGAGAAAGTCCTTTTTTTTTTTTTTTTTGATGGAGTTTCCCTCTTGTTGCCCAGGCTGGAGTGCAATGGTGCAATCTCAGCTCACAACAACCTCTGCCTCCTGGGTTCAAGCAATTCTCCTGCCTCAGCCTCCCAAGTAGCTGGGATTACAGGCATGCACCACCACGCCCAGCTAATTTTTTTTATTTTTAGTAGAGACGGGGTTTCTCCGTGTTGGTCAGGCTGGTCTTGAACTCCTGATCTCAGGTGATCTGCCCACCTTGGCCTGCCACAGTGCTGGGATTACAGTCGTGAGCCACCACAGCTGGCCTGGGAAAGTCCATTCTTTTTTTTCTTTTTTTTTTTTTTTTTAAATTTATTTTTTTATTGATAATTCTTGGGTGTTTCTCACAGAGGGGGATTTGGCAGGGTCATGGGACAATAGTGGAGGGAAGGTCAGCAGATAAACAAGTGAACAAAGGTCTCTGGTTTTCCTAGGCAGAGGACCCCGCGGCCTTCCGCAGTGTTTGTGTCCCTGATTACTTGAGATTAGGGATTGGTGATGACTCTTAACGAGCATGCTGCCTTCAAGCATCTGTTTAACAAAGCACATCTTGCACTGCCCTTAATCCATTTAACCCTGAGTGGACACAGCACATGTTTCAGAGAGCACAGGGTTGGGGGTAAGGTCACAGATCAACAGGATCCCAAGGCAGAGGAATTTTTCTTAGTGCAGAACAAAATGAAAAGTCTCCCATGTCTACTTCTTTCTACACAGACACGGCAACCATCCGATTTCTCAATCTTTTCCCCACCTTTCCCGCCTTTCTATTCCACAATGCCGCCATTGTCATCCTGGCCCGTTCTCAATGAGCTGTTGGGCACACCTCCCAGACGGGGTGGTGGCCGGGCAGAGGGGCTCCTCACTTCCCAGTAGGGGCGGCCGGGCAGAGGCGCCCCTCACCTCCCGGACGGGGCGGCTGGCCGGGCAGGGGGGCTGACCCCCCCCACCTCCCTCCCGGACGGGGCGGCTGGCCGGGCGGGGGGCTGACCCCCCAACCTCCCTCCCGGACGGGGCGGCTGGCCGGGCGGGGGGCTGACCCCCCCACCTCCCTCCCGGACGGGGCGGCTGGCCGGGCAGAGGGGCTCCTCACTTCCCAGTAGGGGCGGCCAGGCAGAGGCGCCCCTCACCTCCCGGACGGGGCGGCTGGCCGGGCAGGGGGGCCGACCCCCCCCACCTCCCTCCCGGACGGGGCGGCTGGCCGGGCGGGGGGCCGACCCCCCCACCTCCCTCCCGGACGGGGCGGCTGGCCGGGCGGGGGGCCGACCCCCCCACCTCCCTCCCGGACGGGGCGGCTGGCCGGGCAGAGGGGCTCCTCACTTCCCAGTAGGGGCGGCCGGGCAGAGGCGCCCCTCACCTCCCAGACGGGGCGGCTGGCCGGGCGGAGGGCTGAGCCCCCCATCTCCCTCCCGGACGGGGTGGCTGGCCGGGCTGAGGGGCTCCTCACTTCCCAGTAGGGGCGGCCGGGCAGAGGCGCCCCTCACCTCCCGGACGGGGCGGCTGGCCGGGCGGGGGGCTGACCCCCCCACCTCCCTCCCGGATGGCACGGCTGGCCGGGCGGGGGGGCTGACCCCCCACCTCCCTCCCGGACAGGGCGGCTGGCTGGGCGGGGGGGCTGACCCCCCCCACCTCCCTCCCGGACGGGGCGGCTGGCCGGGCGGGGGGCTGACCCCCCCACCTCCCTCCCGGACGGGGCGGCTGGCCGGGCAGAGGGGCTCCTCACTTCCCAGTAGGGGCGGCCGGGCAGAGGCGCCCCTCACCTCCCGGACGGGGCGGCTGGCCGGGCGGGGGGCCGACCCCCTCACCTCCCTCCCGGACGGGGCGGCTGGCCGGGCAGAGGGGCTCCTCACTTCCCAGTAGGGGCGGCCGGGCAGAGGCGCCCCTCACCTCCCGGACGGGGCGGCTGGCCGGGCAGGGGGGCAGACCCCCCCCCCACCTCCCTCCCGGACGGGGCGGCTGGCCGGGCGGGGGGCCGACCCCCCCACCTCCCTCCCGGACGGGGCGGCTGGCCGGGCGGGGGGCCAACCCCCCCACCTCCCTCCCGGACGGGCCGGCTGGCCGGGCGGGGGGCCGACCCCCCCACCTCCCTCCCGGACGGGGCGGCTGGCCGGGCAGAGGGGCTCCTCACTTCCCAGTAGGGGCGGCCGGGCAGAGGCGCCCCTCACCTCCCGGACAGGGCGGCTGGCTGGGCGGGGGGGCTGACCCCCCCCCACCTCCCTCCCGGACGGGGCGGCTGGCCGGGCGGGGGGCTGACCCCCCCACCTCCCTCCCGGACGGGGTGGCTGGCCGGGCGGGGGGGCTGACCCCCCACCTCCCTCCCGGATGGGGCGGCTGGCCGGGCGGGGGGCTGACCCCCCACCTCCCTCCCGGATGGGGCGGCTGGCCGGGCGGGGGGCTGACCCCCCCCCACCTCCCTCCCGGACGGGGTGGCTGCCGGGCGGAGACGCTCCTCACTTCCCAGATGGGGTGGCTGCCGGGCGGAGAGGCTCCTTACTTCTCAGACGGGGCAGCTGCCGGGCGGAGGGGCTCCTCACTTCTCAGACGGGGTGGTTGCCAGGCAGAGGGTCTCCTCACTTCTCAGACGGGGCGGCCGGGCAGAGACGCTCCTCACCTCCCAGACGGGGTCTCGGCCGGGCAGAGGCGCTCCTCACATCCCAGATGGGGCGGAGGGGCAGAGGCGCTCCCCACATCTCAGACGATGGGCGGCCGGGCAGAGACGCTCCTCACTTCCTAGATGTGATGGCGGCTGGGAAGAGGCGCTCCTCACTTCCTAGATGGGATGGCGGCCGGGCGGAGACGCTCCTCACTTTCCAGACTGGGCAGCCAGGCAGAGGGGCTCCTCACATCCCAGACGATGGGCGGCCAGGCAGAGACACTCCTCACTTCCCAGACGGGGTGGCAGCCGGGCAGAGGCTGCAATCTCGGCACTTTGGGAGGCCAAGGCAGGCGGCTGCTCCTTGCCCTCGGGCCCCGCGGGGCCCGTCCGCTCCTCCAGCCGCTGCCTCCCGGGCGGCGCTCGCCGGCGCGGCGGCAAAGACTGAGACAGCTCCGCTGCCCGCTGAACTCCATCCTCCCGGCGGTCGGGCGGCGGCGGCTGCGGTCGGTCGCGGCAGCGGCTCCGCTTCATATCTGCAGCTGGGGCCCGCGGGCGTCAGCGCCGCGACTGTCCTGGCTCCGCACTGCCCCGGGCCGCAGCGCAGCCGCGCCAACCACCAGCCGCGGCCACCATGGCCGGACGGGCTCCCTAAGCCACCGACCCCAGCCCGCGGCGCCTTCGACCCTTCTGGGGCCTCCGGCGCCGCGACCTCCTCTGCCTGAAATTTCTTTTTTCTTTTCCTTTTATTTTATTTTATTTTTTGAGACGGAGTCTTGCTCTGTTGTCTGGGTGGAGTGCAGTGGTGCAATCTCGGCTCACTGCAACCTCTGCCTCCCAGGTTGAAGCGATTTTCCTGCCTCAGCCTCAGCCTCCTGAGTAGCTGGGACTACAGGTGTGCACCACCACGCCCAGCTATTTTTGTTTGTTTGTTTTTAGTAGAGAAGGGGTTTCACCATGTTGGCCAGGATCATCTCAATCTCTTGACCTCATGATCCGCCCGCCTCAGCCTCCCAAAGCGCTGGGATTATAGGTGTGAGCCACTGCGCCCAGCCACCTGTGAGCTTTCTTTTCCTCCTCCATCTCTGGTCCTGACCCCTCATCCTCTTAAGCAACCCTCTCCTAGTTCCAGAAGCTTTCCTGCCAGTGAGGATGGAGATAGGAAATCAGAAAACCTAGGGGCTCCAGGCATCCTGAGGTGTGAACCAGAGCCCTCCAGACCCCCTAGGCCTGTCACAGTAAAAGTCCATTCTTATAAACTGTGTCTATACACATGTATTCTTCAGTTCTCTATGAAACCCCAGTATATCTCCCTGTGGCCAACTTGCACCTAACTTCCTTTCACCCTCAGCTTCTTCTTCCCCTTTTACAAATACTGAAATCAAACAGGGCACGTTGACCCTTCCTATGGTGCTTACTTTTTAATCTTACACATGGATTCACTATGGCATTGCTTCCCCAGCCTGATCAAAAGAAGTCATTTGGAGCGTTCATTTAAAATGCAGATTTTTGGCCAGGAGCAATGGCTCATGCCTGTAATTCCAGCACTTTGGGAGACTGAGGCAAGCAGAACACGTGAGCCCAGGAGTTCAAGACCAGCTTGGGCAACATGATGAAATCCTGGCTCTACAAAAAATACAAAAAAATTAGCTGGGTGTAGTGGTGTGCACCTATAGTTCCAGCTACTTGGGAGGTTGAGGTAGGAGGATGGCTTGAGCCCGGGAGGTCGAGGCTGCAGTGAGCCATGATCACGCCACTGCACTCTAGCCTTGGTGACAGAGCAAGACCTTGTCTCATAAAACAAAAACAAAAAAAAATGCAGATTCTTGAATCCCATCCTAGGCCCCCTGAAATCAGAATCTTAAAGGAAAGGGTCCAGGAATTTTCCACATGAATTTGTAACATTGTATATTAACAGTTGCCCTAGGTGATTCTTATGATTTGGCGAGTTTGGTAGACATTGCACTGTAGGATTCCCTTAGTTCAGCAAAGACCTCTAGGATCTTTAAAATGCAATTTATTTTCTTAAAAAATATATCAATAGGCTTTTAGGAATACATGGTGTTTCTAAGTCAAATTGAGGCATTGCCTAAGAGTGCGGCCCGATCAAGTCAAACCCTCTGAGAATGTTCTGTGAACGCCAAGGTTGCTGGTTAAGATGAGGACGTGATCAGTGACACGCACTCTCTGGTTCTGTTGCCCCACAGGTGGCTTGCAATTCGCCTGGAGCTGGTTGGGAACCTGACTGTCTTCTTTTCAGCCTTGATGATGGTTATTTATAGAGATACCCTAAGTGGGGACACTGTTGGCTTTGTTCTGTCCAATGCACTCAATGTGAGTTTGAAGGTTGGGAGTTTGGTTTCGTTAGTGTGCTTATTCTTAAATTAAGCCTGATGTATACTGTGGAGTCTGTGCTCTTGATTCCTTCTTAAACCCAGAGGGACTAAAGAAGACTGAGGTTCAAACCCTGGCTCCATCTTTTACCCATGGACGTATTCCTTACTCTTCCTAAGTAGACATGAATGCCATCTAGAAAACTGGACATAAATATTGACCTTAGGGCTTAAGAAGGCAATTTCATATGTTTCAATCTAATTGTTCCCTGTCTGCCTCTTTGCTTGGTTCTAGTGAGAGAATAAATAACTTTCTTCTCTAGAACGTAGCAGTAATCAGAAAGGCTTTTTGAACAAATAATTCCTCCTGTGTTTATTTTTCTTAGATCGTAGAATAATTGGAGGTAATTCTAATAAAGAACATAGAGTCTGATAAAACTATAGAATGTGTCTCACTGCAGCATCCCCAGCATGACTAGAGGATACATGGCAGGCATGATTCTTTTCTAGCACCTAAGACAGTGGCTGGCACTACCGTAATTATTCAATCAATATTTGTTATAAATGAGTCATTTGACCATCTTTTTGAACTAATTTTTTTAGTTCAAAGAGATTTGCATAGTTACATGTGGGCATTATATAATAGTGCTGTCTTCATTAGAAGTTAATAAGGCCTGTGGAGCACAGTGGCTGACACCTGTAATCCCAGCACTTTGGGAGGCCAAAGTGGGTGGATCACCTGAGGTCAGGAGTTTGAGACCAGCCTGGCCAACATGGTGAAACCCCATCTCTACTAAAAATACAAAAAAAATTAGCCAGGCATGGTGATGAGTGTCTGTAATCCCAGCTACTGGGGAGGCTGAGGCAGGAGAATCACTTGAACCCAGGAGGCAGAGGTTGTAGTGAGCCAAGATCGTGCCATTGCACTCCAGCCTGGGCAACAGAGCAAGATTCCATCTCAAAAAAAAAAAAAAAGAAGTTAATAAGGCCCAATGTGTTCCTGCCAGGGCACCTAAAAGGACTTTGTTATTCACTAGAGTCACTTAGTTCCTTGTGTCACTGCCCTTTCATACCCCCATTTCTAGGCTTTTTAGCCCAGGACAGACAAGGCAAATAGTCAGGAAACTATTAGATTGAACCAAAACAAAATGACTCAAACACCGGCAATTACATATGCTTCAATCTACACAAAGTGGATACTCTGAGTCCCCATGATTCCGTCCTCTGCTTTCTGTGGCTCCCTTTCTTTAACCACCATTTGCTCAACAAGAACTCTCTGTGCATATATGCAAACTCCTGAGTCTTTTTCTGAAAGAAGTTTGCATCTGAGTAATCTACAGATTCCCTGGCCTGGATCATGCCTTTCCCTGATTCACAAAGAACACTAGGCATCCAGGCAGGAGGCCTGAGCTCTGCTCCCACTCCACCCATTGCCAGACTCTCAAATTCCAGCTTTAGTCCCAAACCACTAGACACTCACATTGCCCTTCGCGTGAGCACCTAATTAGTCTGCAGCCATTCAATGCACTGCTCTTAATTCCTTCCCCAAGGAGGCAAGGATTGTCTTTCTTACACTTTTCCTTACTCCCTTGTAGAGTCCAGCACAGTGCTGGGTACAAAGTCGGCACTGGATTGTCCTTGTGGTTTGAGTGGTTGAGTTGGTTTCTGTGCCTATGATGATTTTCAGTCTTCTGGTTTTTCTGTAGATCACACAAACCCTGAACTGGCTGGTGAGGATGACATCAGAAATAGAGACCAACATTGTGGCTGTTGAGCGAATAACTGAGTACACAAAAGTGGAAAATGAGGTAAGGAGGAACTGGAAAAATCCAGGAACAAGGCAAAAACAACATGCAACTCCTTCGAGAGTGCATCTTTAGAATTTCTCCATATTTTACATGGGCCCATAATGGGTCCCTAAAGTTTCCTTTCCTCTAACTCAAAGGACCTAATTTCTTCAAACTTAGAATAGGAAATGGTTTAGGGGATGTCGGGTCTTGCAACATACCGAGGAGATCTACAGCACAAGCTCATGGTGTATTTTTCTTTAACTGAATAAGGTAGGAACTTTCCAAAAGTGCAAGTCTAGTTCAGCCTATTAAATGCAGAGGCCATTAGGTAGCTGGGACACTGCTACCCTTCTCCTGTTCTATGACACGAGTCCTGGGTGGACTGTTCGGCTGAGTTGCCACCTTATAAAACTTACTTCTCATCTTGTCTCCTTGCCAGGCACCCTGGGTGACTGATAAGAGGCCTCCGCCAGATTGGCCCAGCAAAGGCAAGATCCAGTTTAACAACTACCAAGTGCGGTACCGACCTGAGCTGGATCTGGTCCTCAGAGGGATCACTTGTGACATCGGTAGCATGGAGAAGGTAGGTGGAGTGAAGGAAGGCCTGGATGGGAGGCCTTGTGATCAAACAACAATTGGACAGAGTGGAGAGCAGCTGGGCCCTAAGCCTTCATCATTTGGATGGAGGGAAAGGGTCAGGGCACTTCCTCTGCCCTGGGGAGGTGTGGGGACACAGTATCAGAGGGAAGGATAGCAGCCAGGGATCACACAGACTTACCGCAGCTGTCGGGGCCTTCTGCTCAGCTCCTCCCTGCCTCCTAGCCAGCTGACCAGGGCCCCTTTCCTATAAGGTCCACAGTATGCAGAGAGGAAGTCAGGAAGGAAACAAGGGGGCGGCCAGGCCTGGTGAAGGAACTGTTGAGAATAGCAGTGTGGAGGTTGTCCCTGAAGGAAGAATGGCCCAGTTCTCCTCCCAGTCTTCAAAGTCAGGCACCCTCCTTAGGTGCTGTTGTTCTCCGAGGACTTGGGGTCTGATGAGCAAGGACGCTGAGGTCCAGATCAGAGTCTGGCTCTCAGCTGGTGGCAGACCTAATCTTTCCCTTCTTCACTTCTAAACAAGCATTTTTCTTTTTTCTTTATTTTTATTTATTTATTTATTTATTTTCAGATGGAGTCTCACTCTATCACCCAGGCTGGAGTGCAGTGGCACAATCTTGGCTCACTGCAACCTCTGCTTCCTGGGTTCAAGTGATTTTTCTGACTCAGACTCCCAAGTAGCTGGGACTACAGGTGCACGCCACCATGTCTGGCTAATTTTTTTTGTATTTTTAGTAGAGACGGGGTTTTGCCATATTGACCAGGCTGGTCTTGAACTCCTGAACTCAGGTGATCTGCCTGCCTTGGCCTCCCGAAGTGCTGGGATTATAGGCATGAGCCACCACGCCTGGCCTAAACAAGGATTTTGTTTTTATCTATAATTTCCAATAATAATTATAACAACAGCTGCCAAGAGAGTCCATTTCAAACAGTGACTATAGTTCTCAGCAAACAATGATTTTTGGCATCTTTTTCTGACATCTGGGTACTTTTTTCCTCACCAAAACCAAAATCAGTTTAATATCTTAGAGATGGAGTAGCCAGTCACTGCCTCTTACCTCCTGTGACTGTGAATGCCCAGGCTAAATAACTTTTCCCCAAGAATTATTTGTGGAACTAATGTGTAAGGGAACTATATTCGCAGATTGGTGTGGTGGGCAGGACAGGAGCTGGAAAGTCATCCCTCACAAACTGCCTCTTCAGAATCTTAGAGGCTGCCGGTGGTCAGATTATCATTGATGGAGTAGATATTGCTTCCATTGGGCTCCACGACCTCCGAGAGAAGCTGACCATCATCCCCCAGGTGAGCTCTAGAACTTACTCGGGCACATGCCGTGGGGAGCAGCTTGTTTTACAGGAAACATATGCAGCTTCTTCTTGATGTCTGTTCAGTCAGCACTGTCAATTCCACGGTCTACTCGGGATACTTGAGCTAGTTCCCTAGGATGGACACGTCATTTCCAGAACTTTGAAATGTTTGGTAATATGCATTTGTGGCTGCCTGTATCTGACCACTAGGTGGCAGCAACACAACAGAAGTCAAGTACAGCAGACGATTCTTTAGCGTTGCTATAGCCCATCACGGTTTGCAAGACTTTTGCAATCAGCATTAGCAGTTTTGCCGCTGAAGCTTGAAGCCATTAAGCTTTATACTCCCCATTTGCTATGGTTAAAAGATAGAGGAGGGAATTTGCTGCAGGTTTCTGCCAGCAAGCGGAACGCTTCGTGCATCAGCAAGAAAGATTTCCCTTCGGCTTCCTCTCTGGATCCTGCCAGATAAGGACTGCCGCGAGGCCTCTCCGTTCCCCGCAGCGGCTCCTCAGGAGAACCTTTCCTCCTCCGCCCACTGCAGCCCAGTTCCTCTGGGGGTAGTTTTGGTCTGTCTGGTGTTTGCTCAGTTCGATAGTCTTTTCTCCAGCCTCTTCAAAAGCGTGACACCTTCTTCTCATGCAGCTGTACTATTCTTTCCTCTACCCTCCTCTGATCCCTCTACCTTGAAATCACGATTATGGGTTTGGGAGGCCGAGGCAGGTGAATCACTGGAGCCCAGGAGTTCAAGATCAGCCTAGGCAACATGGCAAGAACCCATCTCTACAAAAAATTTAAAAAATCAGCCAGGCATCGTGGTGCGTGCCTCTGGTCCCAGCTACTCGGGAGGCTGAGGTGGAAGCATCACTTGAGCTAAGGATGTCAAGGCTGCAGTGAGCGGTGTTTGTGCCACTGCACTCCAGTCTGGGCAACAGAGTGAAAGCCTCAAAAACAAAAAATAAACCGAGGACTTCTAACCCTGTGCCTAGCCCCTGGCTGGTAGCCACTCCGAGCCTTAGGAGGGAAAACCTTGCGGAAGCTCAACCACAAACCAGCTTCCTGCCTCAGGAATCCATCTCAGGCCAGTCCTATCCACCATCTCCCAGTCCTGAGGAACTCCGAGGTCCTTTTCTGGCATGAGCCCCAACAGCCCCCTTGTCCTTTCACTTGCAGGACCCCATCCTGTTCTCTGGAAGCCTGAGGATGAATCTCGACCCTTTCAACAACTACTCAGATGAGGAGATTTGGAAGGCCTTGGAGCTGGCTCACCTCAAGTCTTTTGTGGCCAGCCTGCAACTTGGGTTATCCCACGAAGTGACAGAGGCTGGTGGCAACCTGAGGTAATGTTCCATAGCCTGCTACCCCTGCAGGCAATGAGAGGATGTGAGGGGGCCACTCCTCGTGTTCCTCGTGTTAGGTGATGCCTGGCATAGAATTTTCATCCAGGTCTGATTCCTAAAGTGTAAAATGAACCTGTTGTAAAGTTCACAAGATAAAATAGATGTGAAAGTGCTTTAAAACTCTTGAAAACTGGTCGAGCACAGTGGCTCACGCCTGTGATCCCAGCACTCTGGGAGGCTGAGGCAGGTAGATCACCTGAGGTCAGGAGTTCGTGACCAGCCTGGTCAACATGGTGAAACCCTGTCTCTACTAAAAATACAAAAAGTAGCCTAGCATGGTTGTGGGCACCTGTAGTCCCAAGCTACTCAGGAGGCTGAGGCAGGAGAATCGCTTAAACCCAGGAGGTGGAGGTTGCAGTGAGCCGAGATTGCACCACTGCACTCCAGCCTGGGCAACAGAGCAAGACTCCGTCTAAAAAAAAAAAATCAACTCTTGAAAACCTTTGTTATTGGCCGGGTGCAGTGGCTCACGCCTGTAATCCCAGCACTTTGGGAGGCTGAGGCCGGTGGATCACGAGGTCAGGAGTTCAAGACCAGCCTGGCCAAGATGGTGAAACCCCGTCTCACTAAAAATACAAAAAATTAACTGGGTGTGGTGGCAGGCGCCTGTAATCTCAGCTACTCAGGAGGCTGAGGCAGAGAATTGCTTGAACCCGGGAGGCGGAGGTTGTAGTGAGCTGAGATCACACCACTGCACTCCAGCCTGGGAGACAGAGCAAGACTCCATCTCAAAACAAACAAACAAACAAACAAAAAACCTTTGTTATTAAGTGTACTCCTCATATGACATTACACAATGTGAGCTTACACATCCCACAGAAAGCAGAGGCTCCCAGCTGTGCACAATCAGGATGAAAATAGTCTGGCTGCCTGGTCCAATCCTAGAGTCTGATTTAATTGTTTGAGGCTAGACTGGACATAGGGAGTTTTAAAGGATCCCCACGAGGCTGTTAAGGGCATCGCAGTTAAAGAACCACTGATCTAAAGAGCATGCGGATGACAGGGAACGTGACATCTGTAAAATCCGTAGGCACTGTTGAAACACCTGAAATCAACAAAAGACTCTCTTGGCTTTCACAGTTATTTTTAACCTTTCCAAAACATTTTTATATAATTGACAGTTCACTTCTGGCCTTCAGTGTATGTTTGCCTGTCCATTAATAAGTTGATCTGGCATTTTTCCTGTAACATTTTTGTTTTTCCTTCCACACACTGAAGTTCTGCCCTCAGCCAAAGCCCACTGCTCATGGACAGGTCTTGCTCCTGCCCCAGGGGCCTCAGTGGTGGTAGGCAGGGAATAGGCCGTTGGCAAGTTGAAGCTCAGGAAGGAAGGGAGGGCTCAGTAACTGATTCAGGGGCCAGCCACTCTGGCTTCACCTGGGAGCTTGTTACATGTGCAGAATCTCAGGGCGTAGACCTACTCATCAGAATCCGCACTTTAGCAAGATTCCCAGGTGATTTGTGTGCACATTACACTTGAGAAGCACTGCCTAGAGTGTTGTGATTAACTAGGCTGCAAGCTAAAATCACCCAGGAAGCTTTAAAGCTCCCAACGCCTAAACTGTAGCCCAGACCAACTGAATCGGGGACCCAGGTGATTTTAGTGTGTAGCCCCAGGGAACAAGCCCTGGTAGAGAACATCGTCAGTTTACTTTCCCTCCACAACAGATCTAGCAACTAGCAGGACTCAAGTAGGTCTTTAGGCCAGTGTAAAAGATCATTCAAACATTCAGTCAGCAAAAATGTAATAACACCGGCCGGGCGCAGTGGCTCATGCCTGTAATCCCAGCACTTTGGGAGGCCGAGGCAGCCGGATCACCTGAGGTCGGGAGCTCGAGACCAGCCTGACCAACGTGGAGACACCCCATCTCTACTAAACATACAAAATTAGTGGGGCATGGTGGCACAGGCCTGTAATCCCAGCAGTAATCCCTCAGGAGGCTGAGGCAGGAGAATCGCTTGAACCCGGGTGGCGGAGGTTGTGGTGAGCTGAGATTGCGCCATTGCACTCCAGCCTGGGAGACAAGAGCGAAACTCCGTCTCGAAAATATATGTACACCTACTGTGTGCCAGGTACTGAAAATACAGAGGCAAACAGAGACACAACCCTGACTTCCTAGCATTTACAGCATAATGAAGACAGACCTCTGTCAGTAAATGCCAGTACAGTCTGTGCTACAGAGGGTACATTTGGGATGCTATGGTAGGGTACAATGGGAGGCCTTGACATTTCTGGTTTGTAAAAACAAAAATCATGCCATCTTTCTCCTGTCCAAGCTGAGAGATGCTTAAATGGTATTACCAATGCCTTGATTTCAGACCTGAGTTTCAAACCTGGCCTGGGGGACTAAAACTTACATTTCTCTGTTGAATGATGGGTAAGTTCAGCTTGGAGAGAGCAGCTGAAAGACAAAGTGGCGCCTCAGCAACAGTCTGTTACTCTAAAGTCCAAAGTCTACGTTACACTTTGGGCCAGGCAGGAGTTTGGTACAAGCTAAGTAAATAGTTTTTCAGTGTCTCTGATCTTACATTACAGGGGAAAACTGGAAGTTCATCTTGGGTGACTTCTCATCTCCTGCAGAAATTTTCTTACAGAGAATTACAGCACTTTGGCCACCCCCTGTTTAATATGTTCCCTAATGGCCACAGCAGGAAAGAGCAATTAGCAAATTCCTGAATATTTCCTTCACATCATTTCCCAAAGCTTCTTTATGTTAGGTAAGAGGTCCAGCCTTCATTACAGGCTTTTAGCAAATTAAAGCTATTTGCATTTTAGAAGCATATTTGAATTCCACATACATTGCATCTCACACCAAGACATCACGTTCATTAGACAGCTTCATCTCTAATCAAAGCAGAAGGCCTTGAACAAATAATTAGCCTTGAGGCTAGAATTACACATTAAAATAATAAATTGATTTGCTAAGGCCACAAAGAAATGCCACTGGGGCATTCTAGTGTTGCTCCACCCTATATTAATGGCTTCAGGTCAAATGCTGCTAACGTAAACTTGGTGACACTCATGTTGTTTTGGAAATGTTGATGTCACGGCAACCAAATACAAAGCATGGTTCCTGGGCCATTGTTATCCAAACTTGTTTAAGCATAAAAATGGCCTGGGGTGCTTAGTAAAAAGGCACCTTCCTAGGCTCCTGCCCGCTCTGATTGAGCAAAGCAAGGGCCCAGAAATATGACTTTTTAATTAAGTACTTGGGGTGGGTCTTCAATTGGGAAAGTTTGAAAAACGATGCTCACAGCAGCAAGGTACAGCTAGTTGAAGAGGCCCAAACATTCCAGGGGAATTTTGGAGGGGGGGTTTTGAAAGTCTGATCTGGAACATGAAAATGGTCCCCCTGCCCTGCGTCTTTCCTTGGTCTTTAGGAGCTAACACATGGTTGCTTCTATTGGCTGCAGCATAGGCCAGAGGCAGCTGCTGTGCCTGGGCAGGGCTCTGCTTCGGAAATCCAAGATCCTGGTCCTGGATGAGGCCACTGCTGCGGTGGATCTAGAGACAGACAACCTCATTCAGACGACCATCCAAAACGAGTTCGCCCACTGCACAGTGATCACCATCGCCCACAGGCTGCACACCATCATGGACAGTGACAAGTGAGTGTAGGGGGACAGGGCTTGACACGGATGGCTTAACCCTTGCTCAACAGTAACAGTGTCAGCCGGGAAACACCTGATGGCAGAAGGTTTAACCACCACCACATTACTGATGAAGAAACTGAGACTTAGAGATGTCAAGTAATCTGGCCAAAATTTTACATCACGCAAATGAAAACGAACAAGGTTAAGGGAACTATTCATATCTTGAGGGCAAAATAGGAAACTGTGTGTTGTAACAATTAACTGGGTATGGGGAGGTGGAAGCTCAAGCCGTGAGAGGCAGATGTTGACCATAGACCTTCCTAACTGTCCTGAGCCTCAGCTGCTGCTCTGTAAAACAGCCAGAAGCTTTCTATTCCTTCCAGCTGTGTCATATTACAATCAAAAGTCAGTAATCTTAGAAAGCTGTTTGGAGATGATAGGCACCCTTTGTAAACCAATCTATCCTTAAACAATGTGCACTTCTTTTAAAAACTCATGTAAATGGACTCATACTGCCTGTATTCTTCTATTACTTGATTCTTTTGTTCAATATTATTTGCAGAATTCATCCATGTTGATGTGTGTAGCTGTGGCTCATTGATTTTCACTGCTTTGTAGCCTTGTCTGACTATACCACAACTTAGTCCTGGTTATTCTTATAAATGCCTAGACTTGAGATGCTGCTTTCTAAGACTTTTATTTCTTTCTTCCTTGTTTCAGGGTAATGGTCCTAGACAACGGGAAGATTATAGAGTGCGGCAGCCCTGAAGAACTGCTACAAATCCCTGGACCCTTTTACTTTATGGCTAAGGAAGCTGGCATTGAGAATGTGAACAGCACAAAATTCTAGCAGAAGGCCCCATGGGTTAGAAAAGGACTATAAGAATAATTTCTTATTTAATTTTATTTTTTATAAAATACAGAATACATACAAAAGTGTGTATAAAATGTACGTTTTAAAAAAGGATAAGTGAACACCCATGAACCTACTACCCAGGTTAAGAAAATAAATGTCACCAGGTACTTGAGAAACCCCTCGATTGTCTACCTCGATCGTACTTCCTTGCTACCCACCCCTCCCAGGGACAACCACTGTCCTGAATTTCACGATAATTATTCCTTTGCCTTTCATTTCTGTTTTATCACCTTTGTATGTATCTTTAAACAACATATACCCTTTTTTACTTATGTAAATGGACTGACTCATACTGCATACATCTTCTATGACTTGATTCTTTTGTTCAATATTATATCTGAGATTCATCCATGGTGATGCAAATAGGTGCATTATTTTTTTTCACTGCTCTGTAGTCTGGCATTGTATGAATACAGCACAATGTATCAGTTTTAATATTGGGGATCATTAGCATTATTCTCAGGTTTTTAAAAATTATAAGCAGTACTACTATGGACATTCTGGTCTACATCTCCTGGCACATATGTAAGAGTTTCTCTAGGGTATAACCTAGGAATGGAGGGTATGAACATGTTTACATGCACAAACTAGCTGATGCCAAACTGGTAATGCCAACTGAAAACATTGCTGTCAATCTGATGAATATGAATTGATGTATCAATGAGAATTTCATTTGCATTTCCCTAGTATCTATTGGGGATGAATATATTTTCATGTTTCTGGGGCATTTGCATTTCCACTTGTTTTTTAAATATTGTGTCTGATAATTCCAATGTCTGGATTCTTTGTTTATCTGTTGTTTCTGTTGGTTTTTACTCATGGTATTTTATTTCCTTGTATGTCTTGTGAATTTTTATTATAAGCTCGTTCTCCTTAAAACTTTATCTGTGGACATTCTTTGAGGCCTAAGTTGACCGTGAATTCTTCCTAAGGGAATTGGGAATGCTTTAGCCTGCTGCCTGGGGCATTACCCAGAACCTCTTTGAATGAAATTCTTCACTAAGGGGTTTCAAACCACAGTGCAACTTCAGACCACAATCCTGTACAAGAGCCAGCTTGTGATTTACAAATTCTCCAGGGAAAGTGACAGGTTGGAGATAGGCATGGGGTTTTGTTGTTGTTCTTGTTGACTCCTGCATTCTGCATGGCAGGACCTAGGCCTCTTTACCTGTACATTGCAGGTATAACCCTTTCATGACACAGGTTCATCAGAGGGTTTTAGTCTGCACTGTGGCAGACCTTGGCTTTATCTCTTGCCTTGACCTCCTACATTATCAACAAAGTGAGAGTTTAAGATCTCCTGGGCAGGAGATTTCAGAAGCCAGCCTAAGTTTTGGGCCTTCCTCACCTCCTAGGGCCTTTGTGTCAGGTTCTTTTGGGTTCTTCATATTCCTTACCTCCCTTTCAGTGATGTTATGATAAAGATTTTGATTTATTCAGCATTTCACGGTCTGTTTAGTGAGGTGCTTAACATTGAACTTCTGAAATGAAGGGCATATAGCTAGTGTAAGCATACCTCTGGTTTGCCCTGAATAGTTATGGGTTACATCTGTTTTCCCAAAACAATAATAGCTCCCCCTTTCACACACGCACAAAAATTGTCTCATTTGTATGATAAACTTGTGTGCCTCCTACACATAGCCCTGTGAATTCGATTTTGAATCACAGCATGGATGGAGATCAACAAAGTTGTATAGATATTGAAGTGTTGGCTGGGGGGGCGCTATTCATGGAGAATCCCCTCCTTAATTCTGCAAACCAGATCTAGTACATTGTGAATATTCTATAATCATTGGCTATTTTTTACAGCTAGCTTTTCAGATCTATACCTGCTTATGTACATGAAATGTAGCTCCTGTAAATTGCAGATTAGTGTATATTAATCTAAGATGCCATCAACTGTAAAATACCTGTTATTTTCTATACCACGAAGAAAGGATACTGCCAATTAAACTTTGGTATGCATTGTTGGTAAAATGCATCCTATTTGTGGAAAAAAATTAGCATTTTAAGATTAATACAATACAATACCTGTAAAGCTCTATAAGAGCTAAGTCATGTCCTTTATTTCTGCTATTGATCCTTGTTCTTTTTTCCTGATTGTTCCAGTCTGTATTGCTCTTTTAATCCAATATCATCGTCATCATCATCAGCATCATCATCATCATCATCACTTCCCTTATCTCTTTTTCTCAACTATTTCACTGCTAGGTAGCTAACTACTGTTTTTACCATCTATTCTTTCTAATCATTAGAATTTCAAAAAACTGCTTTTTCCTTTTTTTTAGTGGTGTTTTTAAAATTTATTTATTTATTTTTTAGTGTTTATTTTGAAAGCACATTCCATACACGCGTACTTTCCAACTTGCTTCTTAAATGAGTTTTTAGATATAGAGCATTTAGAGGGGCAGGAGGAACTTTGGAAAACAAAGGAACTATTTACGCTGACTGCAGAAGCCAGAGAAATGCAAGCTAGGTAAAGCACCAACAGTAAAAGTGAAACTAAAGGAGAAGCCTGATATTTTCTCAATTTGTTTCTCAAACAAAATGGTCCAGGCTGATGTCGATATAGTTATCACCAGAGAACTTTGAAGATTATCAGCCATCACTTATTTATTTAGCTTCCAGTAAATGTCTGACACTGTGCCAAAAATTTTTTAAAAGCTATCTAGGGCGGGTGCTGTGGCTCACACCTGTAATCCCAGCACTTTGGGAGGCTGAGGTGGGTGGATCACCTGAGGTCAGGAGTTCGAGACCAGCCTGGCCAACATGATGAAACCCCGTCTCTACTAAAAATACAAAAATTAGCCAAGCATGGTGGCACATGCCTGTAATCACAGCTACTCTGGAGGCTGAGGCAGGAAAATCACTTGAACCCGGGAGGCGGAGGTTGTAGTGAGCCGGGATCACGCCATTGCACTCCAGCCTGAGCAACAGAGCAAGACTCCATCTCAAAAAAAAAAAACAAAAACAAAAGCTACCTAATATAAACTAAATAAAGATTACTTTCCATTGTGGCCTAATTAATAACCCTTTCACAAGCTTTATTTCACTTACCGATTTCAGGGACAATTTTAGATAACTACCTAAAACCTATACATTCCCAAATTCCACCATATCTTCACTGTTTTTCACTGATCTTTTGGGCACTTTCTGTGCCCTTCCCAATTCTTCTGGGTGCATGGAATCATAGTGTTCAGAAGTAAAGGTGCCTATGCCCATCGTTAGGCTACTATCTCTCAGTTTCAAACCTACCCTTTTAGATTTTGCTCTGTGATGCTGGGACTTATAAGTCTCATTTCTGCTTTGCCAACTATTCCTATTAAGTTCTGACAATAGGAGGTGCTGGAGGGACACTGGACGCAGCCTGGATGAGGAAGAAAACGTGCTCCTTCTCGTTGGCTCTGTTGCTATTAGCATCACTCTAACAGTTTCTCTGCAGCAGCAGTTCTCACAAGTAGCCACATTGATTTTAGTTTGCAGTTTTTCAACATTCACAGAAAGTGTCGTCAGGCCCAAAACCAACACCAGCTGAGCAGCGTCCCCTTTTTCAGAAGCAATAAACAGACTGAAAGAAAACAAACTAATTTTACATTGATACATTGGCACAAACAGGAAGAATAAGTCTATAAAAATATAAAGAATAAACCTATAAGAATAAACCATCAGGCCTACATTTCTGGCAGAATAATTTTGCATAAGCACTTTTGGAAACATCCTCAGAATAAATTTGTCCTGTTTATATAATAGAATGAGAATACATTTAACCACAAATGCATACCGATCATGAATTTATTTTAGAATTAGCAAACAATATTGTACAAACATTGGTATTTAAATCTCTAAGCTCCTGCAACTTAGATTTAGTTAGCAAAGACTATATTCTACTCTGAGTTTGGTCTTCCACATGGACTAGACACTAGACTGGTTTTTTGAAAGGTTTCATATTGTTCGAAAATACCATAAGTAGGCCAGGCACAGTGACTCACACCTGCAATCCCAGCACTTTGGGAGGCCTAGGCAGGCCGGAATGCTTGAGCGCAGGAGTTCGAGACCAGCCTGAGCAACAAAGTAAGACCCCGTTTCTATAAATAAATAAAAAAAAATACAGAAAGTTAGCCAGGTGTAGTAGTGCATGCCTGTAGTCCCAGCTACTCAGGAGGCTGAAGTGGAAGGATCGCTTGAGCCCAGGAAGTCGAGGTTGCAGTGAGCTGAGATCACACCACTCCATTCCAGCCTGGGTGACAGAGTGGGACTCTGTCTCCAAAAAAAAAAAAAAGAAAACATCATAAGTAAAAGATTGTAAAAATGCATAAAACAATTGGCTGTAAAAAGCACTCCATTGTCATAGCCCTCCTTTTAATTTCATATGCAAGTAGTTAGTTATGCTGTAGAATTTAACTGTTACAATATAAAAAGCAACTATTTATGGAAAAAGTAGAAAAAAGGAGAAAATGGCCAGGTGCAGTGGCTCACACCTGTAATCCCAACACTTTGGGAGGCTAGGCAGGAGGATCATTTGAGCTCAGGAGTTCAAGACCAGACTGGGAATATATGTATGGCAGTGTTTCTTTAAGGTAAATGAACATAAAAATAGAGTTTCAGGAAGAGAAGAAAAACTAGGCTAGTTTGGTTCTTACTGAATTTTGAAAATGAACTACAATAGAGCTCCTTCTTCAATTCTAACAATCAAGGCCTTGGTCACCATATTGGTAATCTCTTGATTAATCCTCTTGATTCTCACTTGATTTCCATCTGGCGATTATGCCTGACAAACACTATCACGGATTTCGGATCCATCTGCCCTGTTCCTTGGCAGCCATCTTTGGGACAATTACTTGCTGCTCAAGCCTGGAGACCAGGGTTGTCCAATCTTTTGGCCTCCCTGGGCCACACTGGAAGAAGAATTGTCTTGGGCCACATATAAAATACACTAACACTAATGATAGCTGATAAGCTAAAAAAAAAAAAATCGCAAAAAAAATCTGATTATGTTTTAAGAAAGTTTACAAATTTGTGGTGGGCCACATTGAAAGCCATGGGCCACATGCGGCCCACAGGCCATGGGCTGGACAAGCTTGCTATAGACACTCGTTCTTCTCTGGGAAACAACTTGGTTGTCAGAAGATTGTGGATAGCACTGGTTGTACTATTAGCTCTGGTCACAGGTATTGCTCTTGATACCTGGTGCTAAACAATAGCTTTGCCTGGCTGCTTCTTTTTTAGTGCTCATCTGCGGACACCTGTGGTCTGGTTTGTCAGGGTTTGCATTCTGGTAATATAAAGGTAGCTTCTGGTATAATAAATATTTGCCTGGTTGACACAATTATTAGGTCCAATCTGTAAACCAATTACTCTTTGGCCAGCTTTTCATTGTCCTTAATCCAACAGTCTAATTTCTCTGCAAACTTGACTCCAATGTTAATGGTTGAACAGAATTCTTTTATTTTAGTTGGACCTAGAGTAGGGGTATGGCTCTAGGGCCAAATTTGCCCTGCTACCTGTTTTTGCACATAAAGTTTTACTGGAACACATCCATGCTCCTTTGTTTCTTTGCCATCTGTGCCTGCTTTCATGTTACAATACAGAGTTGAGGAATTGGCCCACAAAGCCTAAAATATTTACTATCTGGCCCTTTAAGAACAGGTTTGCTGACCACTGCTCTAGAGCCACCAATGTAGCCTGGACTGGGTCACGATTCCATGCTCAAAAAGACTATTTGCTGGCCGGGCGCGGTGGCTGACGCCTGTAATCCCAGCACTTTGGGAGGCTGAGGTGGGCGGATCACCTGAGGTCAGGAGTTCAAGATCAGCCTGACCAACATGGAGAAACCCCGCCTCTACTAAAAATACAAAAAATTAGTCGGGCATGGTGGTGCATGCCTGTAACTCCAGCTACTCGGGAGGCTGAGGCAGGAGAATCACTTGAACCCGGGAGGCGGAGGTTGCCGTGAGCTGAGATTGTGCCATTGCGCTCCAGCCTGGGCAACAAGAGCAAAATCTGTCTCAAAAAAAAAACAAAACAAAACTATTTGCCTTTAAAATGTCATGTGGCTTCACACCTGTGATAGAATAATGGTCCTCAAAAATGTCCACATCCTAATCCTCAAAGCCTGTGAATATGCCACCTTCCCTGGAAAAAAGGACTTTCACTGATGTGATTAAGTTAAGGGTCTTCAGATGGGGAGAGCACCGTGGATTGGCCAGGTGGGCTCAATGTAAACACAGCGTTCTTATAAAAGAGGCAGGACAGTCGGAGTGAGAGCGTGCTGCGATGACGGACGGAGTGAGACAGTTGAAGGTGCCACGCTGCTGGCTTTGAAGATGGAGGGAGTGGCCGCAAGCCAGGATATGCAGACCTTAGGAATCGGAAAAGGTAAGGAAATGAATTCTCCCCTGGAGCATCCATGAGGAACCAGCCCTGCCAACACCTTGACTTTAGCCCGGTGAGACTAATTTTGAATTCTGACCTCCAGAATGCTGAGATAAATTTGTTTTCAGCCACTAAATTTGTGGTAACTTGTTCCAGCAATAGGAAACTAATAAAAGTAAGCCCAGGTAGCTGTGATAAAACTGCCACAGTTCTTCAGCTAAAGTCAGTTTAATGACAATTCATGGATCTTCTTCATTAAATCCCACTGTAGTTTGAGTATGTAGAGGGTCATGCTGCCTTTTAAGCCCAGCTAAAAGTTGGTTGCAATACTCGTGCCTGGCATCCCTTCTATCAAATTGCAAAAATCTTATTCAGTTTGAACAGAGTTGCGGGTATTTTCTTGGTCTCAACTGAAGGCTGTAGTGAGGGCTCTTGTCAAAGTGAGTCCTGTTTTTGACGACAGCAGATTGAGAATTTCTCACCCTCAGCTTTCCTAATTCTGGACCTCTGGGGTGGTTGCTGTGAGAAATGCTTGGTGAGATGCCGAGGTGTGGTGGTTCACAGGCATTGCTGTGTGCCGTGGTCCTGCTCCGTCTAAGGACCTGTCAGGGTGGCTGCAGGGTCTCACCCACCTGACTGCTCCCCAGAAATGTTTCCAGAATGAATACATTGCCGAGACTCTAACCAGAGGCTTGCTCCCTTCCACCACCACCCCACAGCCTATCGCTGGGAAGGCACTAATTCTGCCCCTCTCTGCTTGAGGGTCATCTCTTGAGTGTTAAGGCGTAGGTATCCCTATGTAGCTTGCAAAATCTGCAACTTGTGGAAAACTCCTTTCTTGACATATGTAAAATACTAATGCTGACCTGCACCAACAATTGCAGCAAAGTTCTAGCAGAGGCTGTGGGACATAAGCCAGGGGCTCAGACAGATCGGAGTCCACTGCCCCTGCTCTGAAGCACTGGGTGATCTGCTACACATGGCAAAGGTAAAACCGTGAAGACTTCAGCAGTATCATGTACCACCAGGCGGGAGAGTTTAATGCCCCGTGAGTTATGTGGCGACCAGAGAGGGGATTTAGCATGAAGTATTTAAAGCTGGAGGTTTCTCGGTCCTCAAGCATAAGGTTCTGCAAATGAAACACAGTTCAGAGCACAACTGTTAAGGCCCGTTTGTACTCCTGACCCTGAACTAACACCCTCATCAACAGAATCCAAGCTTCACAATTAACTAAAATGGGGTGACACAAAATTCAATCCTTATTGAAACTGAGCTCCTCTGGAGCTCACATTTCATGAAAGTTTGTGGACATCATCTCACTGGATTCTCACATCTCATTGGATCTGTTCCTGAGAGGAAGAGATATCTATACACAATAATCAGAGGGGAGGCCCCATATCTATGTTTACACGATAGGTTCCCACCATCAGTCCCTGTCGTGGGACTCGTGGATGAAAGCACAACTGAAGAGCTATTTCCAGACAGAAGGGGAGAAAAATCAGGAGGTAAGCCAGCAAGCTGGATTTAAGAATTTTCTTTGACATTTCCTTCTAGAGTGTCTGAAACATCTGACACCCTCTCCTTCCTTGGTTTTTGTAAATTCTGCTTTTCTGACAGCAAAAAGTCCTACTTTAAAAAGTTGTCTAAACAGGTGCTTCTCAAACTTTAATGTGCACACAAGTCACCTGAGGATCTTGTTAAAATAGACTTTGATTCAGTAATGCTGTGGAGGTGGGCCCCTTGCAGTTCCAGCGAGCTCACAGGTGGTGGCGATGGCAATGCTGCCGGCCTAGAGACCACTTTTTTTTTTTTTTAAGAGGTGGGTTCGGGTAGGGCTGGGCACGGTGGCTCACACCTATAATCCCAGCACTTTGGGAGGCCAAGGCAGGCAGATCACCTGAGGTCAGGAGTTAGAGACCAGCCTAACCATCATGGGGAAACCCTGTCTCTACTGAAAATACAAAATTAGCCAGGCGTGGTGGCACATGCCTGTAATCCCAGCTACTCGGGAGGCTGAGACAGGAGAATTGCTTGAATCCGAGAGGCGGAGGTTGCAGTGAGCTGAGATCACACCGTTGCACTTCAGTCTGAGCACCAAGAGCCAAACTCTGTCTCAAAAAAAAAAAAAAAAAAAGTGGGTTCTTGCTGTTGCCCAGGCTGGGATGCAGTAGTGCCATCATAGCTCACTGCAGCCTCGAACTCCTGGGCTGAAGGGGATACTCCTGCCTCAGCCTCCCAAGCAGGTGGGATTAAGGGCTTGAGCCACGGTGCCTGGATCTGCAGGTCACATTTTAAGGAGGAAGAGCCTAGAAGACATCTGGTATTTAAAACAAAACTCATCTTTTTTTTTTTAATTATCAAAAATGATTTCTTTGAGATGAAGTAACTACATAGATTTTGCAGTACTATGGAATACTTACATTTAAAGTTGCAAACACAAAGACTCATCTTGTAAACTTGCTCCCGTCCCAGTTATCTCCCTTGTGCCTGTGATTCCATTATTCAGTTTCATATTTTTGATAGATGCTGATTTTTTTCCATTCTCAATCTTATGCCCGAATCAGTTGATTTCTTTTCCCCATTCATTGGCTTTTCCTGCCTTTGGTCTGTTCTCCCTCCACAGCAGCCTGTTGCTATTTAGCACTTTTTTTTTTTTTTTTTTTTGAGATGGAGTCTTACTCTGTTGCCCAGGCTGGAGTGCAATGGCGTGATCTCGGCTCACTGCAAGCTCCGCCACCACTACGCCCAAATAATTTTTTGTATTTTTAGTAGAGACGGCGTTTCACCATGTTAGCCAGGCTGGTCTCGATCTCCTGACCCCATGACCCTCCCACCTCGGCCTCCCAAAGTGCTGGGATTACAGGCATGAGCCACCATGCCTGGCTGCTATTTAGCTTTCTTAAAACAGGTCATCCCCTTAAAAACTTATGGGAGTTGATTACCTCACTCCTCAAATTGAAATTCCTTGATTTGGACCTCAAACCTCTCCAATGTATTGTTTGTGTCAGACAATGTTGTAGCATTCTTTTTTTAATGGACCCAAAAAATGTACATATTTGTGTACATGTTTTAAAATACGTATGCTGTAAAATGGCTAAATTGAGCTAATCAACATAGGCACACCCCATATGCTTTTCGTTTTTTTTGTAGTGAGAACACTTAAAAATCTCAACGATTTTTAGGCCAGGCACGGTGGCTGACACCTGTAATCCCAGCACTTTGGGAGGCCGAGGTGGATGGATCGCTTGAAGTCAGGAGTTCGAGACCAGCCTGGTCAATGTGGTGAAACCCTGTCTCTACTAAAAATACAAAAAAATTAGCCAGGCATGGTGGCACATGCCTGTAGTCCCAGCTATTCGGGATGCTGAGGCAGGAGAATGGCTTGAACCCTGAGGGCAGAGGTTGCAGTGAGCCAAGATTGCACCATTGCACTCCAGCCTGGGCCACAGAGCGAACCTACGTCTTTTTAAAAAAATAAAAAATAACAGTGATTATTCAATATAATACATTAGGTATAGTTGCCATATTGTTTGATAAGTGTCTTGAACTTACTCCTGTCTAACTGGAATTTTAAATTCTTTGACCAGCATCTACCAACCCCTACCTCACTCCCCCAGTGCATCGTAACCACCATTCTATTCTCTGCTTCTGTGAATTCATTTTTAGATTCTGCATATATATGACATCACATGTTTGTCTCTCTGTGCGTCGCTTTTTTTTTTTTTTTTCTTGAGATAGGGTCTCACTCCATCACCCAAGACTAGAGTGCAGTGGCACAATCACGGCTCCCTGCAGCCTCGGCCCCTGGGGCTTAGGTGATCCTCCCACCTCAGCTTCCCAAGCAGCTGAGACTATAGGCAAACACCAGTATGCCCAGCTAATTTTTGTGGGGTTTTTTGTTGTTGTTGGTGGTATTTGTTTGTAGAGATGGGGTTTTACCATATTGCCTAGGCTGGTCAAACTCCTAGGCTCAAGCCATCCCAAAGCGCTAGGATTATAGACATAAGCCCCCCTGCCCAGCCCTGCCTGGCTTATTTTAATTAACAAATGTCCTCCAGGTTCATCTAAGTTGTTGCAAATGATAAGACTTCTTCCTTTTTAAGTCTGAATAGTATCCCATTGTGTATATGAACCACAATGTCTTTGTCCATTCATCTGTTGAAGGACATAGGTTGATTCTGTATCTTGGCTCTTGCGAATAATGTTGCTATAAACATAGGAGCGCAGATACCTCAACACAGAGCTCATTTCCTCTGGAATCCCAGTAGTGGGATTGCTGGATCATGTGGTAGTCTTATTTTTAATTTTTTGAGGAATCTACATATTGTTTTCTATAGTGGCTGCACTCATTTACATTCTCACCGACAGAGTGTACAAGGGTTCCCTTTTCTCCACATTCTTTGAGCTATTTTGAAATATAGAATAGACTTTTGTAAATTATAGTCACCCTCCCAGTCTATCAAACCCTAGAGCTTATTTCTTCTATCAAACTGTATATTCGTACCCATGAATCAAGCTCTCACCTCCCTTTCCCCTACCCCTCCCAGCCTCTGGTAACCATTAATCTATTCTCTATCTTCATGAGATCTGCTGTCTCGGCTCCTACATATGAGTGAGAACATGCAATATTTGTCTTCCTGTACTTGCCTCGTTTCACTTAACGATTCTAGTGCCATCATGTTGCTGCAAATGAGTGCCATAATTTTTATGGCTGAATATTCTGTTGTGTATATATCTCCCCAATTTTTTTTTTTTTTTTTTGAGACAATCTTGCTCTGTTGCCCAGGCTGCAGTACAGTGGTGCTATCATGGCTCACTGCAGCCTCTGCCTCCCAGTTTCAAGCAATTCTCCTGCCTCACCCTCCCAGGGAGCTGGGACTACAAGTGTGCACCACCATGGCTGGCTAATTTTTTATTTTTAGTAGAGATGGGTTTTCACTATATTGCCCAGGCTGGTCTCGAGCTCCTGATCTCAGGTGATCCACCTGCCTCAGCTTCCCAGAGTGCTGGGATTACAGGCGTGAGCCACCACGCCCAGCCTGTACCACATTTTTTTGTATCCATTCATCCACTGATGGGCACTTAGGTTTATTCCATATTTCAGCTGTTGTGAATAGTGCTGCAATAAACATGGGAGTGCAGGTATCTCTTTGATATATTGATTTCCTTTCTATTGGATATATACCCAGTAGTGGAATTGCTAGATATATGGTAGTTCTATTTTTTGAGGAATTTCCATATAGTTTTCTATATTGGCTGTACTAATTTATGTCTCATCAACTGTGTACAAGGAATTCCCTTTCTCCACAATCTTGCCAGCATCTGTTACTTCTTGTCTTTGTGTGTGTGTGTGTGTGTGTGTGTGTGTGTGTGTGTGTGTGTGTGTGTCCTTTTTTTAAATTTTACTTTAAATTCTGGGATACATGCGTAGAACATGCAGGTTTGTTACACAGGTATACATTTGCCATGGTGGTTTGCTGCACCTATCAAC
The DNA here is from genome assembly GCF_000001405.40 of Homo sapiens. NCBI lineage: Eukaryota > Metazoa > Chordata > Mammalia > Primates > Hominidae > Homo > Homo sapiens. Next base: position 99,863,561 of record NC_000010.11, read on the forward strand.
TCATTATCTAGGTTTTAAGCCCCGCATGCATTAGGTATTTGTCCTAATGCTCTCCCTCCCTTTGTCCCTCACCCCCCAACAGGCCCCAGTGTGTGGTGTTCCTCTCCCTGTGCCTATGTGTTCTCATTGTTCAACTCCCACTTCTAAGTGAGAACATGTGGTATTTGGTTTTCTGTTCCTGTGTTAGTTTGCTGAGAATGATGGTTTCCAGCTTCATCCATGTCCCTGCAAAGGACATGAACTCATACTTTTTTGTGGCTACATAGCATTCCGTGGTATATATGTGCCACATTTTCTTTATCCAGTCTATCATTGATGGGCATTTGAGTTGGTTCCAAGTCTTTGCTATTGTAAATAGTGCTGCAATAAACATACGTGTGCATGTGTTTTTATAGTAGAATGATTTATAATCCTTTGCGTATATACCCAGTAATGGGATTGGTGAGTCAAATGGTATTTCCGGCTCTAGATCCTTGAGGAATTTGCCATGTTGTCTTCCACGGTGGTTGAACTAATTTACACTCCCACCAACAGTGTAAAAGCGTTCCTTTTTCGCCACAGCCTCGCCAGCATCTGTTTCCTGACTTTTTAAATAATGGCCATTCTAACTGGCATGAGATGGTATTTCATTGTGGTTTTGATTTTCATTTCTCTAATGACCAGTGGTGATCTTTTTTTCATGTTTGTTGGACGCATAAATGTCATCTTTTGAGAAGTGTCTGTTCATATCCTTCGCCTACCTTTTTACGGGGTTTTTTTTTTTCTTGTAAATTTGTTGAAGTTCCTTGTAGATTCTGGATATTAGACTTTTGTCAGATGGATAGATTGCAAAAATTTTCTCCTATTCTGTAGGTTACCTGTTAACTCTGATGATGATTTCTTTTGCTGTGCAGGAGCTCTTTCATTTAATTGGATTCCATTTGTCTATTTTGTCTTTTGTTGCCATTGCTTTTGGTGTTTTAGTCATGAAGTCTTTGCCCATGCCTATGTTCTGAATGGTATTGCCTAGGTTTTCTTCTAGGGTTTTTGTGGTTTTGGGTTTTACATTTAAGTCTTTAATCCATCTTGAGTTAATTTTTGTATAAGGTGTAAGGAAGGGGTCCAGTTTCTGTTTTCTGCATATGGCTAGCCAGTTTTCCCAGCATCATCTATTTATTTTATTTTGAGATGGAGTTTTGCTCTTGTTGCCCAGGCTGGAGTGCAATGGCATGATCTCAGCTCACTGCAGCCTCTGGCTCCCAGGTTCAAGCAATTCTCCTGCCTCAGCCTCCTGAGTAGCTGGGATTACAGGCATGAGCCACCATGCCCAGCTAATTTTTTTTTTTTTTTTTTTTGTATTTTTAGTAGAGACGGGGTTTCTCCATGTTGGTCAGGCTGGTCTCTAACTCCCGACCTCAGGTGATCCACCTGCCTCGGCCTCCCAAAGTGCTGGGATTACAGGTGTGAGCCACTGTGCCCGGCCTTCCCAGCACCATTTATTAAATTAGGGAATCCTTTCCCCATTGCTTGTTTTTGTGGGGTTTATCGAAGATCAGATGGTTGTAGATGTGTGGTGTTATCTCTAAGGTCTCTGTTCTGTTCCATTGGTCTATATATCTGTTTTGGTACCAATACCATGCTGTTTTGGTTACTGTAGCCTTGTAGTATAGTTTGAAGTCAGGTAGTGTGATGCCTCCAGCTTTGTTCTTTTTGCTTAGGATTGTCTTGGCTTGTCTTGGCTATACAGGCTCTTTTTTGGTTCCATATGAAATTTCAAGTAGTTTTTTCTAATTCTGTGAAGTCAATTGTAGCTTGATGGGAATAGCATTGAATCTATAAATTACTTTGGGCAGTATGGCCATTTTCATGATATTGATTCTGCCTATCCATGAGCATGGAATGTTTTTCAATTTGTATCCTCTTATTTCCTTGAGCATTGGTTTGTAGTTCTCCTTGAAGAGGTCCTTCACATCCCATGTAAGTTGGATTCTTAGGTATTTTATTCTTTGTAGCAATTGTGTGGGGGGGTTCACTTGTGATTTGGCTCTCTGCTTGTCTATTGTTGGTGTATAGGAATGCTTGTGATTTTTGCACATTGATTTTGTATTTTAAGACTTTGCTGAAGTTGCTTATCAGTTTAAGGAGTTTTTGGGCTGAGAAGATGAGATTTTCTAAATGTTCAATCATATCGTCTGCAACCAGAGACAATTTGACTTCCTCTATTCCTATTTGAATACCTTTATTTCTCTTGCCTGATTGCCCTGGCCAGAACTTCCAATACTACATTGAATAGGAGTGGTGAGAGAGGGCATCCTTGTCTTGTGCTGGTTTTCAAAGGGAATGCTTCCAGCTTTTGCCCATTGGCTATGGGTTTGTCATAAATAGCTCTTATTATTTTGAGATGTTCCATCAATACCTAGTTTATTGAGAGTTTTTAGCATGAAGGGATTTTGAGTTTTATTGAGTATCTTGAACCAGTTTTGCATCCCAGGGATGAAGCTGACTTGGTCATGGTGGATAAGCTTTTCGATGTGCTGCTGGATTCAGTTTGCCAGTATTTTATTGAGGATTTTATTGAGGATTTATTGATGTTCATCAGGGATATCGGCCTGAAATTTTCTTTTTTTGTTGTGTCTCTGACAGGTTTTGGTATCAGGATGATACTGGCCTCATAAAATGGGTTAGGGAGGAGTCCCTCTTTTTCTATTATTTGGAATAGTTTCAGAAGGAATGGTACCAGCTCCTTTTTGTACCGCTGGTGGAATTCCATCTGGTCCTGGGCTTTTTTTGGTTAGTAGGCTATTCTTGCCTCAATTTCAGAACTTGTTATTAGTCTATTCAGGGATTTGACTTCTTCCTGGTTTAGTTTTGGGAGGGTGTATGTGTCCAGGAATTTATCCATTTCTTCTAGATTTTCTAGTTTATTTGTGGAGAGGTGTTTATAGTATTCTCTGATGGTAGTCTGTATTTCTGTGGGATCAGTGGTGGTATCCCCTTTATCATTTTTTACTGTATCTATTTGATTCTTCTGTTTTCTTCTTGATTAGTCTAGCTAGCAGTCTATTTTGTTAATCTTCATAAAAGCAGCTCCTGGATTCATTGATTTTTTTTTTTTTTAAGGGCTTTTTTTGTCTCTATTTCCTTCAGTTCTGCTCTGATCTTAGTTATTTCTTGTCTTCTGCTAGCTTTTGAATTTGTTTGCTCTTGCTTCTCTAATTATTTTAATTGTGATGTTAGGGTGTCAGTTTTTGACCTTTCCAGCTTCCTGATGGGGGCATTTTAGTGCTATAAATTTCCCTCTTAATACTGCTTTAGCTGTGTCCCAGAGATTCTGGTACGTTGTCTTTGTTCTCATTGGTTTCACAGAACTTCTTTATTTCTGACTTAATTTCATTATTTACCTAGTAGTCCTTCAGGAGCAGGTTGTTCAATTTCCACATAGTTGTGTGGTTTTGAGTGAGTTTCTTAATCCTGAGTTCTAATTTGATTGCACTGTGGTCTGAGAGACAGTTTGTTATGATTTCCGTTCTTTTGCATTTGCCAAGGACTGTTTTACTTCCAATTATGTGGTCGATTTTAGAGTAAGTGCTATTTGGTGCTGAGAAGAATGTATATTCTGCTGATTTGGGGCGGAGAGTTCTGTAGATGTCTAATAGGTCCGCTTGGTCCAGAGCTGAGTTCAAGTCCTGAATATCCTTGTTAATTTTCTGTCTCATTGCTCTAATATTGACAGTGGGGTGTTAAAGTCTCCCACTGTTATTGTGTGGGAGTTTAGTCTCTTTGTAGGTCTCTAAGAACTTGCTTTATGAGTCCGGGTGCTCCTGTATTGGGTGCATATATATTTAGGATAGTTAGCTCTTCTTGTTGCATTGATCCCTTTACCATTACGTAATGCCTTTGTTTGTCTTTTTTGATCTTTGTTGGTTTAAAGTTTGTTTTTTCAGAGACTAGGATTGTAACTCCTGCATTTTTTTTTCTTTCCATTTGCGTGGTTAATATTCCTCCATCCCTTTATTTTGAGCCTATGTGTGTCTTTGCACATGAGATGGGCCTCCTGAATACAGCACACTGATGGGTCTTGACTCTTAATCCAATTTGCCAGTCTGTGTCTTTTAATTTGGACATTTAGTCCATTTACATTTAAGGTTAATATTGTTATGTGTGAATTTGATCCTGACATCATGATGCTAGCTGGTTATTTTGCACATTAGTTGATGCAGTTTCTTCATACTGTTGTTGGTCTTTATATTTTGTTTTTTTTTTTTGCAGTGGCTGGTACTGGTTTTTCCTTTCCATATTTAGTACTTCCTTTAGGAGCTCTTGTAAGGCAGGCCTGGTGGTGACAAAATCCCTCAGCATTTGCTTGTCTGTAAAGGATTTTATTTATCCTCTGCTTATGAAGCTTAGTTTGGCTGGATATGAAATTCTGGGTTGAAAATTCTTTTCTTTAAGAATGTCAAGGCTGGGCTCATGCCTGTAATCCCAGCACTTTGGCAGGCCAAGGTGGGTGGATCACCTGAGATCAGGAGTTTGAGACCAGCCTGGCCAACATGGTGAAACCCCATCTCTACTAAAAATACAAAATTAGCCAGGTATGGTGGTGGGTGCCTGTAATCCCAGCTACTGGGGAGGCTGAGGCAAGAGAATTGCTTGAATCCGGAAGGCAGAGGTTGCAGGGAGCTGAGATCGCGCTATTGCACCCCAGCCTGGGCAACAAGAGTGAAACTCTATCTCAAGAAAATAAATGTTGAATATTGCCCCCCACTCTCTTCTGGCTTGTAGGGTTTCTGCAGAGAGATCTGCTGTTAGTCTGATGGGCTTCCCTTTGTAGGTAACTTGACCTTTCTCTGGCTGCCCTTAACATTTTTTCCTTCATTTCAACCTTAGAGAATCTGACAATTATATGTCTTGGGGTTGCTCTTCTCGAGAAGTATCTTAGTGGTGTTCTCTGCATTTCCCGAATTTGAACGTTGGCCTGTCTTGCTAGGTTGGGGAAGTTCTCCTGGAAAATATCCTGAAGTATGTTTTACAACTTGGTTCTGTTCTCCCCGTCACTTTCAGGTATACCAATCAATTGTAGGTTTGGTCTTTTCACATAGTCTCATATTTCTTGGAGGCTTTGTTCGTTCCTTTTCATTCTTTTTTCTCTAATCTTGTCTTCATGCCTTATTTCAGTAAGTTGATCTTCAATCTCTAATATCCTTTCTTCTGCTTGATTGACTTGGCTATTGATGTTTGCGTGTGCTTCACGAAGTTCTCCTGCTGTGTTTTTCAGCTCCATCAGGTAATTTATGTTCCTCTCAAAACTGGTTATTCTAGTTAGCAGTTCCTATAATCTTTTTTCAAGGTTCTTAGCTTCCTTGCATTGGGTTAGAACATGCTCCTTTAGCTCAGAGCTAAAGTTTGTTATTACCCACCTTCTGAAGCCTACTTCTGTCAATTCATCAATCTCATTCTCCATCCAGTTTTGTGCCCTTGCTGGAGAGGAGTTGTAATCATTTGGAGGAGGGGAGGCATTCTGGTCTTTGGAATTTTCAGCATTTTTGCGCTGGTTTTTCCTTATCTTCATGGATTTACCTACCTTTGATCTTTGAAGCTGATGACCTTTGGATGGGGTTTCTGTGTGGGGGTCCTTTTTGTTGATGTTGATGTTGATGTTGTTGCTTTCTGTTTTTCTTCTAACAGGCCCCTCTGCTGCAGTTCTGCTGCAGTTTGCTGGAGGTCCACTCCAGACCCTGTTCCCCTGGGTATCACCAGTGGAGGCTAACAGAACAACAAAGATTGCTTCCTACTCCTTCCTCTGGAAGCTTTGTCCCAGGGGGGCACCGGCCTGATGCCGGCTGGAGCTCTCCTGTACGAGGTGTCTGTTGACCCCTGCTGGGAGGTGTCTCCCAGTCAGGAGGCACAGGGATCAGGGACCCACTTGGGAAGGCAGTCTGTCCCTTAGCAGAGCTGGTGTGCTGTGCTGGGAGAATCCTTCTTGTCAGGATCAGCTGTTCTCTTCGGAGCTGGCAGGCAGGAACAATTAAATCAGCTGAAGCTGCACCCACAGCCACCCCTTCCCCCAGGTGCTCTGTCCCAGGGAGGTGGGAATTTTATCTGTATGCCCCTGACTGGGGCTGTTACCTTTCCTTCAAAGTATGCCCTGCCCAGTGAGGAGGAATCTAAAGAAGCAGTCTGGCCATGGCTGCTTAGCCACGCCGTGGTGAATTCCCGCCCAGTCTAAACCTCCTATCTCCTTAGCACTGTTGGGAAAACTGCCTACTAAAGCCTCAGTAATGGCGGATGCCCCTTCCTGCACCAAGCTTGGTCATCCCAGGTTGAATTGAGACTGCTGTGCTGGCAGTGAGAATTTCAAGCCAGTGGATCTTAGCTTGCTGGGCTCCGTGGGAGTGGCATCTGCTGAGCGAGACCACGTGGCTCTCTGGCTTCAGCCCCCTTTCCATTTCCAGAGGAGTGAACGGTTCTGTCTCACTGGGGTTCCAGGCGCCACTGGGGTATGAAAAAAACTCTTGCAGCTAGTTCAATGTCTGCCCAAACACCCACCCAGTTTTGTGTTTGAAACCTAGGGCCCTGATGGTGTTATCACATGAGGGAATCTCCTGATCTGCAGATTACAAAAACCAAGGGAAAAGGGTAGTATCCGGGCTGGGTAGCACAGTCCCTCACGGCTTCCCTTGGCTGGGGGAGGGAGGTCCCCTGGCTCCTTGAGTTTCTGGGGTGAAGCGACGCCCCACTCTGCTTCTGCTCACCCTCCATGGGTTGTACCCACAGCCTAACCCCCGTGAGATGAACTGGGTATCTCAGTTGTAAATGCAGAAATCGCCCGCCTTCTGCATTGGTCTCACTGGGAGCTGCAGACCAGAGCTCTTCCTATTCTATCTTGGCCCCTCCCCTCTTTCTTGTCTTTTTTTATAAAAGCCATTTTAACTGTGGTGAGATGATATCTCATTGTGGTTTCAATTTGCATTTATCTGGTTAGTGATATTGAGCTTTTTTTTTTTTTTCTTTTAAGACAAGGTCTCACTCTTACTCAGACTGGAGTATAGTAGCTCAATTATAGCTCACTGCAGCGTCAGCCTCCTGGGCTCAAGCCAGAAGCCTCCCACCTCAGCCTCCCAAGTAGCTGGGACCACAGACAGGCAGGCACCACCACTCCCAGCTAATTATTATTATTTTTGGCAGAGGTGGGTTCTCTCTATGTTGCCCAGGCTGGTCTTGAACTCCTGGGCTAAAGCAGTCCTCCCACCTCAGCCTCACGCAGTGCTGGGATTATAGGTGTGAGCTAACAGGCCTGGTCCCTTTGCCCAATTTTAAATTGGGTGTTTATTTTCTTTTCAATGAGTTATAAGACTTCTTTATATATTCCGGATACAATTCTCTTATCAGACGTATGAGTTGAAATATATTTTTCTTATTCTGTGGGTTGTCTTTTCACTTTGATAGTGTGTTTCTTGTTTTGTTTGGTTGTTTTTAGATGGGGTCTTGCTCTGTCACCCAGGCTGGAGTGCAGTGGCACAATCATGGCTCACTGCAGTTGCTACGTCCTGGGCTCAAGCAATCCTCCCACCTCAGCTTCCCAAGTAGCTGGGACTACACCACCATGCCTGGCTAATTGAAAAAAATTTTTTGTAGAGACGAGTTCTACCTGTGTTGCCCAGGCTGGTCTCAGATTCCTGGGCTCAAGAAATCCTGCCTTGGCCTCCCAAGGTGCTGCGGTTATAGGTGTGAGCCATCATGCCTGGCCAATGGCATTATAAGCACAAAAGTTTTCCATTTTGATGAGGTCTAATTTATCTGGTTTTTTTTTTTTTTTGGTCACTTTTGTTGTCATTTGAAGAAACTAAAGCCTAATCCAAGGTTGTGAGAACTTTTTCCCATTTTAAGAATTGTGTAGTTCTAACTCTTACATTTAGGTCTATGCTCCATTTGGAGTGAATTTTCGTGTGTGGTTTAGGAAGCGGTCTAACTTCATTCTCCTGCATGTGGATATCCAGTTGTCCTGGCACCATCTGTGCAAAAGATGGTTGTTTCCCCATTAAGTTGTTCTGACACCTTGGTCAATTCATATTTGACAATACATGTAAAGGTTTATTTTTATGTTTTTTGAGACGAGGTCTCACGCTGTCACCAGGCTGGAGTGCAGTAGCATGTTCACTGTTCACTGCAGCCCCAACCTCCCAGGCTCAAATAATCTTCCTACTTCGCCTCTCAAGTAGCTGGAATTACAGGTGTGCACCACCATGCCCAACTAAGTTTTGTATTTTTGTAGAAATGGAATTTCACCATGTTGCCTAGGTTGGTCTCGAATTCTGGGCTCAAGCAATCCTTCTACCTCAGCCTCACAAAGTGTTGGGGTTATAGGTGTGACCTGCTGTGCCTGGCCAAAGTTTTAGACCCTCAATCTATGTCTATCTTATGTCAGTCTCACATAGTCTTACTTATTGTAGTTTTATATCTTGTTCCTTTTTTCAAGATTGTTTTGGCTACTCTGGGTCCCTTGCGTTTCCATATGAATTTTAGGATCAGTGTGCGAATCTTCTTAACTTGGAGCAGATGCTATAGAAGACTCCCAATAGTGAACTGAGGACCAAAATTATCCAGAAGCCTCTACATGGTGAAGGAAAGATTAGGGAACCAGGCAGGTTATTTACTGGTACTAGGTGTATTTTGGAAATTTCCTAAAGAGTTGTTACCTCTGGGGGTGAGGGTACTCCCTACTGCCATGCAGGCCTCAATTTCCAAATGGTTCAGTCAAAAGACTGGATTTAGAGGATTAGAATTCCAAGAAATCCAAAGGTTCAGGAACAGAGGCAGCCAGGGCAGGACTCCAGACAGCTCTATGTAGACCAGGCCCTGGAGGAGAGTTGAAGGTTATGTGTTGTTTCCACATTGACCTAAAGCAATGGAGACTGGCTTAGACTCTTACTGCTATTCAATCCTTCCTTTAAAGGGCCAGTGTCCTCTTTTGATGAAGGCTCCCACAGAACTGACTAGGAAGGGCCATTCAATGGCTTAGGGCCAAAGTCCTTTTGGTTGTACACATGAGCTGGTGTGTTCTCAAGTGGGTATATAGCAAAGGGTTAAATACATGAGCTTTGCTCTCAGGGCTGGGATTGAAATCTGAGTCTTACTATTTCTATCTGGGTAAACCTGGTTGAGTTTCTTATCCTCTGAGCATGAGTCATTCTGTTTTTGAGACGGTCTCACTCTGCTGTCCAGGCTGGAGTGCAGTGGTGTGATCACGGCTTCCTGCAGCCTCAACCTGCTGGGCTCTGAGCATCAGTTTTGTTACTTCTACACACCTTGTAGTGTTCTTTTGTTGGGCGGGGGTAGGGGGTGACATAGGATAATGCAGGGTAAGCCTTGGCACAGTGCGTGGCTCAGTGAGTGGAAGATGCTATTTTGGACAGAACCCTGAGCTTCCCAGAAAGCTTACAGACTCTCTTGAGGACATTGTGTGCCATGGGATGTTCCTTGGAACCAAGGCACTCATATTAGCATCATATATAATACAAAATAACTAAGTAGAAACGTCTGGCCATTCCCTCATATTCTGAGAGTCTTCTGTTTGTTTGCACTGTGTGGCCATGAGGCCTTTGTTCTGGTGTGATGATGCTGGCACTTGGGGTAGATGCCAGTGCAAGAACTCAGTCATTTGACTTAAAAAGGGGAGTAGGGGACAGGGAGGAAGAGGGGAAAGCTCGGCAGTAGAAAAATGGGCGGAGAGGAATATTGAGGGAGAGTTGGACTGATGCCGGAAGAAGTAGAAGTCTTGTGTCGATGTTGAAAAGCAATATTTCCAGAAAGTTCTGCCTTAGATGTCATAGGTGGGGTTGTCGTCTTTCATACCCACAAGAAATCTTCCGTAAAGGTCTGTACTACTCTTCATGGCTTTGAAGTAGGTTTTGTGCTTTAAGAAAGTGTTCTGGATGCATAGAGATGTTGAGATAGGACAGTAAGGCAAGAGGACAGTGGCTGAATCTTTTTCTTACCTATATCTGATGTGATTCCTTCACGCTAACCTCCTGCTGGATCTGCAGAGCTGGAAGGGTAATTTGACGGTGGGTGCTTTGGGTGGAGAGGGTGCTGTGGGAGCAGTGGGTACAAGCTGGTAACAACCAGCTCCTACAAGACACAAACTCCATCCAGGACTGTATTTCCGGGTTCTTCTTCCTCGTGGCTTGAATCAAGAGGGGAACATAAGGGGTCAATGATTTGACCCACAGTGAACTCAGTAGTAAGCACCAAGCCTGCTGAAATGCTTTGCATGTATTTTTTCCCCTTTCCGGCTGGATGGTCCATTGGCACCCATCACTTCTCTGCTGTCTCCTAAGCTAGAAACCTGGGATCCATATATCCTAGATACATAGATAGGTTATCTAGAATAGTAAGGGCTTGTAATCCTAGGCCCTTACTACTCCTCTATCAAGAATGGGCAGGTGTGTTGCCTTGAGCAAATGTTAGTCACATGAGTGTCCACAGTGGTCTCAGGCATTCTCGTGAAGCTTCTATGCTACAGGCAGGCCTGGGGGCAAGTGTGCAGCTACCAGCCTGGAGTCTGGGGCTGTGAGGACCTGCTGGGCACTGGGTTTTACTGGGGTAGTGCTGAGGTCCAAGGTTGAATCTGGGACTCGCTTCCCTCTCTTCCCCCCATGCAGAGGGTGTTCCGATGTGTGCTGCGCTGCCTGCGGCTGAGGGAGGGGTTGGCACAGGTCCTGTGAACATGTCCTCCCTGCCCTCTCCAATGCATCTTTTCTTAATATTTGCATGCAACACCCAGGTGCTGTCATCTCTCACATGGTTTTCTTAGCGCTTAGGGTATTTTCATGCACAGATAGTTTAAGATGTTTCCATGGGGGGACAAGCACTGAAAGTCCTCCTCCAGTATCTCGCAGCTGTCCTGTTGCAGCATGGTGCATGTATTAACTCACGGAATCTTCCTATCAACTCTACAAGGTGGATGCTATTACTATCTCTACCTCAACCAGGGAACTGAGACAGAGGTGGGTACGTTGCCAAGGTCACAAAGCTGCCAAGTGTCAGAAGCCAGACAGTCTGGCTCCAGAACAAGGTGTACAGACTCAGCCTGAGCCTGCAGGCCCGAGTTTCAATTCACAACCCCTCAAAAACTTGATATATGACTTGGGTGAGTACGAATGTCTCTGGACCCCATTTTCCTAGTCTATCACATGAGAGTAGCATAGGTGACTTATCAGCTGCTTTCCTGCAGCCTACCCAATTCAGTGATTTCTATTCCTTAACAACACTGGGTGATCGCTTTACTGTCACCCACCATACTGTCCTCAATCCCACCTCTGCCACTAGCCCTGCCACTTCCTTCCCTGCCCCCAACTGCCTGAGCTGCTGCTCCGTGACCTTGTTAGATAACCTTGTGTATCAGTGTCCACATCTGCAATATCAGGGAAATACTTATCCCCTAGAGATCCCAGCTCTTCTGTTTCGTTAGAATTTCACAGGACAAGATGAAAATAGAGGCAGTCACCTGCAGCATGGACATATTTTGAGTATACAGAGATTTTTTTTTTTTTTTTTTTTGAGACAGGGTCTTGCTATCGCCCGGGCTAGGGTACAGTGGTGTGATCTTGGCTCACTGCAACCTCTGCCACCCAGGTTCAAGCAATTCTCAGCCACTTGATTAGCCAGGACTATTGGCATGCAGCACCATGCCCGGCTAATTTTTGTATTTTCAGTAGGGATGGGGTTTCACCATGTTGGCCAGGCTGGTCTCAAACTCTTGGCCTCAAGTGATCCGCCCACCTTGGCCTCCCAAAGTGCTGGTGGGATTACAGGTGTGAGCCACCACACTCGGCCTGAGTATATAGAGATTGTTGGAATCTTTGACAGAATGACTTTGGGCCTGCATTTCTTCAGTTAGCCTCTCCCATTCTCCCAGATCTGGACATCACTCATTGTCAAGAAGGCCTCCCCAGAAGCCCAGGAAAAACGTTCAGCTTAAACAAACAAACAAAAAAACCCGTTCAGCTTAAACATGGAAATCAAGAAAACATCCAAGGCCATTAGAAATGCTTTTATTTATAAAAGAACTACTTAAATATAAACATCTCTACATAGAAACACTCTTCACAAAAGGACTCTTGCATTACTGCCTTCTGACCACGACCAGCAGACACTGTGGATGTTAGGACTCCACGGTGTCTCCCGACTCCCAGGATTTTAAGGCTAAATGTGCACTTGGAGGAACAGGGGCTGTAAGGCTATTTCTTCCCTTTCTTTTAAAAGACAAATTTCATGGTTTCCCATTCCAAGATAGGCTTCATAGCTGGGGAAGATCTTAAGATTCTTGGTCTAAGGGGTAAGCAAATATCTTCCTGAGACTGGGAGGTATGATCAGGCACTTGGGAATCTGGCTTTGAATGTCATCTCTGAAGCATGGAAGTTAGTGGTGAAAAAAATCTTATTTCCAAGTCTAGGATAAGCTACTTCTGGAATGGCTTATCCCAATTCAAGTAAGTCACAGGTGTTATGTTGTCTGCATCTATGGATGTAACTAAACAGTCATTAGGGTGCTTGGATGAAGAAGAAAGACATCCAGTCTTCCATTAGGCTCAACTGGTTTCAGCTCAAAGCAGAACTAATACTTTTAATGGAATGGCTGGAGCTCTCATACTGTTACTCTAGGAAAATCTATCAATTATTGAGTCCAGGGCAGGGGGGCCACCAGACATCACAGACTGTGTAAAGACCATCAGAAAGGTGTCATTGAGGTTGCGGTATGGTGGCTTACACCTGTAATCTCAGCAGGGAGGCGGGAGGGTTGCTTGAGCCCAGGCGTTTAAGACCAGCCTGGGCAACATAGCAAGACCCCATCTCAAAAAAAAAAGCGGGGGGGCAGTGATTGTACCTAACAAGGGAAGAGAATCTTTCAGATGAAGGGTCAACAGAAAATAAAGACCCTAAACACTTCTAAAAGTAGAACGCAGTTGAATTTTGCATAACTAATCTGGGAATGGAGTAAAAGAAACAAGGTTACAGAATGTAGTGCTTTAGGGACTTTAGAAATTAGGGGCAGTATGTATGAGAATGTGTGCTGGACACTGGAGGTGTCCCAGGAGCTTTGAAGCACTAGGTTTGGTTCAATCCCGACAAACTCCCAGCCATGTGCAAGCACTGCCTCACGGGGTGCCCAGAGCCATGAATTCTTTTCATCTGAGTTGGCATCCGGTCAGCTGAGCATGGAACATGGGGCCACCCCAAACGCCGTACAGCACAACCATTACCAACACTGTCTATTGCTAGAGCACAGCTTCCTGCATACATAGGACACTGGGCTTCTGACTGCAAGTTTCTCCTTTCCAAAAGCCAGCTCTAAGACTTGTCTCTCTTCTCATAGTCACTAAGTCATTTGCAAAGCCCCAGGGTCCATTTCAAATTCTAGAGATTCTAGTGAGCATCAAGGTTTACAACCCAATCGAGGAGAACAAGATCTGTGGTGTGCTCCACCATGCCATGGTTAAGCAACGCAGACAGGGCCTGTGTCTCAGGAGCAGGCGCCCTCTCGGTGGGCCGCCAGAACCCTCGGCGGACTGAAAGCAAAGGCAGCAAGGCTGGGTGGCAGGCAACGTGGGCTCAGGTGTACTCGGTTTTGCGGATATAATTGGAGGGAACGTAGCCCTTCTTCCCGTTAACCTCAGCTAACCACCACTCTGTATTTCCTGTAACATCTTTAAACTCGAGGATCTTGAGTTTCTGATTGGCTGACACGCTCAGCTCATTTGGGTTTCGTGCCTTGAAGGTGTAGACAGCAAAATAGACCTGTGTGAGGGAGAGAGAGAAAATGGGAAATTGCTGGGAGCAATGCCATCCAACAGCTTCGTGCGGTGTTGGGGAGGGTTCCACATCCACATGCCCACATGTGGCTACTGAGCCCCTGAAATATGGCCAGTGAGACAGAGGAACTGAATTTTTAATCTTATTTAATTTTAACTAAAATAAATTTAAATAGGTACATACGGATGATGGCTACCATAATAGGGATGATTAAAAGAAAACACCAATTTGGCCGGGCACGGTGGCTCATGCCTGTAATCCCAGCACTCTGGGAGGCTGAGATGGGTGGATCACCTGAAGTTGGGAATTTAAGACCAGCCTGGCCAACATGGTGAAACCCCACCTCTACTAAAAATACAAAAATTAGCCGGGCGTGGTGGCACACACTTCTAATCCCAGCTACTCACGAGGCTGAGACAGGAGAATTGCTCCAACCCAGGATGCAGAGGTTGCAGTGAGCCAAGATCGCGCCACTGGACTCCAGACCCTGGGCGACAGAGTGAGACTCTGTCTTGGAACAAACACCAATTTGGGAGGCTGAGGGCAGATCACTAGAGGTCAGGAGTTTCAGACCAGCTGGTCAACATGGTGTGAAACCCCATTTCTACCAAAAACACGAAAAATAAGCATGATGGTGAACACCTGTGATCCCAGCTACTCCAGAGGTTGTGGCAGGAGAATTGCCTGAACCCAGCAGGCAGAGGTTGCACCACTGCACTCCAGCCTGGGCAACAGAGCAAGACTCCATTTTAAAAAAACTACCTTTTCAGTCTTTTAGAATTGCTTTAAAGGGTGGAAGACGAGCATACTCTTCCATACCTCCAACACAAATTATGAAAAAGAAAAACCAGAAAACCACAACCAACTTCAAAGAAAAGTTGATCTTTAGATGCCACAAACAAAGATCTCATGATCTAATGCCCATGGAAGGGAGGAGCTCAGGGAGGAGGAGAAGCCATGAGGCCCATGGGGGCCAGAGGGAGGGACACGTGCCCCAAGGGCTGGAGCTTTAGGACCTGGTCAGGGACTGGAGCTGAGACTACAACTACATTCCCTGCTCGAACTCAATCTAAGAAAGGTCCTTCTTTTCCCTTTGATGTGTCTATAATAACTGTCTGCTTGGTAGGCCCAGAATGGGGATGTTTGACCCGGGAAGTAGGTAGTAAGAGAAATCACCAGAAAAACGAGCATGCACAAAGCTCGGCTATGGCACTGAGGAATGTGCTATGGGAAGCCTGAACTGAGAAAGTGGGTAAAAACTGGACTCTTAGAATCCAGACAGTGGCAGAGGCAGCACCTCTACAACCCAGGACACGACTGGGCCTTCCCATGAGGGCAAATCCTTCTGGAGATGAGCTCGCAGACAAACCTGACAGTCAACACAGGAAGATGCTCCACTGAAGAGCGAGCAAAGGCAACAAACGGTGCAGCAAAGACTCTGCAGCTGTGAATCTGAAAATGGCTTTAAAGCATACAGGTTAGTTCAAGATATGGCCAGCTGTGGGTGGCTCACGCCTGTAATCCCAGCAAATTGGGAGGCCAAGGCAGGCAGCGAGGTCAGGAGATCGAGACCATCCTGGCCAACATAGGGAAACCCTGTCTCTAATAAAGTAGTCCCAGCTACTCAGGAAGCTGAGGCAGGAGAATCGCTTGAACCTGGGAGGCGGAGGTTGCAGTGAGCTGAGATTGCGCCACTGCACTCCAGCCTGGGCGACAGAGCAAGACTCTGTCTCAAAAAAAAAAAAAAAAACCCAAAACGTTTGAGATACAAAGCCTACAATCAAACTCATAAACGGGAACAGGCCATTACAAAGAGAATAGGAAAAACTGGGGCTGGGCACAATGGCTCACGCCTGTAATCCCAGCACTTTGGGAGGCCGAGGTGGGCGGATCACTTGAGGCCAGCAGTTCCAGACCAGCCTGGCCAACATGGTGAAGACTGTCTCTACTGAAAATACAAAAATTAGCTGGGTGTGTTGGTGTACACCTGTAATCCCAGCTACTCAGGAAGCTGAGGCATGAGAAATGAGAATTGCTTGAACTTGAGAGGTGGAGGTTGCAGTGAGCTGAGATCATGCATTCCCCATCCTGGGTGACAAACTCCTCAAAAAAAAAATAAAGTATGGTTACTTGAATCAAAAACCAAACAAGTGGATTAAATGGATGTTATACAACTGAAGAATTAGTGAACTGGAAGAATAATGAAGTTGTCATTATAGCACCTTTTAAACACCCAGTGACACAGAGGGGTCCAGGAATAGCCTGTGAAGTATCAGCAGGGGAAGGTGCTCAGAAGGCTCTGATGGCAGAGATTCCTTGTGTGCTTGAAAGGTGTGTCTGTGAGCTCATCTCAGATCACCCCTAGGCCTCAGGCAAGCCACTTCTGCCTCACCCCCGCTGGTACCCACAACACATCTGCTGCCGCCTGTGCCACAGTGGCAGGCCTCTTACGCACTCACCTGGTTGCCTTCTGCCTCACTGCCATCTGGCTCTGTACTTCTGTCTTCCGGAGCCTGGGCTGTTCTTGCACATCCTTTGACGAGGTCTTGACTTTGCCCATTTCGTCCTGGTACGGAGTAGCCAACTATTTCTGGATGCCTGAAGTTCCGGTAGCTCCTCGGCGTGGCAGTGGGTTGCTTTACATCTCTAGCTACATCTGCAGAGTCCCCTGACCTTGGCTGGGAGGTGGAGTCTGGGTCTGAAGGGCATCTGGAAGGACTACTCTCTGAATTACTCGGATTTAGGGATGCACTGAGAGTTCCTTGGTCACATTCTTTTGGCGGAGGAGATGCATCTTGAGGCTGCTTCTGGCAAGACCCCGAGGTAAAGGATACAGCCATGCTGCTGGGGTTGAAGGTCAGGGTGCTGCCGCTGTTCTGGCGTGGGAACCTGGGGGAGGAGCTGCCGTGCTCAGACTCTGTGGAGGAGTGGCTACCCACGGAGGCATCGGAGTGGCTGCGGCGAGGATTGTAGGGCTTTAGGAAAGAGCTGTACACGAAGCCTTTGGTGACTACAAAGGAAACAGGAAATATAAACAAGAACTCTTAGCAGAAGGCTGGACAGACAGAGGGAGCATTGAGAGAAAAAAAACTGATCTAGGTTATTCATCTGTAAAATGAAGAGTAAAACAAAAACTCAAAAGCCAGGCCAATAGTGAGAGACACAAAATAAAATGCCTAGTGACAAAGCGGCTTGGAACACTCAGTCCCAGGATGTGATGTGTGTAGGTAGAGATGAAGAGCCGCAGCTGCCTGCCGGTTCATTCATGTTCACAACCTCACAACAGATGCATGCTCAGGAGGCCCATGGCCAACTGAGAAGACAGCAATGAAAACAATCCATGTCTGGGAACCGGCATGGGAAGAGAATGTCATAGGACACTGAGATCATGCCTAAGAGGAAGGCTTGATGAAGCCTATGTTCAAATACAGCAAGTGTGGAAAAGACCGAGTTAAGAACCAGCCTCGGCAGCGCACGGGAGCTCACGCCTGTAATCCTAGCTCTTTGGGAAGCTGAGATGAGAGGATTGCTTGAGCCCAGTTCCCTGGTCAACACAGCGAGACTTCATCTCTATTTGAAACAAAACAAAACAAACTGGGTACAGTGGCTCATACCTGTAATCCAGGCACTTTGGGTGGCTGAGGAGGGCAGATCACCAGAGGTCAGGAGTTCACAACCAGCCTGGCCAACATGGTGAAGCCCCGTCTCTATTAAAAATACGAAAATATTAGCCGGATGTGGTGGTGCGCACCTGTAATCCCAGCTACTCAGGAGGCTAAGGCAGGAGAATCGCTTGAACCCAGGAGCCAGATGTTGCAGTGAGCCAAGACCATGCCATTGCACTCCAACCTGGGCAACAAGAACGAAACTCCGTCTCAAAAAAAAAGCCTCAGCTCAAGAAGCCCCTCCATAGACCTCCCTGCCCTCTTTCCCACCAGGACACGTGAATCCTTTGCTCTGAGAGTCTGGATATACTGGAAGGATGTTCTAACGTAGGAAACTGTTTGTTAGAATATACACGTAACGTGTACTGCACATGGTTCACTTTAATAAATTGCCCAAGATGACCAAGGGGGCTTTCAGCTAAAACTCAAGTATAAATTAGGGATTGCGTGAGCATCCACGTGACAATTTTTCATAACACTGTCAAGGCACAGACCCAGAGTATGTAGCCTCCATGAGAACAATGGCCATTACTCTATTGATCTTTGATGCATTTCCTGTACCTGACAGCTGATCTGAATACTGTGGCTTCCTGCTACCACTTCTCAAGTTTGAGTAGATAAAAACTGAAGGATGGAGCAGTTTCTTAAACAGCTTGGGACTTTAGGTCCATCTGTCTCTGACCCCAGCAGTAGCTGTCACCTGATGTCACCCTAACAGGCTCCATCCTCTGTCCTTCGTGTCCCACTTTTAATCTCTCGTTCTGTGTAAGCAGAAGTGGGGAGAAAAAAAATCCACAAGATGCTTTTAAAGAAACCAAGAAATGTGACATTTTTCAGTTCTGGGTGGTGAATACATAATGTCTGTCTAGATAGGGACCACAATCCCTACCTAAAATGCTTAGGGCCAGATATGTTTTGGAATTCAGATTCTTTTTAATTCTGGGAAGGTAGTCAAGTACCCATACTACATATTTTGTAAAACCCCCCAGCAGGGTCAGCACCCCGTAATCAATTCTGTTAATGAATATTCAGAATGAGATCCTGTCATTTGCGGCCACATGGTTGAACCTGGAGGACACGTTAAGTGAAATGAGCCAGGCGCAGAAAGACAAATACCATATAATCTCATTCACGTGGAATCTAGACAAGTTGATCTCATAGAGGTTGAGAGTAGAATGCTAGATACCAGAGGCTGGGGGTGGTGGAAGGGGAGGTGAGTCTGGGGAGAGGTTGCTCAACAGGTACAAAGTTAGGAGAAATAAGCTCTGGTGTTCTATTGCACAGTAAGGTTACTATAGCTAATGATAATGTATATTTCAAGATGGCTAGAAGCCAAGGATTCTGAATGATATCTCTGCAAAGAAATGACAAGTTTATAGCCTGGGCAACACAGGGAGACTGTCTCTACTAAAATAAAATTAACTGGGCATGGTCACGCATGCCTCTGGTCCCAGCTACTCAGGAGGCCGAGACAGGAGGATTGCTTGAGCCTGGGAGGTGGAGGCTGCAGTGAGCCAAGATTGTGCCCCTACAATCCAGCCTGGGTGACAAAGCTAGACCCTATCTCAAAATTATCGCACCGTACCCCATAGATATGAACAAGTATGTGTCAGTTATAAACTAAAACTTAAAGTATCTCACATAATTGCAAATAGGAAAGTTCTGATGTTTTTGTGTCATTCATGTTGGAGATGTAGTCATCCACCCATGATGTGAGCAACCTCTTGGCTGAATCAGATTGCAATCAAGCATTTAAAAAAAAATAAGGCCAGGTGCCGTGGCTCATGCTTGTAATCCTGGCACTTTGGAAGGTCAAGGCGGGATGGAACACCTGAGGTTAGGAGTTGGAGACCAGCCTGGTCAACATGGTGAAACCCCGTCTCTACAAAAAATACAAACAGTTAGCCAGGTGTGGTGGTGCGTGCTACTTGTGAGGCTGAGGCAGGAGAATCGCTTGAAGGCAGAGGTTGCAGTGAGCTGAGATCGTGCTGCTGCACTCTAGCCTGGGTGACAGAGCTAGACCCTGTCTTAAAAAATAATAAAAATGAAAAATACATACACATGACTATTCACACCAAAAGGATAAGTTACAATTATAAATAGTCTCACATCACCTTCATTCAGGTTTTGGCAAAAGTGTTTTTAGAGCTTTTTGGATTTTGGAAAAAGGGATTACAGATCAGTATTATCCCTTGTACACTTACTTAAATTCTGTAAATCACTCTCCCTCCAAAAAAGTTGTAAGCTGTTTTTAAAGTAATTCCCTAAATAGTCATGAGGTAAAACTGTCATGGGGAGAAGAAAGCAAATGAAATCCCACAGGTTTTTAATTTCCACAAGACAAATTCATGGAAACTGGAAGAGGTGCTGGGTGCGGTGGCTCACACCTATAATCCCAGCATTTTAGGAGGTCCAGGCAGGAGGACGGCTTGAGCCTAGAAGTTGGAGACCAGCCTGGACAACATGGCAAGACGTAATATCTATAAAATTATTAAAAAATTAGCTGGGCATGATGGCATACCTGTAGTCCCAGCTAGGACAGGAGGATCCCTTGAACCCAGGAGTAATAAGCTATGATTGTGCCACTGCACTCCAGCCTGGATAACAGAGCAAGACTGCCACAAAAAAAAAAAAAAAAAAAAAAAAAAAAAATTTGAAAAGAGGGCAGCTTATTTTGTGGCATACTGGGAACAGGCTAAGAAGGAACAGGATTCCGTGAGGCAGGACTTCCTGCCTGTAAGTGCTGTAAGATATGGCAAGAGCTTGCATGATAAGCAACGGTGTCTCCTCTGGAATTTGTCAAAACAAAAAGAGGTTTTGTTTCAGTAATGATCTTCACTCTCTAGAGAAGGTTAAGGTTATTTTTCAGGTTATTTTTCCCCTTAATCAAAGATACTTTTTGCTTTTTTTTCCTGGCCTAGTCCAGATTCGGGTGCAGCCAAAACTACTATTTTTTTTTTCCAGTTACAGTCCTCTGCTGCTTAAAATTCTTACCTCCATTGTCAATCAGCCAGCGGTTCTGGCTGCCCATGGGGTCTTTTTTCTTAATCACACCCACCAGGTCACCTTCCAAAAGTGAGACATCCAAGTCTTGAGCAGCATTGAAGTTCCGTTCTGCCTGGAAGAGTTTTTCAGGGGGATACCTGGCCAGGAGGGAGGCCCGGAGTTCTTCTGACTGTAGCATGTAACTTGGCTGAAAGGTAAGACGTTAACAAAAATCTCTCAGTGGCCACTACCCCAGCAGCCATATTTCATCCCAACATGTGGCCAGTCTCAGAAATGAGGCAGGGACAGTCAGTCACTGCCCATCTCACTCCCATCAGATGTTTTTGTGATGAAGCCAGCCCATGTGGCTAGGTAAAAATCAAGAGCCCTTAGGCAATGTTTGATGCCTTTATAGTTAAGAAAATTTAACACACACCTATTCTTACATTTGTTTTCTTGTGACAAACGTGATTAAAATGCCACTTAAAAAAAATCAAAATATCTAAGTGATATTAGTAGGTCTTCTTGTATTTTGTTAGGGACATTCTCGGTTAGGTTCATCTATCTTGACTTCCCCACCTGTGAAAGCAAGGAAGTCATAAGAAAAAAGGTAATAATAAATTCAGGCTGGGCATGGTTGCTCACACCTGTAATCCCAGCACTTTGGGAGGCCAAGGTGGGCAGATCACTTGAGGCCAGGACTTGGAGACCAGTCTGGTCAACATAGCGAAACCCTGTCTCTACTAAAAATACAATACAGGCATGGTAACGCATGCCTGTAATCCCAGCTACTCAAGAGGCTGAGGCAGGAGAATCACTTGAACCTGGGAGGGTGGAGGATGCAGTGAGCCAAGATCAGACCACTGCATTCCAGCCTGGGTGACAGAGCAAGGCTCTGTCTCAAAAAATCATAATTCTCCCTTTTAAGGTAATATAAATTAATGTCTATGGGATCATATGGGGCAAAAATATTGTAAGCAAAGATGTATCAGCAGTCCTCTAGCTGGTGTGCCTTATGCTAATTTTTAAAATATGGAAGAACTGAGGTTAAAAAAGACTAACTCCAGGTAAAAAAGGCAGCCAACCATTAACTGTTTAGCTGTATTACTTTTATGAATACATCATAAAAAATAGGCCTGGCAGAATTAATATACCCTTAAATCAGTTTCCTGAATTAATGAACCAATGAATTAATACTGGGTTAATCCCCTCCCCCCCACAAAAAAAGCCTGGGGATGGTGGCTCATGCCTGTAATCCCAGCACTTTGGGAGGCTGAGGCGGACAGATCACAAGGTCAAGAGATCGAGACCACCCTGGCCAACATGGTAAAACCCCATCTCTACTAAAAAATAGAAAAATTAGCTGGGCGTAGTGGCGTGTGCCTGTAGTCCCAGCTACTTGGGAGGCTGAAGCAGGAGAATTCACTTGAACCCAGAAGGCGCAGGTTGTAGTGAGCCAAGATCACACCACTGCACTCCAGCCTGGCAACAGAATGAGATGAGACTCTGTCTCAAAAAAAAAAATGGCGAATGCATGAGCCCATGATGGGTGAGAATGCAACACTATTCTCCATTTATTATGAAATACAGAAACTCCAATAGTGGGATCTGGGCCTGGGGGCCTGGCTGCAGGGTTCCCCCTCTTTACCCCGAGGCGGGGCTGCTGCTCTCAGTTCCCTACTCACCAGGCCCAGGAGTGGCTTTCGAGCAGACTGGCGGTCAATGGTTTTCCTCTCAAATGGCTTCTTGGTAGCTGGAAGAGACTCCGGGAAGAAGGTAAAAACCTGGAGTTGCTGCAGAACTCTGCTGTGCTCTTCGTGGAAGATGGCAATAAGGTTTCCCTCTCTGCCAGCCACTTTGAGTAACTGGGGTCCATGGGAAGAGCAGAGATAGAGAAAAGAAGAAAACACGATAAAAGATCCCAGAGAAAAGAAGAAAACATGATGAAAGATCCCGGATTGACAGTCTCCTTAGAACCACTGGAAGCTAAAGTTCAGCTGCAGCTCATTCTCTGAGCTACCGACACAGCAGCCTGATGCAAGACACAAGTTCTCCAGGGCACTGCCTGCGGGCCAGGTTGGCTGGCTCTTCTGGGAACTGCTCAAGAGGGAAAAGATGTTTCAGAAGCCACAGGCTTCATGACACCATCAAGGGATTAAGATTTCCTGAGGGATGAACTAGCGACACATTCAGTTTATCTAATTCAGATAATTTTTCAAACCATGCTACCATTTTTCCCAGAAAAATACCAGGCAAAGGCTATAGATGACCATCCCACTGAACAGGTAAGAAACTCACCGAAAGCAGTGGCTTTAATTGCTCCAGAGCCTGGTGCACAAAGTCACAGTGGGCTTCAGCATAGCCGTGGACACAGTTGGTGAAGAGGCCCTGGGCGTACTGGTGGAACTTGGGCAGCTCATCCAGCAGCTGTGCATTCAGGGCCTCATAGTTGTTCCGGGCCGACTGCAGCTCCTCCAGGGTCTTCTTGTCCTTTAGCTTTTCTGCCCGTTCTGTACAGTTATAGAAGTCCAGGAGCTTGTCAAAGCGTTTCTGTACCAGCTTATGGGGCCCTGTAAACATGCTCAGTAACTGATTTAAGGGGGAGATGACAAGCCGCTCTGTCCTCTCCTTCTGTAGGGACGAGAAAGGCACATTGCTCAGCTGGACAGCATCCCACATTTGTGATTATCCAAGTCACTCTTAAGGCTGACTTTGTTGTGTCCTGAACCACCTACTTCGTTTCTAGTACACAAGCTAAACCCATACAGATCTACAACAGTATTCTACTAACCCATCACTAGCCTCTACTTAAATACTCCACAAGACTTCTCACTAGATACCTTCAATTCCCACATCAAGGAGTATGTAAAATACACTAATCTCACTTGACCTCCTTGAGGTGATAAATGCTAAGCTGCACACTGATATGATGTGTGCATTAGAAACCAGCCGTGAAGTTTACCTGGTAACATTTATTATGTGTACATGTCTACATAGCTTGAATTTAACTCCAGAGTTAGTTGTTACATAAATCTGAGGTGGAATAACTTTCATACACTCATAAACCTTTAATCATAACTAGGTAATACCCATTTTTTTTTTTTTGAGACGGAGTCTTGCTCTGTCACCCAGGCTGGAGTGCAGTGGCGCAATCTCAGCTCACTGCAGCCTCAGCCTCCCAAGAAGTTGGGATTACAGGAGTCAGCCACCGCACACAGCCCCCATTTTTATCTTCCAAAGAATTTTTCTCTTGGTTGGGAACGGTGGCTCATGCCCATAATCCCAGCACTTTGGGAGGCCAAGGTGGGCAGACCACTTGAGGTCAGAAGTTTGAGACCAGCCTGGCAAAACCCCGTCTCTACTAAAAATACAAAAATTAGGCAGGTATGGTGGTGCATGCCTGTAGTCCCAGCTCCTTGGGAGGCTGAGGCAGGAGAATCGCTTGAACCTGGGAGGCAGAGGTTGCAGTGAGCAGAGATTGTGCCACTGCACTCCAGCCTGGGTGACAGAGTGAGACTCCATCTCAAAACAAAAATTATAAATTTTTCTCTTTAATTCTTTCTAACACACAGACATTAAGGGTAAGGCAATGAATACATAAAGAACATAAACAGGTACTTAGTAGTACTTAGTAGCATCTTATTAAAAATAATGTACAATTAGAACACCTGTCAGCTCCCCAGGTGGGCATGTCTTTTTCACCCTCAGGCCACTTATAGATCCCTACAAAACTATCAAACCCCATCCAGTTTTTTCTACAAGGGATTAAACAATCCCATATATATGGATTTAGAATTTCTCAAGAAATTTGGTCTTCAGTACTTCAAGCAATTTTTTTTTGAGACAGAGTTTCGCTCTTGTTGCCCAGGCTGGAGTACAATGGCATGATCTCGGCTCACCATGACCTCCACCTTCCAGGTTCAAGCAATTCTCCTGCCTCAGCCTCCCGAGTAGCTGGGATTACAGGTGTGCGCCACCACACCTGGCTAATTTTGTATTTTTAGTAGAGACAGGGTTTCTCCATGTTGGTCAGGCTGGTCTCAACTCCCAACCTCAGGTGATCCGCCCACCTCGGCCTCCCAAAATGCTGGGATTAGAGGCGTGAGCCACCATGCCCGGACTTAAAGTAGTTTTTACCATCTCAAATCTCTTTGGTAACATATTAACTATATTCCTAAATATTTGTCTTCAAGGTTTTTTTTTTGTTTGTTTGTTTGTTTTTGTTTTGAGGCAGAGTCTTGCTCTGTTGCCCAGGCTGGAGTACAGTGGTGCTATCTTGGTTCATTGCAACCTCCTCCTCCTGGGTTCAAGCTATTCTCCAGCCTCGGCCTCCTGAGTACCTGGGATTACAGGTGCCCACCACCATGCCCTGCTAATTTTTGTATTTTTAGTAGTGGCAGGGTTTCACCACCTTGGCCAGGCTGGTCTTGAACTCCTGACCTCAAGGGATCTGCCTGCCTCTGCCTCTCAAAGTGCTAGGATTACAGGCATGAGCCACTGTGCCTGGACCCTCTTCAAGTTATTATTCCTATAGTTGCTTTTATTTGATCAGAGTTCATTGCCTAGTTTTCCTTTGTCCTCTGAAACTAAATTAATCACAAGCTATTTTTTAAAAAACCTGTTTGTACAGACACAGGTCCTACATCTCCCTTTAACTAACTGAAAGTCATGTTGTGAATATCAAACCCCAATATGAATATAGCTAAAGGATGACTAATATGCCTGGTGCCCAGGGCCTGTGTCCGTGGAACTGACTTGCATGAGCTGATGTATTTGAGATGACCCTGGGAAGGGGGCCAACTTTTGAAGAAAAAGTTACTTACAAAGTTTGTGAAGAGCTGGTCACTGATGTAGCGATGCACCCTCTCAAACTGCTCCAGGTCCCGGTGTCCTCTCTCCATGCACACATCCCACATGCTCACAGCAGCCACCACTTTCACACATGCGGACTCCTGGAGCCAGTTAGGACAGACACAAGTCAGAACAGACAGAACTTTCCAGCTTTTGTCATACATTCCAAGACTGAATAGCAGTCTTGGAAAAATGAGTTCCATAATTTGAAATTTTCTAACTAGTCTGGTATTTTAGCTTTGAAATAAGCATATTTTCATAAACTATGACTTACGGGGCACAGAGAAAGGCTAAGACTTTTAATTCTTAACAAAACTGTTGAGGGCTTTTATCATCTCTTTAGCATTCCCCTATGTCCCTAATAGGGTTTCTTAATTTACCAAAAAGCAAATTATCAAATTAGAACCAAGATGATTCCTATAGGATTACGATAATGACCAGTCACCTCTCCTTCCTCAAGTCTTGGTTCATGCTGTCGCCATCTCAAAGACAACTGTCCTGCCATGTTACTGATCCTCAAAACCTGGTTTCCCATCCGACCCTGGCACTCCCAATAGCTCCTGCTGTGCTGCTTCCTTTTTTTGTCTTTGCAAAAAAATACTCTCTCACATGATTAGAATTGACTAATGCTTGCTTATTGTCATGATCTCCCTCACCCACCCTCCTAGTAAAAATGCGAGCTCCACAAAGGTAGAGACTTTTGTCTGTTTTGTTTGCTGACTCCACTATCACATAGTCAACTCCTCCTGACAGTGACTGAGTTTGAACTCCAGGTTGGTTTTCCAGGCTTTCTTTCGAGACCAGCCTGGCCAGCATGGTGAGACCCCATCTCTACAATGCTGGGCTGTAACCCAAACAAACTAAATACTCCATTAGTCTATTTCAAGGGCAAAAAGAGAAAAGTCTAAGACTTTTAATTCTTAAAAAACTGTTGAGGGCTTTTATCATCTCTTTGGCATTCCCCTATGTCCCTAATAGGGATTCTTAATTTAACAAAAAGTAAATTATCAAATTAGAACCAAGATGATTCCTATAGGATTAGGATAATGACCAGTTACCTCTCCTTCCTCAAGTCTTGGTTCATGCTGTCACCGTCTCAAAGACAACTGCCCTGCCATGCTACTGATCATCACAACCTGGTTTCCCATTCCTAAGCAAAGTCCCTAAGCAAAACCATCAGTGCCTCATACATTGGTTTGATGCTTTATTTTTATATCATTTTTAGACCTTTTGTCTTTAATATTTATATCTGTATATATAAAGCCAGGGCTTCGTCAGTAAGATAACCCAGGGAATGTTGCTAATTCCTCTTGAGTGGGAGATCTAATGTGAAAAGTGATGTCCTCTTGTTTTCTTTTAAAGGAATGTTATAAAGTCCCCAAATATCAGCCCATATGCCAATGTAGATACCAAATTATCCAGCCAATGGCCCTCAGCTTATGTTCTTGCTGGTTTTCTCGCTGTTAGTCAATCTAATTTTATTATTGGGCAGGCTTTTCATTTTGTGGCATGACAAAACTATTCAACATTTTCTCTCAATTTCTGTCAGCAGTCAGAACTAAATTGATACTTCCATCAGATGGTTTTCAACATTACATATATCCCAACCCAAAATGTATCAGTCACTGCTATGGAGGTGAGCCTTTTAAGGGCTGAGGGCTCAGGTATATAGTGTCACACTTTAGAAAACCTGGGGAGAAAATGGCCAACAGAGGGATATCAGCATGAGAGGGATATTAGGGGAAAGTCCTATGAAGCAGCAAGACAAAGAAACATACTCAGTAGCTGCCCCAATTGTGTGTTTTATTTTTCTTGAGATGGAGTCTCACTCTCACCCAGGTTGGAGTGCAATGGCATGATCTCAGCTCACTGCAACCTCCACCTCCCGGCGTCAAGCAATTCTCCTGCCTCAGCCTCCTGAGTAGCTGGGATTACAGGTGCCTGCCATCATGCCCAGCTAATTTTTGTAGTTTTAGTAGAGACAGGGTTTCACCACGTTGGCCAGGTTGGTCTCAAACTCCTGACGTCAGCTGATCTGCCCACCTCGGCCTCCCAAAGTGTTGGGATTACAGGCATGAGCAACTGTGCCCGGCCCTAGTTACATTTTTAAAACACAAGGGTGGAAGTTGGCTATTTACTCAATAAATGATAGGCCACTGGGTAACCAGCTGGAAAAATAAAGTTGAATCCCTGCTTCAAACCTGATTTACTAAAGTCCAGACAGAGCAATGATTTAATCTTAAAACTTAAAAAAAGATTTTAAAATCTTAAAAAATGGAATGATAAAAGTACTAGAACTCCCTCTCCCTCTCCCCCTCTCCCTCCCCCTCTCCCTCTCCCCACCGTCTCCCTCTCTTTCCACGGTCTCCCTCTCATGCGGAGCCAAAGCTGGACTGTACTGCTGCCATCTCGGCTCACTGCAACCTCCCTGCCTGATTCTCCTGCCTCAGCCTGCCCAGTGCCTGCGATTGCAGGCACGCGCCACCACGCCTGACTGGTTTTGGTGGAGACGGGGTTTCGCTGTGTTGGCCAGGCCGGTCTCCAGCCCCTAACCGCGAGTGATCCGCCAGCCTCGGCCTCCCGAGGTGCCGGGATTGCAGACGGAGTCTCGTTCACTCAGTGCTCAATGGTGCCCAGGCTGGAGTGCAGTGGCGTGATCTCGGCTCGCTACAACCTACACCTCCCAGCCGCCTGCCTTGGACTCCCAAAGTGCCGAGATTGCAGCCTCTGCCCGGCCGCCACCCCGTCTGGGAAGTGAGGAGTGTCTCTGCCTGGCCGCCCATCGTCTGGGATGTGAGGAGCCCCTCTGCCTGGCTGCCCAGTCTGGAAAGTGAGGAGCGTCTCTGCCCGGCCGCCATCCCACCTGGGAAGTGAGGAGCACCTCTTCCCGGCCGCCATCACATCTAGGAAGTGAGGAGCGTCTCTGCCCGGCCGCCCATCGTCTGAGACGTGGGGAGCGCCTCTGCCCCGCCGCCCCATCTGGGATGTGAGGAGCGCCTCTGCCCGGCCACGACCCCGTCTGGGAGGTGAGGAGCGTCTCTGCCGCCCCGTCCGGGAGGGAGGTGGGGGGGTCAGCCCCCTGCCCGGCCAGCCGCCCCGTCCGGGAGGTGAGGGGCGCCTCTGCCCGGCCGCCCCTACTGGGAAGTGAGGAGCCCCTCTGCCCGGCCAGCCGCCCCGTCCGGGAGGGAGGTGGGGGGGTCAGCTCCCCGCCCGGCCAGCCACCCCATCTGGGAGGTGAGGGGCGCCTCTGCCCGGCCGCCCCTACTGGGACGTGAAGAGCCCCTCTGCCCGGCCAGCCGCCCCGTCCAGGAGGGAGGTGGGGGGGTCAGCCCCCTGCCCGGCCAGCCGCCCCGTCCGGGAGGTGAGGGGCGCCTCTGCCCGGCCACCACCCCGTCTGGGAGGTGTGCCCAACAGCTCATTGAGAACGGGCCAGGATGACAATGGCGGCTTTGTGGAATAGAAAGGCGGGAAAGGTGGGGAAAAGATTGAGAAATCGGATGGTTGCCGTGTCTGTGTAGAAAGAAGTAGACATGGGAGACTTTTCATTTTGTTCTGCACTAAGAAAAATTCCTCTGCCTTGGGATCCTGTTGATCTGTGACCTTACCCCCAACCCTGCGCTCTCTGAAACATGTGCTGTGTCCACTCAGGGTTAAATGGATTAAGGGCGGTGCAAGATGTGCTTTGTTAAACAGATGCTTGAAGGCAGCATGCTCGTTAAGAGTCATCACCAATCCCTAATCTCAAGTAATCAGGGACACAAACACTGCGGAAGGCCGCAGGGTCCTCTGCCTAGGAAAACCAGAGACCTTTGTTCACTTGTTTATCTGCTGACCTTCCCTCCACTATTGTCCCATGACCCTGCCAAATCCCCCTCTGTGAGAAACACCCAAGAATTATCAATAAAAAAATAAATTAAAAAAAAATACTAAAACACGAGAATTTTTAAATGTTGGAACAGCAAAGTCCTTTCTACATATGACACAAAACTAAGAAGCCATAAAATGCAAGTTTAAACTCTTAAGCGGAGAAAACACTTTAAGCAAACTCAGAAGTCAATAAACTGAGGTAGGGGGAGGACATCTGCAAACCATCTCAGACAAAGGACTATATCCTCCAATAGATACAGAGATCAACAAACTGATAAAGATGCCAGAATATAGGTAAGTCACAGAAAAATATAATGATATAGACATATAAGAATATTCTCAACTCCATTCCTAATATAAGAAATGACAATTTAAACTATATTGAAATATTTTTTACCTCTCTTGCAGGCAAAGATAAAACCCACTGGTTTTGATAACACTGAGTTAGCAAGGGATATTGCTTGTGGAACTTTTCACCTTTACAACATCTCTGACATTTAACGGTAGTTGTCAAAATTTATACTGCCACAAGATTTGGCTCAGAAGTACACTGGCCTTCAGACAGACTCACATAGATCAGAAAATGATGTATCCACAAGGATATTCCTTGTATGACTAGTTCTAATCTTTTCCAACTACAAGCGATTTAAATATCTGCCAACAGGGGACTAGTTAAATATATTATGACTTGTCCACAGTGATATACTACGCAATTGTAAAGAACAATGGACCAAGGCCAGGCGCGGTGGCTCACGCCTGTAATTCCAACACTTTGGAAGACCAAGGTGGGTGGATCATGAAGTCAAGAGATCGACACCATCCTGGCCAACATGATGACACCCCGTCTCTATTAAAAATACAAAAATTAGCTGGGCGTGGTGGTGTACGCCTCAGCTACTTGGGAGGCTGAGGCAGGAGAACCACTTGAACCCAGGAGGCGGAGGTTGCAGTGAGCTGAGATTCTGCCACTGCACTCTAGCCTGGCGAGAGTGAGACTCTGTCTCAAAGGAAAAAAGAACAATGGGCCTCTGTGTGTATGGCTACATCACTTCTGAAATTTGATTAAGTGTGAAACCCAAGATGCTAGTGTATCTCCCACCTACACACACATGAAATCTCTGATAGGAGGGAAGAACTTAATGGATGGTGACTGTCTCTACAGAAGGTGACAAGGTAGGAGGAATAATTATTTTTACTTAGCCCTTTGGTACCTTTAAATTTTATACCATTTTATTCAGTTTAAAAACTTTTTTTTTAAAAAAGTTAAGGATCCCTTTTAAGGAAATTCTTTTATAAGATCAGATATTCAGGCTGGACATGGTGGCTCATGCCTGTAATCCCAGCACTTCGGGAGGCCAGTTTAAGACCAGCCTGGGCAACATAGTAAGACCTCATCTCTGCTTAAAAAAATTAGCCAGGTGTGGTGGTGTGCACCTGTGGTCCCAGCCACTGAGGTGGGAGGATTGCTTGAGCCCAGGACTTGGAGACTGCACTGAGCTATGATGGCACTATTGCACTCCAGTCTGGGTGAGAGAAAGAGACTCTGTCTCTAAAAGATCAGAGGGACAGGAGTATCCAGTACACTCACAGCATCCTATATTAAATCAATAGAGAAATTAGAGACAAGAATAGAAAGGATGGTGGTGCTGGTTCTGACCTCAGGGAGGAAGCATTGCTTGAGGCAAGGAAAGACCTAGGCTCACCTGATCTCCTTGGCTTCTCTAGATCTCAAAGCTGTTTATGGCTCTAATACCTTTAGAGGCCTTATTATAGCAACTGAATATTAATAAATTGGGAGCTGAAGTGATCAGAAAGCATACCACATAGGAACATTCTCTTACTCGTATTCACTGCTTGTTCTTTCTCGTTTACGTTTCCTGTTTACAGCTTCCTAGCTTTTGCATTCAATATTTGATTTTCAAACTGGTTTTGATAAAATGAACTGTAATAAGTAAAAGAAAAATAAGGTGTGTGTGGGATGAAGGGTGATGAAGACCAAAAAGAGGGTGGAAAAAGTTGGGCTGCTTTGAAATGAATGTGACAACATTGATCTAAATGCTATTACTGTTAAATAACCTACTGGCATCTCAACAAAAAGTATGATGGGGCATAATAGTAATTTGAGTCCAGATTACTCAGCATTCATTAAACAATATGACTGATGAACAGGAAAGGGGACAGAATTACATCGTATGTTAATCTAACTACAGTGATGTTGATGCTCACCCGGATGTGCTGGAGGTAGAGAGACAGGTCTCGGATAAAAGACTTAATCAATCTTTCTTGCATTCGGAAGTTTTTTTCTGTTTCTTCAAATACTTCATCTTTTATCTGTTCAAAAATAAACAAGTGCTGTTAGCAAATCTGGACACTCCTTTAATCTTACTGGCAAAAGTAGCTTGCTTTTTTTTTTTTTTTTTTGTGGAGACGGAGTTTTGCTCTTGTCGTCCAGGTTGGAGTGCAATGGCATGATCTTGGCTCACTGCAACCTCCGCCTCCTGGATTCAAGCAATTCTCCTGCGTCAGCCTCTCGCATAGCTGAGATTACAGGCTTGCATCACCACGCCCAGCTCATTTTTGTATTACTAGTAGAGATGGGGTTTCACCATGTTGGCCAGACTAGTCTCGAACTCCTGATCTCAGGTGATCCACCCCGCCTTGGCCTCCCAGAGTGCTGGGATTATAGGCATGAGCCACCACGCCCAGCCAAAAGTAGCTTCCTTAAAAACATCTTTTGTTCAAATTTTAAACCTTTAATGTTTTCCTGAATCATAGTGAATTGATTTAAACACCTGCATGTGGTTTCAAAAGACCTCCAAAATACACACAGGCCCTCCTTTAAACCTTCTTTGCAAGCCCTCTGCTCTGGCCAGGCTGCCCTCTTCACCCCAGCACTGCCATGTCTGCTGAACCTAGGACTGTTCCTCATGAGGTTCCCCTGCCTGGCAGGTCTTCTCCCTCCCTGTGGCATGCCTGCCCCCTTCCTATAAGGCTCAGGTCAACATGACTCTTGCTCTCACTGAACTGTTTTTCTAAAATACTACAGCATTTGGAGAACAAAATACAAAACCTAACAATGGACTATTTTCTGGCTTATATTTTCCATGAATTGTACCTTAATATATATAGTATAGCAGAATGATGTCTGCAGACTTCAGGTCAACTTTCAGCATCGCCGATAAACTGTTTTTCAATCCATTCAATCTCTTACACTTAACGTTTCCTTCTTTGTAACATCATGTATCCAACTAGGTGATCTCTTAAATTCCTGCTAGCTTAGTAAGTCTACAACTATAGTTTTGTCCCACCAAATCAATTATAAGCTCCTTAGAGGTGGTGAAAACTACCATAATTATTACATGTCAACTGATCTGACCCTCTAATTTGCCTTTGTAACCAGCAGCTGGAGGGCCCTGTCTCCACCAGCTCGTAAAACCGGAGGACGTCTGAGGAAGGGAACCACGCCAATTGACGCCAGGCAGGCTGTCTCATGGAGCCCTGAAAAGCTGTCAAAGATGCGCTAAGCCTTCCAGGATGGGGATCTCACCTGAGGAGCAAAGCCAGTGAGATGCTTCAGGTGACTGCTAACTCGGTTGGATTTCTTGATGATGGAGTGGATGTTCAGTTTGGAAATTTTCTCCATAAGGCTATCTTCATCACCCTTACGGTACTTGAGGACTAGGGAGTAAGTCAGAAAAGCACTTTCCTCAGCATGGGCATACTACAAAATGAGCCATAAAATGAGATGAACACCCAAACGGGAGCTAGTCCTTGTCTTCAATGAGCTTATAACAAAATATTAATCCAAATAATGATTTATGGACAGACATGATATCTGAAGCACAGCAGAGAGACAATGGGCAGCCAGGAGAGGGGCCAGAGACAAGGAGGAAAACAGCAGAGGGTGTTAAGGGAAAGAACTTAAGGAAATCTGAAGTCAATGCCTGGGTCTGCCACTTAAGGTATGGCATTAAATCAGTCATTTTACCTTGAGTCTCATTTTCCTCTTCAATAAAATGCAGAAAGCAATACTTGTAAGGCCATCTTAAATGGTGCCATACACAAATGAGATATTGATATCCAATCGTCTCCCATAGTAAAATGCTATACAGCAGTAATTTAATTACCATGTTAAACATTAGGCACAACCTACAGAAAAGTGTAGAGATAAAAGTAGAAGGGTGGCAAGGGGAAGACTGGGAGGCAGCAAAAAGGTATACCTGGTTGTAGAAGTTGGAGACTACATCGCATTAGGAGATTTGAACCAAGGGAAAGGGCTGGATGACCAGAGAGCTTTAGAAGCCACAGTCAACATCCCATCCTAATGCGGGTGACACAGTTGAAGTAGAAGGCAGAGAAATGATTTTAGATAACTTTAAAGTGTGGAGAAGAATGGAAAGACAAAAAGGTTACACTGTATTATATCTTGATATGAATAATAAATGAGCTCAGCACAGTCACTGTGCTATATATACTCACTGAATGCTCAAGTTAGGGCCTCAAGAGACCTGATGAGTGCATTCAGTGTTATGAAGAAGGAGTGGGTGGGTGGGCAACTGACTGTTTTAGGAGGGGAGGTGAGGGACTCAACCCAGAGAGGTCACTGGGCATGGGCAGTGAAGACAGGACAAGAAAGGTGAGCAGATTGGGGTTTTCTAAAAGACAAGAAGTCCTAGCTTTAGTAGAGGTAGTAAGACATCCAATTAGACACTTAGAAAAAAGTCTATGCATGGACTCCAGAGGAGCTCCATAAATGAGGTGAGGAGGAAACTGCCCGTGCTCGAATAAAACTTCCCATCACCTAGTCTCCACTGTCTTCATATCTCTTGAGAAAGGCTCTTATTGCTATATATTTTATTACAGATGCCTTATTTCCAATATACCATACTTCCGCTTTTTATCGTTACTTCTGCCTTTAATAAATACCACATTTTGGGCCGGGTGCAGTGGCTCACGCCTATAATCACAGCACTTTGGGAGGCTGAGAGTTCCAGACCAGCTTGGCCAACATGGTGAAACCCTGTCTCTACTAAAAATACAAAAATTAGCTGGGCATGGTGCCACATGCCTGTAATTCCAACTACTTGGGAGGCTGAAGTGGGAGAATTGCTTGAACATGGGAGGTGGAGGTTGCAGTGAGCTGAGATAGCACCACTGCACTCCAGCCTGGGGGACAGAGCAAGACTCTGTCTCAAAAAAAATAATAATAAAATATCATATTTCCCCCAAATTCTACCATTTCTTCATCACAGCCCTATTATACCTACCACCTGCCTTGTCCAACTCTAGCGAAGTAATGAATTGTTTTGAGAAGAAAAGCATTCTCAAAGGGCATACCTCCTTTTCAGCAATTATGCTGTTCTTACCCAGGTCCTTTCGCCGTTTATATTCATTAATGTTAACGTTGATTTCCTTGACCGCAAGGACTGCATTGGTTAAAGGCACTTTATCTGGGTGGGATTCTGGGGTGGAATTCAGCAACTCCATTAGCAACAGCGGGTAACGCATTACTCTCTGTACTGGTTTGATGAGGAAGGAGCCCAGGTTAATATAATTTGTGCATCCCCTGTAAGAGAAGGAAAAAAGACTTTAGTAAGCTATCAATAATATAGCGCCCAGCCTGGGAACATCGTGAGACCCCACCTTAAAAAAAACTTTTTTTTAACATAATAATAATGTACACCTATGGGCAGGATTTGTTCCTAAATATTGCTCTCTATTCTTTTACCCTACTTTCCAATTTCAGTCATTCAACATGTATTCATCTAATAAACACCAGGTACTGTTCTAGGTGCTGGGGATTTAATAGTAACCCCAAAAGTCCCTGTCCTGGTAGGAGAAGATAGGCAATAAACAGATAAGTAAAGTGTTCCCTTGGGGATAAGTGCTACGAAAGAAAACCCAGCAAGGTGAGTCTACTTCTAGGTTTGTCTATAAAGGAAGAAAATACAGTTGCTTAAGAGTTAGTTAGGAAAAATCCACAGAAGAAATGAGCGCATACATCAAGCAGCAATGGAACTTACCATTCGTTGTATAGGCTCCTGCAAGGCAGTGGGCATGAAAAGAAAAGAGACAGTTTATTAGAGAGAGAATCTTGAGTTTCACATTTTTCTCAGAACATAAATCATGTGGGACAAAAAATTATGAATGTTTATGGTAACATATTTAGTCTACTAAAAAATGTTAGCCCCGGCCAGGCATGGTGGCTCACGCCTGTAATCCCAGCACTTTGGGAGGCCGAGGCGGGTGGATCACCTGAGGTCAGGAGTTCAAGACCTGCCTGGCCAACCTGGTGAAACCCCGTCTATACTAAAAACATAAAAATTAGCTAGGCATGGTGGCACGTGCCTGTAATCCCAGCTACTGGGGGGCTGAGGCAGGGGATCGCTTGAACCCGGGAGGTGGAGGTTGCAGTGAGCTGAGAGCACCACTGCATTCCAGCCTGGACGACAGAGTGAGACTCTGTCTCTCCAAAAAATAAAAAAATAATAAAAAATAAAAAAGTTAGCCCCTAACTTCTCTTTGATCTACTTATCCATATATCTTTATACCTTGCTTCCCTAAGACCAGGACAATCTCACCTGATGTCTAGAATACCTTAGCTGGGCATGGTGGCTCACACCTATAATCCCAGCACTTTGGGAGGCCGAGGCAGGCGGATCACTTGAGGTCAGGAGTTTGAGACCAAGGTGGCCAACACGGTGAAACCCCATCTCCACTAAAAATACAAAAATTAGCCAGGTATGGTGGTGTGTGCCTGTAATTCCAGCTACTTGGGAGCCTAAGGCGGGAGAATCGCTTGAACCCGGGAGGCAGAGGTTGCAGTGAGCTAAGATTGTGCCACTGCATGCTGACCTGGGCAATAAGCTGAGATTACAC
Organism: Homo sapiens; assembly: GCF_000001405.40. NCBI lineage: Eukaryota > Metazoa > Chordata > Mammalia > Primates > Hominidae > Homo > Homo sapiens. The sequence continues at coordinate 99,899,599 of NC_000010.11, forward strand.
CACTGCACTCTGGCCTGGGTGAGAGTGAGACTCCGTCTCAAAAAAAAAAACCCTGTATTTAGTCTTCTCACCTATGCTCTTATTTGGACCAAACCATCCTCTCCTGGCTGCTTTTTAACCTGATAACGCTAACCTAATACTCTATACAGATAAAACTTATTCACATGGACAAAAATACAATCAGGAAACCACTTAAATGATATATATCATGGATATCTTATGTTTAAAATAAGATGTCATCATCAAGTCCAGGCATATACACAGGTATAACTTAGAGAACTAAAGAGCTGTAATGGAAGTTAAGTGGTCAAAACTCCTACTTCAGATCTGCCAAGGAGTCCTGAAGATGCTTCTGGATCTTCTCATCCTTCTCGTAGATTTCAAGCAGCGCAATGGCCTCATCATGATTCTGGCAGTAAATCTTGTATGTTCCCTCAAGCTCATCCCGGTGACCAAGAAACACAGGTCCTTTGGAATACACACAAACATACAGTGTTTTTAGTAAACTTTCTTCTCAGTATACTAAATGTAAGGTACACAGCCAAACTTTAGTACCAGCTAAATCCTACCTATTACAAGAAATGATACTAAGACTATCCATCAAATAGTAAGAAACTTCCATCTAACAGCTTAAAGTTGTAATCATTTAAAGGAAAATTTAGAAAGCCATGTCATCCGTATATGTATGTATTCATTTTTTTTTGAGACAGGGTCTCTGTCACCCAGGCTGGAGTGCAGTGGCACAATCTCAGCCCACTGCAGACTCGACCTCCCAGACTCAGGTCGGTCCCTAGTAGCTGGGACCACGTGTGCATGCCACCATGCCCAGCTAATTTTTTGTATTTTTGGTAGAGAGGGGGTTTCGCCATGTTGCCCAGGCTCATGTATTTGTTTTAGAACAAACACACACACACACAATGTGACTGGCCTCTGAAACAGAGCCTCCAGTCCCTTTGCAGTCGAGCCAAGTCAGACATCTGAGAGCGTTCTCCATGTAGGGATGTAATGAGAACCCCATAAGGAGGACCCCCTCAGTTTCTTATTTTTTTTTCCTGAGACGGAGTCTCTTGTCGCCCAGGCTGGAGTGCAGTGGCACATCTCGGCTCACTGCAACATCCGCCTCCCTGGTTCAAGTGAGTCCTCTGCCTCAACCTCCCAAGTAGCTGGGATTACAGGTACACACCACCATACCCAGCTAATTTTTGTATTTTTAGTAGAGACGGAGTTCTTCTACAGCAGCAGTTTCTAACATTTTTGTGCATAAATAAGACTGGATAAAGTATATTACATTAAAATACCTATAATGATAAATCCCCAACTTATGATATAGTAACCTATATACTACTTTAGTTTTTTTGAGGCAGGGTCTCACTGTTGCCCAGGCTCCACTGCAGTGGTACGATCTTGGCTCACTGCAACCTCCACCTCCCAGGCTCAAGTGATCCTCCCACCTCTGCCTCCTGAGCAGCTGGGACTACAGATGTGCGCTGCCACACCTGGTTAATTTTTGTAATTTTAGTAGAGACAGGGTTTTGCCATGTTGGCCAGGCTGGTCTCAAACTCCTGGGCTCAAGCAATCCACCTGCCTGGGCCTCCCAAAGTGCTGGGATTACAGGTGTGAGCCCCAGCCATATGTACTTCTTTATAAGGTATTAAATAACCAAATGTAGCACTGAGTCTAACAATCCCCATACTGTCACAGCTTGAGGAGTGACACACACTGGTAACATTGGCTGCCTCTGGTTGAGGGTTACTGAAATTTCAAGACATTTGCAACGACCTAATCTGACAGAAACATGTGACTTCTGTTGGTGACAAAGTCACAGCTACTACTATGTGACTTATTCCCTACATTCATACTTTAAATAAATGCTATATTTCAGTTAAAAACTAGTAAAAAAAATAAAGAGGTCATTTTTTTCCCTATCCCCAGACCCCTCATCTAAAGTCAGTTAGGCATAGGAACAGTTCCTAAGCAAACTTCTACAGAACAATTGCCTTCAGAGCTGTGGCCTGAACGTGCGGGTCCCTGGCTTACTATGATGACTCTTCCTCTTGCCCTTCTTTCCTCCTCTCAGTGTATTTGGTGCTCCCTTCTTCAGCTCCATGTTCCACAAAAAAGAGCTCTCATCCTTGTTCTCCTCCCTCCAATATGATACTATTTACTGCTTCCCTACAACCAACCATCCCTACCAGCTGTCCAGGCACGACCCCTCCCCTCAGGGAGCCTATCGCTGCTTCTGTGGACTCACCTCTGTTCTCTCACTGTTGTGTCCCATGGAAGTCCCTGTTCTTGTGCAGAACTTTTTTTTTTCCTTTTTTTAAGACAGGGTCTCCTGCGTTGCCCAGGCTGGAGTGCAGTGGCACAATCTTGGCTCACTGCACCCGCCACCTCCTGGGCTCAAGTGATCCTCCGACCTCAGCCTCCTGAGTAGCTGGGACACCACCACACCTGCTAATTTTTGCATTTTTTGGTAGACGGGGTTTCGGCACGTTGGTCAGGCTGGTCACAAACTCTTGGGCTCAAGTGATCCACCTGCCTCGGCCCTTCCAAAGTGCTGGGATAACGGGCGTGAGTCACCATGCCTGGCCTAAAAAGTTTCTATTTAAATTATTTTCCTTAATGTATAACTCCTTTCTGTAAGAGAAACTTAACTTTTTTCATATCACCTCACACTGCCCTTTCTCACTGGAAGCCTCCCTTCTTTTTTTTTTTTTTTTTTTTTTTTGAGATGGAGTCTCGCTGTGTCACCCAGGCTGGAGTGCAGTGGCATGATCTCAACTCACTGCAACCTCTGCCTCCTGAGTTCAAGTGATTCTCCTGCCTCAGTCTCCTGAGTAGCTGGGATCACAGGCATGCGCCACCACGCCTGGCTCATTTTTGTATTTTTAGTAGAGACAGGGTTACACCATGTTGGCCAGGATGGTCTCAAACTCCTGATCTCAGGTGATCCGCCCGTCTCAGCCTCCCAAAGTGCTGGGATTACCGGTGTGAAACACCGCACCCGGCTGCCTCCCTTTAAAAAAAAAAAAAAAAAAAAATTGTTGGCTGGACGTAGTGGCTCAAGCCTGTAATCCCAGCAATTTGGGAGGCCAAGGTGGGCGGATCCCCTGAGGTCAGCAGTTCGAGACCAGCCTGGCCAACATGGCAAAACCCCGTCTCTACTAAAAATACAAAAATTAGCCAGGCATGGTGGCAGGCGCCTGTAATCCCAGCTACTCGGGAGACTGAGGCAGGAGAATCGTTTGAACCCAGGAGGCAGAGGTTGTAGTGAGCAGAGGTCGTGCCACTGCACTCCAGCCTGGGCAGAGAGCAAGATTCTGTCTTTAAAAAAAAAAAAAAAAAATTGTTTTGAGACAAGGTCTCACTCCACATCCTAGACTGGAGTGCAGTGTTGTGACCATTGCCAACTGCAGCCTCCAACACCTGGGCTCAACCAATCCTCCTGCCTCAGCCTCTCAAGAACCTGGGACTACAGGTATGTGCTACCACACCTGGGCAATTTTTTTTTTTTTTTTTTTTGTAGAAACGAGGTCTCACTATGTTGCCCAGGCTGGGCTTGAACTCCTGGCCTCAAGCAATCCTCCCGCCTTGGCCTCCCAAACTACTGAAATTACAGGCAGGAGCCACAGCACCTGGCCAGAAGCTTCCCTTCTGTCTACTCCTGCAACCTACCAGTCACAACAGTGGGGGTGGGGCTGGCTCCTTTTTCATCTTCACGGCCACTTTTTTTTTGTTTTGTTTTTTTTTAAGAGATGGGGCCTTGCTCTGTCACCCAGATTGGAGTGCACTGTCATGAACCAGCTCACTGCAGCCTTGACCTCCTGAGCTCAAGCAATTCTCTGCCCTCAGCCCCCCAAATAGCTGGAACTACAAGTGTGCCCCACCATACCTGGCTAATTTTTGTATGTTTTGTAGGGATGGTGTTTCACCTGGTTGGTCAGGCTGGTCTCGAACTCCCGAGCTCAGCAATCCACCCACCTTGGCCTCCCAAAGTGCTAGGATTACAGGCGTGGGCCACCGTGCCTGGCCTTCACGGCCACTTTGGAATTCCTAAAGCCACCCATGTCTTCATCTGGTTGCACCATTCTACATTAGTCTGCCACCTTCTTTTTGCAGCCCTTTCCCTAGTTGCATTCTTAGAATCTTCACCATCCAGACATGATTTACATTCAATTCGCCGTTCTTCAACTTCCCTGATAGTCACTGTTCTATATCAATTACAAACTAGCAAAGCTACACCTATAATCTCTTTCAAACTCTGGGTCACGAAATATACTTAATGGGTCACAGTCAGCACTGTTTTGATGAAATAGAATGGATTTTTTTTTTTTTTCTGTAGAGACGGGGTTTTCCCATGTTGCCCAGGCTGGTCCAGAACTCCTGGGCTCACATGATCTGCCCACCTTGCCTCGGCCTCCCAAAGTGTTGGGATTACTGGTGTGAGCCAACACGCCCGGCTGATCAAATAGAAAAGAAAATATCAGAAAACATCGGACATAAAAATTAGCTGGGTGTGGTGGTACGCATCTGTAGTCCCAGCTACTAGGGAGGCTGAGGTGGGAGGATCGCTTGAGCCCAGAAGGTAGAGGCTGCAGTGAGCTGTGATCACACTGCTACACCCCAGCTTGGGAAATAGCGTGAGACTGTCTCGAAAAAAAAAGGAAAACACTGGACATGGTAAAACTAAGCACAGACATACACAGAAACACACATCCTGGGTCATTATGAACAACATAGCTCTCGGCGGGATGTGTTTAAAATCAGGTAAAGCGAGTACTTTCCACCTATGACCATGTACCCAGAGTCTCCCAGTGCTGCTTGATCATTCTCTATCTCAGCCACCTGCCCTTTGCCCGTGGCTCCATAAGGCTTTAACTTGCCCTTCATGGTCTTCTCGGAGCCTTCCCTCATCGGATGTTTCAGACCTCATTTGTTCTTTGTGAATCCCCCACTGAACGCACGCCTGGCCTTCCGTTAGAGCCACCGGCATGGTACTCTCAGTCTTGGCTCCCTCAAGCCCCACCACCCACCATCCCTCCTCTAAAAATTAGTCCTTGCGCCTAGGTCTCAGCCTTTCAGTGTTGAGGCCTCTCTGCCACCTCTGTGTGTCTTCAACACATCGAAGCCTGCTACCCAACTCCTTGTTTGACTTTGGACAAGAAGCGAAGGGAAGAAGAAAAAATAAATGCAGGTGCTATCTTATGGAGGTGGGGCTATGGATATTTGCTTTCATTTCTCAGTTTATTGTCATAATCTAAGGTATAGTACACTATAGACACAGATGCTAAGACTCTCATTTCTGATTTGAATCAGACCTAAGGGGAGAAGGCGCCTTGCAGAAGCTGGTTAACTCCAACCACCTGAGAGCCCCAGGAACGACAACAGGTAATAAACTGGAAGAAAAATGAGTAACTGCTTAATTTAAAATTAAGCTCTTTTAGATAGCAGCCAACTTTATCTCATTTCTTTCTTAATACAAATAAATGACCCAGAGATACTTATTTCAAGTGCCTTAAAAAATCATATACACTGTCGTTTATGCTTCACCATCACACTAAAACTGGGTCACTGTGACTTCCTTCTGCCCAACTCAATGTGTGTATCTCCTTCCTCAACTTCCCTGACCTCTCTGGTTAGACTAAGGGCAAGAACCTCAGGTTCCAGTTTTTCTAACTGTTCCAGAAAATGCAAAAGACACAGTTGTATTCTGTATAGAGGCTAATGGCATTTGCCTGCACGACAGAAAGACTTGAGTTTGAATGCCAGTCCCATCAATTACTAGCCATGTGACCTGGGCAAATTACCTTCCCTCTAAGTGTCGGTTTCTTCACTGTAAAATAGGATAGAGTACCTAAACTGGCTGCAGAGTGGGTCACACCTGTAATCTTGCAGTGTGGGAGGACTGAGCTCAGGAATTCAAGACCAGCCTGGGCAACAGAGCAAGACCTCATCTCTACTAAAAATAAAAAAGCTAGTTGGGAGGCTGAGGTGGGAGGATCACTTGAGCCTGGGAGGTCAAGGCTGAGGTGAGCCATGATCACACCACTGCATTCTAGCCTAGGCAGCAGAGCAAGACCTTGTCTCAAAAACATGTGTGGCGGCTCGTGCCTATAATCACAGCATTTTGGGAGTCTGAGGAGGGAAGATCGCTTGAGGCCAGGCATCCAAGACTAGCCTGGGCAATATAGTGAGACTCCATCTCTACAAAAATTTAAAAACTAGCTGGGCCTGATGGTGCATGCCTATAGTTCCAGCTGCTCAGGGAGCTGAGGTGAGAAGATTGCTTGACCTGGGTAATCGAGGCTGTGGGTGAGCTGTCATTGTGCCACTGCAGTCCAGTCTGGATAACAATGTGAGACCCTGTCTAAAAAAAGAAGAAACAACAGTACCTAAACCTCAGAGGGCTGTCTATTGTAGAGAACAACTGAGATCCAGCTGGACCTATCTTGTGAGGGTATGTGGTGAGAGAAACACTCAGGAAACATTAACCATGCTACAACATCCCAGAGCTGTTTCCTCCTCCCTTCAGGGGGCAGAACCCTGATTTTTTTCCTGTGTCCGTTTTTCTCCCAGGTGAGTCAGGTAAATTCCATCTAGTGTAAGCCAGTGTCATGACCCATTCCCCTTTCTAGCCATCAGCTTAGCTGCATGCATGTCACCCACTTCTGGCCAACGAGAAATAAGGTATCTGATCAGGGAGCTCTGGAAAAGGTTTGCAAACTCTTAAAACGACACAGGGGTCACTCCTTCTGCTGGATGTTGTTGTATATGGTGTCATGGCTGGAACTGGGGTAGCCTCTTGTAATTAGGATTCTAATAAAGCAGCAAAATGATAGGATGTCCCCTCCCACACTGTGCCAGGGCTGGTCTGTAGGACCCACAGAACATGACAGAAGTGATGCTGTGTCATGTTCAAGATCAGGTTATAGAAGACTCTGTGGCTCCTGTCTCAGGCGTGCTTGCTCTTGCGTGCTCTCTCTCATTCTGTCTCTCGCTCTCTCTCACAGGTCACTCTAGGTGACTCATGACTCATGCCACGTCGTGAGGAAAGCCCAGGGAGAGGCTCACGTGGCAAGAAACTGACGCCTGAAGAACTGAGTGAGCTTTCTTGGAAGTAGATCCCTGAGCCCCAGATGATGGCAGTCCAGGCCAACAACTGACTCCAACCTCATGAGACCCTGGGCCAGAACCACCCAGCGGAGCCACCTCCAGACTCCTGACCTACAGAAGCAGCGAGGTAATACATGTTTAATGTTTTCAGCTGCTAAGTTTCAGTGAAATTGTTAAATAGCAATGGATAACCAATAAGTTCCCTTGTTTATAAGAACTAGATGAATGTTTTAAAAACATTTTGACAATGTCCCACATAAATGTATTTTAAATTATGACTCAGTACACATATATTTGAAATGAAAATAAAAGTTTCAGCCAGATGTGGTGGCTCACACCTGTAATCCCAGCAATGTGGGAGGCCGAGGTGGGTAGATCGCTTAAGCCCAGGAGTTTGAAACCAGCCTGGGCACAGCCTGGGCAACATGGCAAAACTCCATCTCTACAAAAAAAAAATTACAAAAATTAGCTGGGCGTGGTGGCACATGCCTGTATTCCCAGCTATGTGGGAGACCAAGGTAGGGAGGATGACTTGAGGCTGGGAGGTTGAGGCTGCAGTGAGCTGAATTCGCACCACTGCACTCCAACCTGGGCGACAGTGTAAAAATCCTGTGTCAAAAAAAAAACAACAGATAAGTTTCAAAAATTGGTAGTTAAACTTACAGTGCATTCTGATATTTTCTTTTGTTTTTTTTTTTCTTGAGACCAAGTCTTGCTCTGTACCCCAGGCAGTGGTGTAGTGGCTCGTGGCGCGATTTCAGCTCACTGCAGCCTCAACCTCCTAGACTCAAGCAATCCTCCAACCTTGGTCTCCCAAGTAGCTGGGATTACAGGAGCCCATGACCACGCCCAGCTCTATTTTTAGTACAGACAGGGTTTCACCATGTTGGCCAGGCTGATCTCAAACTCCTGACCTCAGGTGATCCTCTTGCCATGGCCTCCCAAAGTGCTGGGATTACAGGTGTGAGCCACTGTGCCTGGCCGCATTCTGGTATTTTCTTGAAAAATAAGTTGATCTCATGACCCAGTAATGGGCTGCAACCATGAGTGTGGAAAAACATTGTACTGTATGACATCCAAAACTACTTCTATTGCTAACATCCTATTATTACCCCAAAGTAGGCTGAGACAGAAGGAAAGCAGAGGACAAGTAACCTCTGGACTAAGTACCTACACCTGTATCTTCCCGGAGGCATAGTTACTCAGTATCAGGAAGGCCACTTACTCCTGCCCATGAAGTTTTTTTAAAAAGCTGCTTCTGAAACAACACAGGAGCTCATACCTACAGCATCGCTGATTTCCAGAGCAGCCAATAATTGCTTCGAGACCTTAATCACCATCTGCATATTTCCAAAAAGTCCCTCAAAATCAATGTTTGGTACCTGAGAAAAGGAAACAAAACATAAAAATGCACGGAAATGAGCTTAATGGCATTTCAATCATCTTAGGAACAGCTCTTCAAGAATTGTAGAAAAATTGCTCAAGGTCACTTTCTTCACTCACTTTCATGAAGTTTCCAGACTAGAAATATCCAACATTATCTTTAGTGTCATCCTTTGTCCTTGATCCAACTATTCTCTGCCACCCCAACCAGCACTTTAGTAAAGTGATAATGGAACCAATTTGGCCTACAAATGCACTGGGATACAAATTCCCACCCGCAACCAACATCCCGTAGCACTGCCTACCTGCTGCAGAAGTACTTGGGAGTGAATGCTCCAAGGGTGTAAACCCAAGCCCAGCCCAGCTGGTCAAGTTACAAGCAACAAGGACTATAAACCCCAGGACATTGTTACCCTTTTCTTACTACCTCCAGCATCTAGAAAAGTCCCTAGCCTACTCACATGTTAGTAAGGGTTTCCTGGATAAACTCTATATGAACAGGTACTAGAGTCATGTAACTGCTCACCCCCAGGTTTTGTTACATCATCACTCAGCCTTCTAGCAGGGCCACGATTCAGACTCCCTGGAACTGCTTTCAGGAGCCACAGAAACAGGAAGTGTCCTAGGAGTGACTGCAGTGTCTGGTAGGTTAACAGTAGACTTGACAAGTGAAAGGATGCTGAAGGCTTAGCTGATGACACACGTATGTTGAGGCCCTTGATTAAGAGCAGCAGCACTCACAGTCACAGTTTCTATTTCAAATCCAATAAATCTGTGGCGAAAGCTCCTATATCCTAATGCTTCTGGCCTGGAGGACCATATTCAAGGTCAAACTAACTCTGTCTCCCAGTTCCCACCTGTGCCTGCTGCATGGGTACCATGATCCGCTCAATACACATTTCCAGATCCCGAATGTAGTCTCTTTCTGTCTGAAGAAGTTCTTCTATGACCTTGGCTCTCTTCTCCAGCATCCTCTGCTCTGGATTTTCGGCAGACACAGACCCAGAAGGGGCCACCAGTGATGAAGACTGGGAGGAGAGGAGCGTCATTTCTAGAAGGGAAAAGAGAACTGGTTAGCAGCTCTGGGTGTAAAAGCAGCACCCTTCCACAGTTTGAGGCAAACAGAACCCATTTCCTGAGAACCAAAGGTCTCACTATTGTCAACCCTCAGGAAATCAGATCGCACATGTCAGTTGTAAACAGGGACAGCTGAAGCGCTTAGAAAGCCATCACTGCAGAGAGAACTCCAACCTGTGCAATACCATTTTGAGAATGTGTCCTGAAAAGAAGTAGCTAGCCCACTTTGAGTGAACAAAGCATGTCTACAAGCTCCTTGCAAAAGAGGTTAGAGGGGTCTGACCTTATAAGACTTGCTTTCACTTAATCAGATATAAAACATGGTCCATGATCAAAGCACCAGAAATAACAAGCTGGAAGTTCAAAATACAGATGTAGCACATTAAACAGAATATTATGGGGAACACAGAACAATGCCAACTAAGGGTAAAATAAAAAATAAGAAATTATCCATCTGAGATCTGGATAATTATAGGACCTATCATTTTCCAGTCACTGTAATGGTAGGTCAACACTAGCATATAATGAAATAGGTAAAAAAAATTGTTTAGATTTTCCCTATGAAAACCTTAACCAAAACTCACAAGCAGGTTTTGTTACTCAAATGTCCTAGTAGATACAAACTTACTATAAACATGAAGCTTATCAATGGTATTTTCAAGTATAAGAATCTCTAAGAACTAAACTGCATTATTCTAAAAAACAAATATGTATCCTGTCATTAGCTTTTACAATTATCTGACTATTACTTAGATACACAGGATGAGAGAGTTATCTATAAACATGGAACAGCGTTTGTTCATCTGAAATGAGCATTAAACATGGTAATAAGCAAAGGAAAAGAACAGCAGTGAAACAATCAGCCTCTGCTTAGTCTATCAAATTCTTTATGATCCAATTAAACAACTACAAATTTGGTATGTAAATATACTAGTAAGTCTGAGTACAATTACAGGACTATTTTAACCCAGGTTTAAGAAGCAAAAACACAAGTGTTCAAACTACTTAAGGAAAGTCGGCCTTCACAGCAGATTTTATTCTCCAAAACACTTTCCACACTGCTTTCTCTCAGAAGTTAGGAATTCTGGGACGGGTGCAGTGGCTCACGCCCATGATCCCAGCACTTTGGGAGGCCAAGGCTGGCAGATCACTTGAGGTCAGGAGTTCGAGACCAGCCTGGCCAACATGGCAAGCTTCCATCTCTACTAAAAATACAAAAATGCTAAGCATAGTGGCACACACCTGTGATCCCAGGTACTTGGGAGGCTGAGTCATGAGAATCACTTGAACCCAGGAGGCAGAGGTTGCAGCGACACGAGATAGTGCCATTATTGCACTCCAGACTGGGTGACAGAGAAAGACCCTGTCTCAAAAAAGTAATTCCAGTGTTTTAGAATACAACCCAAATTCTGGTTTCTAGATGCCATTCTCCACTAAAAGGAGGCAGGGTTCTTTGAAGAAATGGCTAATTCCAGGGCTGGGGCAGAGAAGGTATAGCTGAGCCTGAAATGTGGGAGAAAGTGAAGAAGTACTCAACAACATGGTGGGGATAGGTCAAAGGGCACAGAGGCCAGCTTGAAGGGGCTCCCACTGGCCAATCTGGCACAATTTGAGTATAAATGAAAAAGCACAATGGATTATTCCACTGAATAAGAACCTGTAAGTACATATTGATAATATGTAAGTACATAAATAAATGGGGGAGAAGAGAAAACTCTTTGTTATGGTAGAATGTCAGCTGATAAATAAGAGAAGAAATAATGGAGTCAGCAAATCACCATTTTAGGCCAAGTGTGGTGGCTCATGCCTATAATCCCAGCACTTTGGGAGGCCGAGGTGGGTAGATCACTTGAGCTTGGAGTTCAAGACCAGCCTGGGCAACATGGTGAAACCTCACCTCTACAAAAAATACAAAAATTAGCAGCACATGGACTGGCACACACCTATAGTCCCAGCTACTCAGGAGGCTGAGGTGGGAGGATGGCTTGAGCCTGGGTGGCAGAGGTTGCAGTAAGCTGAGATTATGCCACTGCACTCCAGCCTGAGTAAAAAAAAAATCTGGCCAGGTGCAGTGGCTCACGCCTGTCATCCCCGCACTTTGGGAGTCTGAGGCTGAGGCGGACAGATCACCTGAGGTCAGAAGTTCGAGACCAGCCTGACCAACATGGTGAAACCCCATCTCTACTAAAAATACAAAAATTTGTATTTTGCCTGTAATTCCAGCTATTCAGGAGGCTGAGGCAGAGGTTGCAGTGAGCCAAGATTGCACCACTGCACTCCAGCCTGGGAGAACAGAGCAAGACTCCATCTCAAAAAAAAATCCATGTTCATACAAAATACACACTGAAGCTTACTAAGGGGCACAATATATGCAATGTACTCTTAGTTCATTAAAGAAAAAAAAACTGCATGTGGAGAGTGGGGATTGACAGAGAATGAGATAAAAACAGCAAAATGTTAAATATGGGTGAATTTGTATAAAATGTATACAGGAGTTTTCATTGTACTATTGCAATTTTCTGTATATTTGGTATTATTCAAAATAAAACTTAAGACATAACAGAAAAAGCTCTTTCTCGAACTTTTTGGTAGAATGAATGGCAAAACTTGAAGCATAACCCTGATTTCATCAGTGTTCGATTATGATTCTAAATTCATTGTGTTACATATAAAATTTATTTCTAATAGGCTTGTTTTAAATTTTCTTTGTGATCTCAAAGCAACAGACTTTCAATCCCAAATATGGTCTCATTAGTGCCAAGTTGAGAATAGAAACTCATTTTAAATACAAGACTAAAAAGCTCTGGAGAGGGAGAACATTTACTGAATTCCTATCACATGCCAGGTACTTTACAGATTATATCCCTGAACTCATTTAATACTCACATCAGAATTTTTAAGTAGGTATTATTACTCCCATTTAATAGGTAAGAAAATCCAGGCTTGGAGAGGCTGACAAACTTGTCTGAGGTTATATAGTGAGTAAATGGCAGTTGTGGATTTAGAACCTAAATATATTTAAATCCAAATCCTGTGCACTTAATCCTGCACCATTTGGTTTCCCTGGCCTGGAATCTCAATGAGAAAAGGTCAGGGGCTTATTTGCTTCAAATCTTAAAAACTCCCTGGAAACCACTGTGTACTCTCCTGAGAATCAAAATTCTACTAATTATAGTAGTTGAAAACACAAAGTACCAGCAAGCACTTACTCATCAATCAGAAGCCAGCCAGCCTATGTATTAGATTTTTATTTCTTTAAAATGGAGAAAAACAATAACAATTCTTTTAAACTACCAGCGTGCCTTCCCCTGTGCCCCCACCCCCCGAAAATGGGGTTTATAAACTCTTGAGCAGCCTTTAAAAACCCAAACACTTTGGTGTGATTAAAAACCCCTGTGGGATGTTTTCACTATATTGCAGTTTCCTGGACACCATCCCTGGGATTCAGATTCAGCAAACCTGGGTGGGACCGGGGTATCCGCAATTTTAATAAAACCCTAGGTGTTTCCTTCCCTCCTCTTTCTCTTCCTCTCTCTTTAAAGGAGGGGGTTGTTACCCAGACTAGTTTCAAACTCCTGGGGCTCTCAAGCGATCCTCCCACCTCAGCCTCCCAAGTAGCTGGGACTATAGGCATGTGTCACTGCTCCTGGCAACCCAAGGTATTTCTGAAGACACAGGTGACCTTCAGGTGCCACAAACATTTATTAACACTCAAAGAGAGTTTTCAAAGATTAAGTCAAATTTTAAAGTCTGGCTTGAAATGACTGTAAGTATAAAAACTTTTTCCTTTATGCCACATATATTCTAATAAAAATATCTGCTCTAAAATTTTAGTATCTGGGCCATGCGTGGTGGCTCATGCCTGTAATCCTAGCGCTTTGGGAGTCTGAGGTGGGAAGACTGCTGGAGCCCAGGAGTTCAAGACCAGCCTGGGCAATATAGTGAGACACCCGTCTCTAAAAAAATTAAATTTTTAGTATCCCGGACAACAAAGCGGGAGAAGGCGGCCTTCACCCCCAGCCAGCTGTGGTGGAAAAAGAAGCTTTGAATCTTGCACTTCCCCACTATGTAGCTGGGGAGCCTTGGAAATGTCCACTTTTATCTCTTGGCCTCAATTTCCCAATCTATAAAATGAGGATAATAATACTTGCTTTGCAGAGTAGTTGAGGGAGTTAAACAAGGTAATAACCCAACAAACATAAGTCCTTTTCCCACAATGGGCCCGAATATGCCATCTGCACCTGATAGATGGTAAATACACTTGGTAAAATGTACCAAGCAGAAAAGTGCCCTGTGCAGACTCTAAAATTCCACTTTTCTATGAGAACAATAAAATGTGCAGACGAGCTCTTACTTTCTTCCTAGGATAGCCCGGCAGGTGTTAAAGGAGCTGGGACTGTTGCACAAATTTACTTCCTGTGATAAAACAATTAGTTGTGGGGTTCCTTCAGTGATTGTGGCTTACCCCCCACCCCAAGTCCTGATTCCATTCCTTCTCAAGACACCCCCAGCCCTTTCCGGTTAGTACATTATCACCAGGCTCACTTCCTAAAGTTCGAAGGAAGGGAGTCATTAGCCCACGGCTTCCCACAACTCCATCACACACACTTCAGAGTTAAAGAGCAGAGCCATGCGCCCTTCCCTTGCCTCAGAAAGCTGGATCTATCTCTAATGGGGAAAATTTTGAGCTCCCGGCCAGATCCCAGGTGCCCTTGAACAGGGACGAAGAGGCTGCCTGTTCCACTTCCTTCTGTGCTGGCTCCCACACCCCAGGACCTACCTGCAGTGCCCAGAGCTGGCTGTGTGTGGAGGTGTGGGCCTGAGGGTAAGCAGGCGGGACAGAATCTTCCCAGAGCTCTGGAATGCTCCACAACCCCCCAAACTCCTTTGAATAGGGTCGGCATTTCCCCCAGGCTTCCCACATTTACATATGAATCGCGCAAGTCACCCGGGCTATCACAGCAGGGCTTGTCCTAAAGGATGGAGCTGGAACCCTAAGCGTACTGGACTGAGAAGTGCACCAGCGGGCCCAGCAGTACCTGGATCAACACCTTCCTTTCTATTTGGTGTTCTTTCCTAGTCCTAAAACCCTCGAAATTCCACCTCTGGAGTTTGAATCTAAGATTATTATCTCTTCCTTTTCTACCCCATGCTAAGCCTTTTTGTTGTTGTTTTGCGTGGGAAATGGGGAATGCCCTTTTGAGGAAAGAATTCCAAAGGCCCAGCCATCTCTTGTGATGAGAGGCAAAACTGTGAAGTGGGCAGCAGTTGCCTGTTTAGTCTGCTCCTGAGCCTCTTTATGCAGTCTTTCACCCACAGCTTAGCCAAGGGACCCCAAACCTCCCCCTCCTTTAGGCAATGAACCCTAAAGCCATCACAGAGCAGATTTCAGCTGGGTAGTCCCAGGACAGCAAGAACAGGGATGGCAGGAGTGATTCACAGGAACTGGGAGTCCCGCTCACATCTTCCAAACATTTACACTTAAATGAACCAGGGAGAAGAAAGGCACACAACAATATGCCACAATTTTTTAAGAAAATGCACAATTTTGTAAGAAAATGGAGAACGGGGAAAAGAGACGAAAGAAAGGAAAATCTGCAAAAACCCATACATATTTCTATATAAACATATAGGCTGGGCGCAGTGGCTCACGTGAGGCCTGTAATCCCAGCACCCTGGGAGGCCGAGATGGGTGGATCACCTGAGGTCAGGAGTTTAAGACCAGCCTGGTCAACATGGTGAAACCCCATCTATACTAATAATACAAAAAAATTAGCCTGGTGTGGTGGCACACACTTGTAATCCCAGCTACTTGGGAGGCTGAGGCAGGAAAATCGCTTGAACCTGGGAGGTAGAGGCTGCAGTGAGCCGAGATCGTACCATTGCACTCCAGCCTGGGCAACAAGTGTGAAACTCTGTCTCAAAAAAAAAAAAAAATATATATATATATATATATACACACACACACATATATATACATATATATACACATATACACATATATACATCTACACACATATACACACATATACATATATACATACACACACACACACACACACGCATATATATAAAATTATGTAAGTGTAGAGAGAAAGGTCTGGAAGGAAAACACACGAAATTCATCCCAGAGTTTGTCTCAGGGAAGGACCTAGGATTTGGGGGAGAAGTTGAGATCAATGGGGACTCAAACTTAACCAGTACTTTTTAACCTCACAGGAACAAAATAATTAAAAAAAAAAAAGTCATACTGGCTGAGCACAGTGGCTCATGACTATAATTCCAGCATTTTGGGAGATAGAGGCGGGAGGATCACTTGAAACCAGGAGTTCGAGACCAGCCTGGGCAACATAGTGAGACCCTCAGTCTCTACAAAACAAACAACAAACAAAATTAGCTGGGCGTGGTAGCACGTGCCTGTAGTCCCAGCTACTCCGAAGGCTGAAGTGGGAGGATCACCTGGGCCTTCGAGGTTGAGGTTGCAGTGATCTGTGATAGCTCCACTGCACACCAGCCTGGACAACAGAGTGAGACCCTGTGTCAAAAAGAAAAGAAAACAAATATTTATATGGCACTATGTGTGTCATGCACTGTTCTAGGTATTTTACAAATATTAATTTAGCTTCAAAACACCCTATTATTGTCCCCATTTTACTGATGAGGAAGGAAGAAAAATTAAGTAACTGCCCCAGTAAGTAGAAGAGCTGAGATTTCAACCTACCTTGGCTCCAGAGTCTGTGCTCTTTACCAATAGCTATTCTGTCTCTTTTTTTCCCAGGAAGGCAAACCATATGCATTCTAACCTGGAATTCCACTTTTGGGTTTTGGTAGCCATCTGGTAGCTAATAGCAAAGTGGTGCAATTCTAGAGCACAATTTAACCTGATAATTAGAGCCACAGTTTGCCCACAATAAGACTGTGAACAATGATACATTTAAGCATATTTGCACATATTAATATGATTGCATTTATAAAATGCCACCCAATATAACATAAATTACCTAGACAGGCTGGGCACAGTGGCTCATGCCTGTAATCCTAGCACTTTTGGAAGCCAAGGCAGGCGGATCACCTGAGGTGAGGAGTTTGAGACCAGCCTGGCCAACATGGTGAAACTCTGTCTCTACTAACATTACAAAAATTAGTTGGGCGTGGTGGCGTGTGCCTGTAATCCCAGCTACCCAGGAGGCTGAGGCAGGAGAATCGCTGGAACCTGGGAGGCAGAGGCTGCGCCTCCAGCCTGGGCGACAGAGCGAGACTCTGTCTCAAAATAAAAAAATAAATAAGTAAATCCCTCAGACAGAATCTAACCTAGTTGTGTCATACACAGAAAATATGCAACGGTATTCCAGGTAATTTATGGCAGAAATTATGTGAAATGAAGGGAAAGGCCAATTTTATTAAGTCTTTTCATTTTAAAAGTTAAAATCGAGGGCAAAGAGGGATAGGGGAGTAAATTAAAACTTTAATATTTTT
Organism: Homo sapiens; assembly: GCF_000001405.40. Taxonomy (NCBI): domain Eukaryota; kingdom Metazoa; phylum Chordata; class Mammalia; order Primates; family Hominidae; genus Homo; species Homo sapiens. Next base: position 99,916,649 of record NC_000010.11, read on the forward strand.
TCTACTTAAAAAAAAAAATCGAACCTCAATACTTTATCTACTTTAAAAAAAATCAAACCTTATAGCCCAGAAGCCTGCTTTTAGGAATTTATTCTACTAAATAATTGGACAAGGGCACAAATATGTTCATTCAGGGATGGTCAATGTTTTAAAAAGCTTAGAAGCAACCTAAACAGAAAGAACTAAAATTTCCTCAAAAGGGTCTGGGTAGAGAGCAGTGGAGTGTGCCTGTAGTGCCAGCTACTCAGGAGGCTGAGGCAGAAGAATTGCTTAATTCCAGGAGGCGGAGGGTGCAGTGAGCGAGATCACGCCACTGTACTCCAGCCTTGGTGACAGAGTGAGACTCTGTCTCAATAAAAAACCAAAAGAGCAAAAGGGCCCAGGTAAATAAACTATGGCATGCCCATATAATAAAATACTCTTATAAGGCCAGGCGCAGTGGCTCACACCTATAATTCCAGAACTTTGGGAGGCCAAGGCAGTGGATCACCCGAGGTCAGGAGTTCAAGACCAGCCTGGCTAACATGGCGAAAACCCGTCTCCACTAAAAATACAAAAATTAGTTGGTTGTGGTGGCACGCGCCTATAATCCCAGCTACTCTGGAGGCTGAGACAGGAGAATCACCTGAACCTGGGAGATGGAGGTTGCAGTGAGCTGAGGTTGTGCCAATGTACTCCAGCCTGGGTGACATCTAACGTGAATTGCTGAAAAAAGTTTATGAAAGAATTGTAGTTTTGTTAAAAAGGGAAAAATATTTTAAATGCACATATTTGAAAAGAGTGTTAAAGGTGACAGAAACCGAGTTTTTCCTTTCTTTTCACTTATTCCCATTTCTAGTATTTCTATGATGAATATATAATATTGCTATGACAAAGAATAATAAAGTAGAAAAAAGAACATTTGCTGTAAAACGAGAATGTTCTAACAGTCAGCCCCCAACTACCGTTAGTCCATTTCAAACGTTCTTTACATTTTAATAATCTGAGGTTTCTTTCCTGACCTATCAATCCCTATAAATGGATGAAGAAAATAGGGGCTGGGCGCGGTGGCTCATGCCTGCAATCCCAGCACTTTGGGAGGCCGAGGCGGGTGGATCACGAGGTCAGGAGTTCGAGACCAGCCTGGCCAACATGGTGAAACCCCGTCTCTAAAAAAAATACAAAAATTAGCTGGGCGCAGTGGTGCCCACCTGTAGTGTAGTCCCAGCTACTCAGGAGGCTGAGGCAGGAGAATCCCTTAAACCCAGGAAGCAGAGGTTGCATTGAGCCAAGATCGTGCCACTGCACTCCAGCCTGAGCGATGGAGTAAGACTCTGTCTCAAAAAAAAAAAAAAAAAAAAAAGAAAAGAAAGGAAAACATTGTTGAAATAATATGCAAAATAGAAAGCAAAAACACAACTGCCTGCCTAGCAACGCATCTAGAAGCAGTCTTTCTGCAGCAAACCCTGAGAGGAGGCGATTTGTCTGTACACGTGCTCATCTTCTCCCCAGCCCTGCCTGGAGGAATCACAAACCCTGGTTTTCCGTGTTACCACAACACTCTGGCCAGCCCACCCAACCCCCACTGCTTTTCCTCTAGCACCTACTTTACTTCTACTTGGAGAAATTTTATCCTGCTCTGTGTAAAACTTCCAGAGCTGCAGGGCTCATAGCAGACTTCCTGGATCACCAAACTTCAGAGGTAAATCTATTACAGTTAGGTCCTAAATCTCAACAGCAAGAGGAAAAACGTTCCTGGTGGCTTTTGCTCTGTAATGTCGGTCTATTTTGGCAAGTAGCCTGAAGTAAAATCCCTGCTGGGAGAAATTCCACCTCGGAGACCCAGCTCAAAGCCTCCCTTTCCCCTTTTCATATCCAGGTCCCAATCTAGGCAAACAGGACAACAAATGAGGATCAAGTGCCCAAATTACAGGAGTCTGCAACTTCTTTTTTTTTTTTGAAAAGGAGTCTCACTGTCGCCCAGGCTAGAGTGCAGTGGCACAATCTGGGCTCACTGCAACCTCCGCCTCCCAGGTTCAAACAATTATCCTGCCTTAGCCTCCCGAGTAGCTGGGATTACAGGCACCTGCCACTACACCCAGCTAATTTTTGTTCTTTTAGTAGAGACAAGGTTTCACCATGGTCTGCAACTTCTTATGCTGCAGGATAGTGAGTTTAATACTAGGAGTAACTCAAACACCATTTCTGAACACTCACCAAATACACATAAATCCTAGCATGGTATGCTGATAATCTTAAAACTGTGGGATTATTATTTTTTAATCTTTAGGCAGCATAAGTAAAATAATCGACACAGCAAAGATAATTTTTGTAAAATTAAAGTTATCACTGTTTAATAAGCAAATTTTTATGTCAGTCAATAAAACTTTACATGAAAAGCTCTATTTTCTACACACATACACACAGAATCCGATGTTCTATTTTACCAAGGCTCTTGAGGCAAGGTAATAGTGCTCACGTTTTACAAATGAGGAAACAGGCAAAGAGGAATAAAATGACTTGTTTAAGACCAAACAGCTCATAAAGCAGCATATTCAAAACTGGCCTCCCAAGCCAGTGCTCTCCATTAAACGTCAAGGCCCGTTCTGGATTTTGTGTCTTATCCATAAAAGCATGGCCATTTCCTGCATTATATTTCCATTAACACTACAGTGATGGTTCAAAATTTGCTCAACTACATAACCCTCTATTTTTCTCTCCTACTCTATAAAAATCACTTTCTTCAGTTTATATTAATTAGGCGGTTTACTTTTATTCCTTCCACTTGCTCTCATAACATTTTATATATCTTTTACAACTATCCCACCTTCCTCCCCAAAAATCAGTTGATCTAAATTATAATCGTTTAAAGTTTTAATTATAGGCTGGGTGCTGTGACTCACGCCTGTAATCCCAGCACTTTGGGAGGCCAAGGCAGGTTGATCACCTGAGGTAAGGAGTTTGAGACCAGCCTGGCCAACATGGTAAAACCCCGTCTTTACTAAAAATACAAGAATTAGCCGGATGTGGTGGCGTGCGCCACCAGCTACTTGGGAGGCTGAGGCAGGAGAATCGCTTGAACCTGGGAAGCGGAGGCTACAGTGAGCCAAGATGGTGCCACGGCACTACAGCTTGGGCGACAGAGGAAGACTCCATCTGGGAGCTGGGGCAAGGATATGGAAAGCTGAAATGTCCTCTAAAGCATTCTGTAGTTTCAGTCAAGTTGTTTCATCTGTTGGAACTTCAGGAATAGCAAAATAACTGGAGTTAAACTAGATGGTCTTTAAAGTTAGTTCCATTTGAGTGAATGAATCTAGTCTAACAGGCAAGATATAAATTCATGAAACAAAAGAATAAGACAAAATAGAATAAACTTAGGTAGTAAGTGTTTAGGTTTTATTTATTTAAAAGGGTGAACCTAATCTCTCAAAATAAGGATTACTATATTTCCATTTTTTTTTTTTTGAGACAGAGTTTTGCTCTTATTGCCCAGGCTGGAGTGCAATGATGTGATCTCGCCTCACCGCAACCTCCGCCTCCTGGGTTCAAGCAATTCTCCTGCCTCAGCCTCCCGAGTAGCTGGGATTACAGGCACGCGCCACCACGCCTGGCTAATTTTGTATTTTTAGTAGAGAAGGGGTTTCTCCATGTTGGTCACAGTGGCCTCAAACTCCCAACCTCAGGTGATCCACTCGCCTCGGCCTCCCAAAGTGCTGGGACTACAGGTGTGAGCCACCGCGCCCAGCCCTATATTTCCAATATTTTGATGGTAAAATCTGATTAAACCTAGGATATGGGTGGGGTAAAGTCACTTCATTCCCCTATCTCTTCCCAGACTTCGACTTTTGGGGATATATGTGGAGCTGCTCCTAGATCTTGGGAGAGCAGCAGGTGTGGTGAATAAAGCACTCAGACAATAATTCAGAAGGCCTCACCCTGCCTCCCTCCTACCTGTGTGACCTTGGACATGTTATACAACCTTTCTGGGCTGTTGCTTCTGTGTGTGTAACAAAGGGGTTGGGCCTGTTTGTCACTTTCAGCTCTGAACTCTGACGCGACTTCTCAGTCTTTTTTGTTTTGTTTTTGAGACAGAGTCTCGCTGTTGCCCAGGCTAGAATGCAGCGGCACACTCAAAGCTCACTGTAGCCTCAACCTCCTGGGCTCAAGCAATCCTCCCAAGTAGCTGGAACCACAGGCACAAGCCACCACGCCCAGTTATTTTTTTAATCTTTTGTAGAGATGGGGTCTCACTATGTTGCTCAGGCTGGGCTCCAACTCGTGAGCTCAAGGAATCTTCCTGCTTCAGCCTCCCAAAGTGCTAGGATTACAGGTGTGAGCCACCATGCCCAGCCGACTTCCCACTCTTTTACTTCATTTACTCCTCTCAGTTGGGTATGAGTACACCAACTTCTAACCAGTTCCGCAAGGAACATCACTTACTATGGGAGGCCTCTTTCTAATCATCCAGTTAGTCATTTCCTCTCAGCGAGCCCAGAGAACTGGGCACCTGCCACTATTATGAAACCTGTAACAACAAAGTTTAATGGTCTGTTTCCCTATTAGTCCTTGAACAGGACAAGCCTAGCTTGTCTCTGGGCCTTTTCCATCCTTTCTGCTCACCTACTGTCTTTTAAAGCTCAAATCCCAGCTTCTCCATGACACTTTCTCTAGTCCTTGGATTGCTCTTTCCTCGAAATTCACCTCTTCGGCAACAGGTAATAACCCTTGCTATTTAACTTCTGATACACACATTCTGGGACCCAAAGTAGAATATTTATTGAGCATCTATTATATGCCAAGTACTATGTTAGATTCTGGAAATACCATCTTCATCCACTGCTATCATGGAGCTTAGACTCTACTGGACTGACCTGTGTACTCTGTATGCACTCAACCTACAGTACTTAGCACAGCAAATGGCATTTAATAAATGGCAGCAATTGAGACCAGGTGTGGTGGCCCATGCCTGTAGTCTCAGCACTTCGGGAGGCTGAGGCAGGTGGATCACTTGAGGCCAGGAGATTGAGATCAGCCTGGCCAACATGGCAAAACTCTGTCTCTACTGAAAAAAAAAAAAAATACAAAAACGTAGCTGGGTGTGATGGTACATGCCTATAGTCCCAGCTACTCAGGTGGCTGAAGCATGAGAATCGCTTGAACCTGGGAGGTGGGGGCTGCAGTGTGCCAAGATCACGCCACTGCACTCCAGCCTGGGCAACAGAGTGAGATTCCATCTGAAAAAAAAAAAAAAAAAAAAAAAAAAGCAGCAACTAGTATTACTTAGCAGAGTGCCCTAAGCATCACTCTGCTATGATTGTGATGTTTTGGATTCAATGAAATGCAATATATTTCATTGATTTGTTTCCTTTCAGTTTATGATGAGAAGAAAGGGGTGTCTGACACTGTGGAACCAGGTCTGCTGTGCAGCTATGAATACAAACATGGATCTTCCTCCCAAATATGACTACCAGCACTGTCACACCCCTGTAGCCTGTTGGCCTGGTATTTATGTACAGCCACGGGCACTTCCTGGTTTCTCAGGAAATATCAAATTGGAAAACTGTGGTATCAGGGCGAATGAGTCAGAGATCTGAGGTCCCACCTGAGCATGCCATGATATTGCAAGTTAGTTGCTTTGATTCACTCCCCCTTCCCACTGTACCCCTTAACACCCTCAGGTCCATATGAAAGAAGATACCCTAGAAGAGTACATCTTCCCATCCTAACTCATTATCTTGCCTTTCCTTGATATCTCTCGCTTTTACAGAGGCCTGGGGTCTCCCCAGACCAACATTCCTTCATTGTTGATGGAATGTTATGTAAAAATAACATAGGTAATGGCTTGGGAAGAAAACACATAACCTAGCTGCTGCTGTTTTTTTTTTTTTTTTTTTTTTCTTAAAAAAAAAAAAAAGATCTCACTCTCTTGCCCAGGCTGGAGTGCAGTGGTGCAATCATAGCTCACTGCAGCCTCAACTTCCCGGGCTCAAGCAATCTTAACCACCTCAGCCTCCTGAACTGCTGGGACCACAGGCACGCACCACCATACCCTGCTAATTTTGTTTGTCTAGCTTCTTGAGAATACAACTCATGATCCCAGGAAGCAAGGCTGGATGAGAGTTGGCCAAATTGGAGCATTCCAATCTTGGAAGAGGAGTGCCTAATTTACTCGAAAGCTTCAGTTATCTCCCAACTCTTGAAGAAATATGGCCCTGCATTCATTTCCTCTTGCCTCCACATATTTATTTTTTCCCTCTCCTTTGCCTCTTAACTACCCCATTTATCTTCAAACATTTTCTCCTTTTCTTTTTCTTGACACTTTGAGGATCTTGTTGCATACCAAATAGCTTCAGACATTGACATCTCCTGTAATCCCAGCAGTTTGGGAGGCCGAGTCAGGCAGATCACCTGAGGTCAGGAGTTCAGCACCAGCCTGGCCAACTTGGCAAGACCCTGTCTCTACTAAAAATACAAAAATTAGGGCCAGGTGTGGTGGCTCACACCTGTAATCCTAGCACTTTGGGAGGCCGAGGTGGGCGGATCAGGAGGTCAGGAGTTCGACTCCAGCCTAGACAACATGGTGAAATCCCGTCTCTACTAAAAATACAAAAATTAGCCAGGTGTGGTGGCACATGCCTGTAATCTCAGCTACTCGGGAGGCTGAGGCAGAATCACTTGAACACCAGAGTCGGAGGCTGCAGTGCGCTGAGATCACACCACTGTACTGCAGCCTGGTCAAAAGAGTGAGAGTCCGTCTCCAAAAAAAATAATAATAAAATTCTGATTTCCTCCTGACCTCTTCCAATATTCTTGCCCCATCTCTCTTACTGCCTTCCTCCTCCTGCACTGTAACTGTGGGCATCTCTGAGGCTCAGTTCTCAGGCACCTGCTCCTCTCCCCAGCTGTTCCTTCCCTCTGTACCTGAGCTGTATCTCAGTGATACAGCTATGGAGGTGGCTCACCTCCATACAGGCCCAGCTCTGATTTCTTCCTTGAGCTCCAACCCAAACTCCTACTGGCGTCTAAGATTTCAGTACTCTAGTTCTTTCCTCCACTGTGTTCCTCACCACCTTCCCCACGTCTTTGTCACCACAACCCTATGTCTTTCTCATAGTTTCCCCAACCAGAACTGTTCTCCTTGCTTCTCTCTGCCTATCCCAACTCCATTATTTCTTTAAGTTTCAGCCAAGTTCAAACATTTCCCTACAGTCTTTTCTAATAGCTCAAGCAAAAACTGGTCTTTCGGCTGGGCATAGTGGCTCACGTCTGTAATCCCAGCACTTCGGGGGCCGAGATGGGTGGATCACCTGAAGCCAGGAGTTTGAAACCAGCCTGGCCAACATGGTGAAACCCCGTCCCTACAAAAAAATACAAAAATTAGCCAGGCATGGTGGTGCATACCTGTAATCCCAGCTACTCGGGAGGCTGAGACAGGAGAATCGCTTGAACCTGGGAGGCAGAGGTTGCAGTGAGCTGAGATTGTGCCACTGCACTCCAGCCTGGGCAACAGAGTAAGGCTCCAGGCCGGGTGCGGTGGCGGTAGCTCACACCTGTAATCCCAGTACTTTGGGAGGCCGAGGCGGGTGGATCACGAGGTCAGGAGATCGAGACCATCCTGGCTAACACGGTGAAACCCCGTCTCTACTAAAAATACAAAAAAAAAAAATTAGCCAGGCGTGGTGGCGGGCACCTGTAGTCCCAGCTACTCGGGAGGCTGAGGCAGGAGAATGGCATGGACCCAGGAAGCAGAGCTTGCAGTGAACTGAGATCGCACCACTGCACTCCAGCCCGGGCGACAGAGCGAGACTCCGTCTCAAAAATAACAAAAACAAAAAACAAAAAAGAAAACAAAAAACCTGGTCTACCTTCCAACTGTCCATAGCATTTACTGTCTATGCTATACATACTTCTTTTGTATTTTGTCTCTTCAACTGATCTGCAAGCTCCTGCATGGCAGGTGTTTAAGAGTATAGTTGCCTTCTCTGGATACCTTCAATGCTTGGTACAATGCCAAGTACAGACATTAGTTAATAAACACCTGGTGGACTGCAATTAAAGGAGATATGGGATCTATGTGCTGGTATATTAATAATAAGCTTGAATACAGACTGTTGGAACAGATATCATGTTCACATGTTTGCAATGAAAAGAAATCTTGAATACCAGAGTCCTAAAAACTTTGAGCTGTCTGTGTACTACTTCGCAAAAGTGCCTTCAAATCAATGCAGGTTTTTCTTATCTTGGGAGAAAGACAAAACAGAAGATTTTCCTGCTCCACAGCAATTACTGTCCCAACTTTTAAGGGACTGCTTTCATATCCTTATCACCACTGCCCTCCTAAACTCCCTGTCATATGCTCTGTGCCCCTGCTCCTACCCTCCACCAACCTACCAAATGCAAAGGTCTTTCCCGAGTCCATATCCTCTCTTGCACCTTTGCACCTCTGCTGTCTATAATATAGTTGCAACCTCTGTTGGCAGCCTCCCTCTGACTTTCCTAACACTTTTTTTTTCTGTGCACTCTGCAGAGAAATACCTAACACTTTTCTGATATTCTAAATTCATCTTTGCAGACTCAATCTACGGCTGTGCTTCTGCCTTCAAATGTGGTAATGCTGGAAAAGCATTCTAGGTGTCAAGAGAGCCAGATTCTATTCCTGCCCTAATCCTTGACCCAGTTACCTTGGAAACACATTTCAATTTCTCTGAGCTCTATCTCTTCATTTATAAAATAAATGGGTTGTATTTAAGTGTTTTTCAAACATTTTTTACTGTGACCCACACTTTATTTTTTATTTTATTTTTTTGAGACACAGTTTCACTCTGTCGCCCAGGCTGGAGTGCAGTGGCACAATCTCAGCTCACTGCAACCTCCACCTCCTGGGTTCAAGCGATTCTCCCGCCTCAGCCTCCGGAGTAGCTGGGACTACAGGCGCCCACCAACATGCCCAGCTAATTTTTGTATTTTTGTACACAGGGGGTTTCACCATGTTGGCAAGGCTGGTCTCAAACTCCTGACCTCAAGTGATCTGCCCACCTCGGCCTCCCAAAGTGCTGGTATTTCAGGCGTGAGCCACTGTGCCTGGCCTGACCCACACTTTAGGCTGTAACTCACATTTACATAATACATTTATGTCTATACACATACACATACACAAAGTATTACATGCTTACTTTTACTACATAGAATGTAGTATGAAAGTTTTTTCTATTTACTTTTATTTTTCAGAACTGCTGATTGCAACCCCCAAACAGACTTCAAGACCCAGTCATGAGTGGCTACCCATTATTTACAAAAACATGGGATTGTGGCTATATAAGCTTCCTTCCAGTAATAACATAAGAGGCTCCTATTTTGTAGCCTTCCAACCCTGAACCTTTAGCCCTCTCTAGTTTTGTTTAGAGCCCTCTCTAGTTTCATAGTTTTCTCTGTAAGAGCTCTTCATTTAGATATCCTAATATTATTTACATGCAAAACAGGTAACGTGGAATTTGAAACACCAGGTCCCCTTCTCATCATAACCATGTATGTTATTAGCAAGTGCAAAACCCTAGTGCCCACACTTGGTCTAGTAATGGTAGAGTAGCTCACATTGTACTAATCTCCCTACTTATAACTACCAAAAACACTTTACAAGATTTATTTTTTTAACTTTTATTTACTTTTATTTTTCTAGAGATGTGGTCTCACTCTGTCACCCAGGCTGCAGTATAGTGGCATCATCATAGCTCACTATAGCCTCGACCTGCCAGGCTCAAGTGATCCTCCCACCTCAGCCTTCTGACAGATATTTTAAAAAATAACTATATGCAGGCACTGAAAAGCAATCAAAAGCAGGCAGAATTTGGAGGGGATATGACTCAAAACAAGGGAAGCAAACTAGGTAAGATGCACCTGTCTCCAGTCCTCCCCTCAGGGCACTCCCTAGTCTTTTAGGACGCCGGGAAATAAAGCAAAAGAAGAAAGCCCACATGGGGCAATCTTACTGGGCTGAGCAGCCAAAGGTTCCAGTCTGGGGGCTCTGAAGACATTAGCTATTAAGGGGGAAATCCTGGAAAACAGTAAGCCACAGAGAGGAGAGCCCCAAAATCTGTGCAGAAATGCCTCTCAATCCTTCAACTGTGCATGCAGGTGATGAGACTCCAAGGAACCCCGTGGAAAGCTGGAGGCCAGAAGAGCCCAGCAGATAGATCTTCACCAACTGTCTGGCTCTGGGAAGACACAGTTTGAAATTTGAGTCCCTCCAAGTTAGGAGGTTCAATAAACACTTCCAGTTTTCTGTTGAAACCTCCGAAGGGCCACACCTTAGGAATAAGGCCCACCTCTCAGAACTAGAGGTCCACACCCTAGGACTAAGAGCAAACCCCTAACAGACCTGCCCTAAAAAAACCTCAGATGGAGGCCTCAGGAGAATGACTGATCAGGCCGGTGAGAAAGGAAAGCCTGGGGGAAAACTTGGCTTCCTGCCTGGGGGAGAGGCTGGAGAGCAGCCACTGAACAGAGCTCTGTCTCAGATGGAGGAGGGGTGGCAAGGGGAAGACGGGAGAAGAGGAAGGGACAGGACATTCCACTTAGACAATCAAACTTGAAGTGTTTACGGTCTAGGGTAGATGTCCAACAGGGAGCAGGGACTATCAATCTGGAACTCAGAGACGAAACCATGGAGTGACAGGTGGGTGGCGCAACTTATAAAGGGGAAGGGAGGTGGGCAGATAAAACACAAAGAAATGGCCATTTATGAGCACCTACTATGTTCCGGATATGTGACTGTTTTATTTTTCTATCTCATTATGAGAGAGGTATTATCTTCACTTTACAAATTGAGAATCCGAAGCTCCAAGAGGTTAAGTAATTTTTGTCAAGTTAAGGCCATTTAGTAAATGGTGGAGCTGAGATTTGAACTCAGGGCAGACCAACTCTGATGCTTGTTCCTTTGTGTAATTACACAGTGTTCCCTTGTAATATTCAGGAAGGGCAATGGCGTGAGAGAGCTAACAAAGAACGTTAGAATGCTGAAAGATTTCTAGTAAAGACAGAATTTGTTATAGGTCAAGAAGGATATTAGGGGTACAAAAAGGGGTGAACTAAATATGAATATACTTTCAAAAGTTAAGTCCTCAAAGATAAAGAGAGTTGTAGAAATGGAAATGATATTGGGTGGAACCGAGCTGGTTTCAGGGAGATCAGAGGGCACATTACAACACTGCAGAGAGAAGGGTTTCACTCCTGTTAAGTCAAACAGAATAAACACACTTTGATTACAGTTGGGAGGCTTAATACAATAAGGAACTAAACATAGGAAACAAAGTTCACCAAAGGAACAGATGCGGGGGGAAGGGAAGAGGAACAATACAAAAACCAATATAAAGAATCACAGAATCAGACTTTTTTCTTTTTTAGCTGGAAGGAATTTAGAAGTTATCCAGTCCCTATCATTTCAGAGAGAAAATGCACCTAGGAAAAAATGACTAGCTGCTAAAAACCTCAGCCTCCCAACTAAAGCTGGGTTTGGTTTCATTTTTGTCTTTATAGGTGCAGGTTAAGAGCCTGTTAGGTCCAAAATGGTGCCCCAGAAATTCAAGTTAAGTCAAGCCCATGTTGGAAGACCACCAGGTAAACCACCGGCCATCCCAGGACCATAGCAGGCTTATCTTTTCAGTCTGTGGTGGCCCCTAGTACAAATCTAACCAGCCAGCCCATTCTGAAGGAGACCTAGACGAGAAACTTTCTACTTAAGGGGAGGGCATGAGATGGATTTTTCAGATCATTCACATTCTCTGACTAACCTTTATCCTCTGGTCACAGCCTGGACCCCAAAATTGGCCAGAACCAGAAAGGCCGTTTGGCATGAAGACAACATACAGCATACACACACACGAAAGGTTTAACAGAGAGTTCAGTAATTATAAAAATAACACAGTAGAAATAAAGCTCACTTATGAGAACTGAAGAAAAGATATAATGGCAAGAAAGAAAGAACCTCTACATGATAAAAGACTCCTAATATTCTCATTTCACAGACAACGTAGTTAAGGCTCAGTGAGATGAAGTGATTTGAAAGCTAGAAATAATCTTCTGGAATCCACAAGAGTGTCAGTACTCATCATTCACTTAAGATTCCTGAATGTCAAGGAGTGAACAATCTATAAAACAAATCAGGGCTACTCTGGGCACACTGCCTATGGGGTAGCCCTGCTCTGAAAGGAGCGGTAAAAAAAAAAAATTAAAATGAAGGCCTGGCAATGGTGGCTTACACTTGTAATCCCAGTACTTTGGGAAGCAGAGGTGGGTGGTTCGCTCAAGCCCAGGAGTTCAAGATCAGCCTGGGCAACATGGTGAAACCCTGCCCCTACAAAAAAATAAAAAAGTAGCCGGGCATGGTGGCATGTACCCATAGTCCCAGCTACTCAGGAGGCTAAAGTGGGAGGATCTCTTGAGCCCAGGAGTTTGAGGCTGCAGTGAGCCATGACCGTGCCACTGTTCTCCAGCCAGGGGGACAGAATGAGATCTTGTTTCAAAAAAATAAATAAATAAAAATAAAGTCAAGTCTTCTTTTCCATTAATGTCCAAAGAAGTGTAGAGACTGAGAGAAAAAAAAAAAAACATGCCAGGAAAATGAATTTTAGCTTGATGCCCTGATAATAAACTTGCTGCCTCGACAAGATGAACAAAAACATGAAAGTAAGAAAGGAAAGATACTTGAGATTAGAGACATCTGAAAAAACCAGGAAGCGTAAATAAAAGTTCCCATGAGAGCGCTATCCGAATGTTGCATATTTTTAGCACTGTATATATACTCTTGCTCTGTACAATGCCTTCCAAAGTAATTAAATCTCTAAGGTTGTTCTCACTCAAGGTGCACTTGATAAGAAGTTCAGGGCCCGGGCTCCTTAAGAACACAAGTGCTCCTAGTACCTGGTATAACTACCCTTTAAATCTATCTTTATGCTTTATCTTAAGAAGGCTGGCTGAGTTCATACCTTGGGTTTTCTTGCTGTTTTGCACGAACTCTGAGCGCCTCAGGGTGCTGGGTGCTGTGCGGCGGAGGCAACTATTCCTTCTCCAAGTCTCTGGGCCATTTAATTTTTTCTCTTCCTCTAAATGCCAGATGTTCTTCTCTAATGACGAGCTCTGAGGAATCCCCAAATGATGTCCTCCTTGTTCTCCCCTGGTACACTGAGTCTGCAGACCATCCAGAAGGATCCTGCTGCCCCCATGTGCCTTTGTTCTTGGTATGTCAGTGCCATTATACTCCAAATTCTCCATTTGATGGAGAGAATCTGTCCCTCTGGAATTACGAGATTTATATGCACAGTTTGCAAATAAAGCATCATAGCCTTTATTTTCTGTATCAAAATCACCCTGATCCATAATATGAGTCTTTGCTTTGGGATACATGTTGTCATTTTGATGAACATTCCTGTCCCCTTCATGGTATTTGATAAATTCCTTATCTTCATTGACACCATTCGAATCTGAAAAGCTCACAGGCTGACCATCAGGATAACTCCCAGGAACATGATATAAATTGCTGTGTTCTCTACAATAAAAATTAGTTGCCCAACAATCCTCAAGATTATGGTTAACATTCTCATGGTCTATATACCACAACTGAGGTTGACCTAAATTCGCTGAAGAATCATCCAAACCCCTACAGTCAGTCAACTGTTCAGCTTTTTTAGAGTCCTCAGGATTATAATTCAGATTCTTACAGTCTGAGTAGCCATTTGCCTCCCCGTATCCACCAGCTTTCGAGGTCACATCTGGGCTTCTCGTAGGTGAATTATCCTTCGTCCCAGGGCTGAGACTCTCATAATCTACATTTTCTGGACTCCTATAACCATCATGACCTCCGTGGTACACACAGCCCTTTCCACTTTCATGTGCTTCCCCACAGTCCATATAGCTTGGTTCACTCTGTTCAAAATCCCAGTATCCACAATCCCTTTTTCTGTAGGGCTGATGCTGTCCCTTGGCCCAGTACCTGGGATCCAAGTCATTTTCTCTGTAGAGTCCATCCAGCACTGTAAGGTTCCTTTTCCGTACACTCCCGTAGTCTTCATACTCCCAGCTGGAGTCCCAGTGCCTTTTCTCCTCCACTTCCCTTTCTTTTCTAGCCTTCTGGGTTTCACACATATTCTATGTGCTTAAAGACAAAGGTTTTACTATTCTTTTCCATGGGCCTGGGCTGGGCTGTGGACAGGTGCAGTCTAGCCTAAGGCTGGATTTGTCCTGCTTAAAATGTCTCCCAACCATTCCAGACACTCTTCTCGTTGCTCTAGTCGGAGCGCAGTGAGATGTGGAGTTATTTCAACCTCAGGATCCAATCAGCGAGCTACTCTATCTTTCTCCAGAGGCCAGAAGATAATGAGTAACTAGTATGCATGTGATTGGAGTTGCCAGCTTTGTTTGGTGTTTCCCTCAAGCTGGTCAAACTGGCTTGGCTGCTTTACTTGCTGAAGATAGAGGCATTCTGCTACTCCAAAGGTTTTGCAGGAAAAGTCGTGTGAAAGAGAAACAGCACCCCTTTAGAAGTCCAGGTCAGGTCATATATCAGTCTCCCCCGCCTCTTTAATCCTTTAGTAAGCCACCAGGGGTATAAACAAGTGCTTTCCTTCTCAAGCTGCACCTCCATTCCCCATCCTCCAAGTCCACCTTTCTAATCCTTGAACATCTGAAACCTTTCAGGACTTCATCCCTTAACTTAGAGTCAGGACTCTTCTGACTGCTTTGCTTTTCTGGAATTGAAGTCACCAGTTAGTGTACACTCCAATCGCAAGCTGCTGAAGCTCCCACCTGCAGACAGTTAGTCATACGACTGAAGGAAGAAAAAGTACTTCCTTTTACTTTGATCTGGTGAGTAGGTGATTTTATAGCGTAAACATTCTTCCCAGAATGGAGTTAGGTATGCTTTCACATTTTCCCAGATACTTGTCATGCCAGGGAAGCATCAAAAACATTCATTTCTTAAACCTCTTTTCTAGTTAATTCATACAACATATTTAAGAAGTCGAAAATGAGGCCAGAAATCAAAAAGGCAGGTAAATGGCTATTTAAATCAACAAATATTAGATGGTTACCTATCATAGAGGAGGCATTGTGGAACAGAAAAAGACAAACAAATTAGTCCCTGCCTCTTACAATGCAGAAGCAACACGCTTAAAGAAAGATCTAATGTGATAAGTGCTATGGAGCAAAGACAAACAGCAACAGCACCAAAGCAAAGTCCCTGGCATGGCAAGTGGAGGCTTCAGGGAAGCGGTTGGATGTGAACAGTGACTTCTAGGAGAAGCAGGATCTCTGCAGACTTCACATATGGAGCACTAAGAAATGGGGAATCATCTGAAGGATATAATACGTGGAAAATAAGAGAGGAGGCTGAAGAGATAGGTTGGGGTGGACCCCAGAGGATGTCAATGACATTTATTTTATTCAATGGAAAGCAAAGAGTCATGAGGTTTTTGAGCAGGGGAAACACATGCTAAGAGACAGGCCTTAATAAGATTACTCTTTTAGCTGTCTGGTCATTTCTTAGATATCTAGGAATGATTCCTTGAACTTTAATCCTTATTTGTGAAATAATATCCAGAACCCTGAGGAAAACTGCCTTATATGCTTTGTTAATAATTACATGTTTACTCTTGGGTAACTACTAATTCTCTCTGGAACTCAATCTACCCATCAATAAAATGAGGCAGTTGGCCACAATGACTCCTCGGATTCCCCCAGCATGTTTCTAGATCACCTGCCCCCTCAAACAAAAGGCCAATAAAAAACAAATTGACCAGTGGTATTCATCAGTCAAAGCACATGTGTTGTAAATTTGTGATGCCATGAATGTGAGCTCTCAGGAAAGAAGTTCTGACATGGCTCGTATGGAAACCTGAATAAAATACTCTACGTGGTCAGGCTGCATAAAGCACATAGTTCCCCTGGCATTTAGAGACAGCCCAAAAGGAGTCCGTGAGGAACCCAGGACTGCAGTCAGACTGCTCATATCCGATTCTAAGAAGACCTGCACTCCTTTTTACCATTTTATTCCTAATGCATTTCCTGTTCAAATAAAAAATCCAACCAGAGGAAACAAGCAGTGTGGCTGGGATTAATTGTGCATGAGTCAAAGGCTCAGGCTGACCCTAAGGGTCACCACACTTCCTATTTTTCTGTTCTCAAAATCTGGTCTTGCTCGTGCAGGAGTTCCTCATATTGGCATTTCAGAAGTCTGGGAATGACCACTAGTTATTCTGGAGATACCAATCTAATGGAAAAAGTGATCCGTTCCTAAGGAATCACCTAGGATCCCAGGGGAATAGCTTGTATGACTCTTTCTGATGAAAAACAGAGACTTACGGTTCAGTAACAGGGCTATAAAACAGGGGCATTGAGGCAGAATATGGTGACCCACACCTTTAATCTCAGCAGTTTAGGAGGCCTAGGTGGGAGGATCACTTGAGCCCAGGAGTTTGAGGCCAGCTTGGGCAACAAATGAGACCCCATCTCCACAATAACAAAAAAAAAATTAGCTGGGCACAGTGGCACACACCTGTAGTCCCAGCTACTCAGGAGGCTGAGGCAGGAGGATTGCTTGAGCCTGGGAGGTCAAGGCTACAATGAGCAGTGATTGAGCCACTGCCCTCCAGCCTGGGTAACAGACTGAGACCCTGTCTCAAAAAATAATAATAATCAAATGAATTTTAAAATAAAAGGGGTATTGAACTAAATAATCTCTAAAGTACTTTCCAGGTTCTAAGTTGTGTATGTTTTTGAAGATTCACCTTTACTGTGTAGAAATAACCAATAAAATAGCAATCCATCAGGTAATAAAGCTTATCAAAACAGTTACCCTGTTGAAAATAGACAGGAAAACAAGCTTTATTATATGGGTTCAGGGGGATCTGGCAAAAAAGGAAAATAGCATAATTCTACAGCTTTAAGAAAGCCAGTTGATTTCAAAGCCAGCAGAGTGGGAGTTATGGCACGCTTTTATTCTTCCCCTTCACCAAGAGGCCCATTGTGTCTGAACAGCAGTCAGTCACCAGTGCATTCCCTCTGTGTTCTCGATGGATGGCCTTAGGGCCAGAGGGGGAAAAATCACTTGTTGTTGTTTTTGTTTTTTTGTTTTTTTTTGAGACGGAGTCTCGCTCTATCACTCAGGCTGGAGTGCAGTGGCGCGATCTTGGCTCACTGCAAGCTCCGCCTCCCAGGTTCACACCATTCTCCTGCCTCAGCCTCCGCAGCAGCTGGGACTACAGGCGCCCGCCACCATGCCCGGCTAAAGTTTTGTAATTTTAGTAGAGACAGGGTTTCACCGTGTTAGCCAGGATGGTCTCAATCTCCTGACCTCATGATCCCCCTGCCTCGGCGTCCCAAAGTGTTGGGATTACAGGCGTGAGCCACTGCGCCCAGCCTTGTGATTTTTTAGGACCCCAACTTCTGACCAAGGGATAGGGAATCATAAGTTAAAGGAATGCAGAAATACAGGACCAAGACCCTATTTTTGGGGAACACTGAAACCAAATAATATCAAATTTGTGAAAATGTTGGGCACCTCTCTCTAAGTCTAAAATCTTAGGTGCTGTATAGTATATAAAAATACCAGTGTCAGAATTCATGATGTAGACAATAATTTCTTTTCTAGGCTATAGACAGCCAAGATGAATGTGAGCTTCTAAGGTTTTTTAGAGAAGCAAGCCTAGGTTTCAGATGGAGAGACAGTGTAACTGGAGTAAGGCTTTGGGGTTAATAATGATGCGGCTTCATAACAATAAAAACCTCCTTGTGTGGAATAGGGTCTCATATCATAGGTGAGATAATATTGGATAGTTGGAGAAGGGGAAAGTTGTGACTGGATAATCATGAATGTAAGTTTGCTTTGGGGTGAAAGCATAAGTCTTTTGGTAGCTCAGTAAACCTCTACAGAGAGTGTCCAGAGCAAATTTATTTTTTATATATTTTGGGTAATAAGAATAGGATTACTGAGGAAGAAGCCATTAGCAGTAGGCTCCTTGTGCTTCATGGTAAAAGTTTGGCCCGGGGAGGGAGATGGTAAAACTGGTACATTTGTAATCTTGATTTGTCAGGAATCATTTGGTAGACGTGAGGAAATAATGCGTGGGGACAAGATTTCAAAGGGTGAGATGGTGGGAATTGGACCAGGGTCGTAGCATAGAGCAATTAGTAGAAGGAAGAGGCCGGGCACAGTGGCTCATACCTGAAATCCCAGCACTGTGGGAGACTCAGGCGGGTGGATCACTTGAGTCCAGGAGTTCGAGACCAGCCTGGGCAACATAGTGAGACCCTGTCAAAATAAAAATTAGGTATGGTGGCGCATGCCTGTAGTCTCAGCTACTTAGGAGGCTGAGGTGGGACAATCAGTTGAGCCCGGGTGGTCAAGGCTGCAGTAAGCCATGATTGCACCACTGCACTCAGCCTTGGTGATAGGGTGAGACCCTGTCTCCACAAAAAAAAAAAAAAAAAAAAAAAAAAGAAAAGAAAAAGGGAAGAAATATTTTGAAAGAAGGAATTAGAAGAAAAAAGGAAATGAGCAGCAGAAGTCAGTTTGGAAAGCAGAATGTAATGAATTTATTTGGGAGTTGGAGTTGAAGAATCATCATCATTAGCAAATGAACATCAAGTGCTTGCCATGCAAAAGGCATCATACCAGACTCTTGAGATACCAAAGAGAAGGTGGTACCTACCATTAAGGAACTGTAACCTACTTGGGAATATAAGACAGACTTAGTTTTTTTTTTCTTATTTACTTTATTTTACTTTTTAGAGACAGGGCCTCTCTTTGTCACCCAGGTTGGAGTGCAGTGGTCCGATCATAGTTCACTGTAGCCTTGAACTGTTGGGCTCAAGCAGTCTTCCCACCTCAGCCTCACGAGTAGCTGAGACTACAGGCAATAGCCACCTTGCCTGAGTAGACTTAAATTTTTTGTTGTTGTTGTTGTTGAGATGGAGTTTTGCTCTCGTCACACAGGCTGGAGTGCAATGGTGCAACCTCAGCTCACTGCAACCTCTGCCTCCCAGGTTCAAGCCATTTTTCTGCCTCAGCCTCTCGAGTAGCTGGGGTTATAGGCATACACCCTGCCGCCCGGCTAATTTTGTATTCTTAGTAGACACAGGGTTTCACCATGTTGGCCAGGCTAGTCTTGAACTCCTGACCTGAGGTGATCCTGCGCACCTCGGCCTCCCGAAGTGCTGGGATTGCAGGCGTGAGCCACCGCACCTGGCCTAATTTTTTTTTAAATCAAGAGCATATAAAAATCAAGAGCATAAAAGATAACCCGGTTTTCCAATGTGCTTGACTATAAAATGACCCATAGGATTTTGCCAGGTGCTTTGCTACCCAGATCTTATTTTACCTAGGCCAGGTGCATTCCTTGAACACCTCTGACTTGGGTACTGAGTGAGAAGGAAATTTTAACTATAAAAGTATAGGTAAGATTAACTTTAATCTAACTGTAAGATTAAAATAATCTACAAGTGAATAGCTTATAATCAGATAATCAAGAGTTTGTTATAAAACAATTGATGATAAAATTAGAGTAATTTTTTCAAAATTAAATCATAAATCATATAGAACTGAATTTTAATTTCATTTTTCCAGAAACATATACTGTGCTCTTATCCTTTCTTTACCTCAACTTCTTCTACAATAAGACAGATGCTAACTGTTCAGCTTACATTTTGTGAGGATAACCTGAAAATTGGTTATTTTCAAAAACAAAAGTGGTGATTATTGGTACCTTCTTTTAAGATCTCATTATAATATATTTTCAGGATAGGGACAGTTCAAGAAGGCCTCTGGAGAACATGATTGAACATTCATTGCCCATACCCTTCATCTCCAACAAAGAACCCTTTACTGAAGATTTCTTTTTTCTTTTTTTTTTTTTTTTTGAGACACGGTCTCACTCTGTTGCCCAGGCCGGAGTGCAGTGGTGCCATCACAGCTCACTGCAGGCTCAAACAATCCATGTTTCTATTTTCCCTCACAACTTATTTTTGCTTTCCTCAAATACTTGATGTGCTATTACGTGCCTTTTGGATTCTTTACTGACTTACTGAATAAGCCTTTATTTATTTACTGGAGTTAGGGTCTTGCTCTGTTGCCCAGGCTGAAGTGAAGTGGTATGATCTAAGCTCACTGAAGCTTTGAACTCCTGGGCTCAAGGGAGCCTCCCACCTCAGCCTCCCTAGTAGCTGGGACTACAGGCATTTGTCACCATGCCCAGCCAAAATGAAACTCTAGATTGTCAAACCTTCTTTTATTTCTTATTCTTTGAGACAGAGTGTTACTCTGTCACCCAGGCTGGAGTGCAGTGGCATGATCTTGGCTCACTGCAACCTCTACATCTCCAGGGTTCAAGAGATTGTCCTGCCTCAGCCTCCCAAGTAGCTGAGATTACAGGTGCCCGCCACCACGCCCAGCTAATTTTTATATTTTTCAGTAGAGACGGGGTTTCACCATGTTGGCCAGGCTGGTCTTGAACTCCTGAACTCCTGACCTGATCACTCCTCAAGTGATCCGCCCACCTTGGCCTCCCAAAGTGCTGGGACTACAGGTGCACCAGACCCAAACGAACCTCTATATTGTCAAAACTTCTGATGTCCACTTGTTCTGGTCCCTTGTACCTCCTCAACCAACAGCAGCAGCAGCAACAGCCCAGGCAGCTACCATGTTTTCAGTGTGTACTATGGGCTACGATCAGCACTAGGAAGATGGTAGAGGTTTTCCATTTTCACTACCCTCCAAGGAGGGTATTTATTATACTTGTTTTACCACAGATAAAGAAACAATCTGCGAGTGTGAATAACCTGTCCAAGATCACATAAACTAGTACATGGCAGGGCCACAGTTTGAACCCAGATCTGTTTGATTTCATGGCACTAGACTAAGAAGAATATCTCAAAACACAGTAAATCTTAATTTCCCTCAAACCAAGTGAACAAACAAATAGAAAGTATCCTGGCCTAATTCAAAAGTGGACCACTACCGAGGCAAGCCATGTACACCCCAACACCACCATTCTCTCTTTGTTTCCAGTCCTGGCCGACCAACCCTGCCCTCAGCTGGGCCTCACCAGCCAACCACCATGAGCACACAGAATGGCAGTGACACACAAGACAGCCCAGCACTGAGTGACTCAGTCATTACAACCTATCACCTAAACCCAACAAAGATTGTGACTTGGTTCACCAAACCAATAGGAAGTCAACATTATTCGGGAGGACAGCTTTCACCACAAGTTAAAACAGAGCAACAGTGTAACAGAGAGAGCACTGGAGACCAAATGAGGAAATGACACCTGCCTTCTAGAAGTTCAATTTCTGCTAATAACCAGTTTTCAGGTATGATTACCCTCTTTGGCTGTCACTTTCCTATGTAGGAAATGTGGACATTAATGATTTCTCTGCCACTTTAAGTCTACAATTCTATGATCTTGCTTATTTCTAATCCAATTAAAAGATTAAACTTTCTCTGTTATGGAAAACAAAGTTCACTAGCAACTTGATATCTTTGATAAAGCTAGCAAGATAAGAAAAATACACCTAATCAACCAAGAGAAGAGATAAAAAGAGAGGACTAAATTGTAGGTAAGGATCCTAGTTATAAAAAGAAATTATTGACCAGGTGTGGTGGCTCAGGCCTGTAATCCCAGCACTTTGGGAGGCCAAGGTGGGCGGATCACTTGAGGTCAGAAGTTCCAAACCAGCCTGGCCAACATGGTGTAACCCCATCTCTACTAAAAATACAAAAAATTAGCTGGGTGTGGTGGCAGGATCTGTAATCCCAGCTACTCAGGAGGCTGAGGCAGGAGAATCGCTTGAGCCTGGGAGGCGGAGGTTGCAGTGAGCCAAGATGGGTGCCACTGCATTCCAGCCTCGGTGACACAGTGAGACTCCATCTCAAAAAATAAAAAAAAGAAATTATAGTTGGGCAAGTGGAGAGTGAACAGTTGGTTACAAAAGGGGGCTTCCCCCACCCTTTCTAAGTCCGATTGCCTTTAGGACTTTAAAGATAAGCAGTTTGCATAAAGAGGTAAACTCCCTCAGCTTTATCTCCACACTACTATGACTCAGATCTAAACAAAAGCTGTGAATGGGTTGCCATTTTTGAGTAATAAATCTGTGTACAGAGAAAGTGGCCGAGGAAAGAGGGAGGATGACTTTTCTACTTTTCTCAATGGTAGGACTGCTGGTGAAATAGAACCCTGTAGACAACCATCCCTCCTTCAGCACCCCCTCTCACTTTACACAACAGTCACACTCCACTGGCTCTTTTCAGCAGTCCTGAAGCACCACCTCACCGTGATGTTTGCTATTTGCTCCTAGTGGGTGGGCCATCATGACTATCTGTGTGATGCCCAGAGTGGATAGACTGCCACCTATTCTAGAAGTGAGGATGGAGAAGTAGGATTTGGAAGGAGAGAGAAGAGACAGAGAAGGTAGAAGAAGGGTAAAGGAAAAAAGGGAGAAAAGTGTGCCAAAAAAAAAAAGAGCAAGAATATGTAACTCCCTAAACTTTTGTGGATTCCTCTGTGACTGCCCATGTTGTTGCTCCACTGAGGGTCAACAACTCCTCACTCTCTAGGACTCTGCCCAGTGACATTCTGATTCCTACAGTTCTTGCTATTTTCCAGAGAACCTTGCAAATATCTCTCTTGGCTAACCTATGCTGTTACTTCATTATACTTGCTTACCTCCTTTTATTATACTGAAAGTTCCTTGAGGGCTAGGATGGTCTAACTTGTCTTCCTATCTCTAGCACAGCTCTGTAGATGGTAAAACCTCTTTGCAAAAATTATAACACTGAGAAAATTATAACAGTGAGAAAATTACAACAATGAAAGAGATTGGATCTAAACAACCCTCATCTTGTCTTTAACCTCCAAACTGTCCTTGATCACTCCTGGGCTTGGCCTAAGCCAACTGTGGGAGAAATTTAGTTTACAGTTGAAATGGAAATAGCCCTTCCACTTTCTAAAACTAAACCACTTTTGTAAAACTAATGAAAGGTCACCAAGTCAGAAGGATGAGAGGAGCCTAATTCTGCTAAGATATAGACATAAAGGATTACTAGCCATTATTTAGAAGGTAACAAGATTTGCAACTTCCGCAATCACCCCTGCAGATAACGCCATTACTGTAGAACCTAAGATTAATCTTTTGAGATGTCTTTTCAGGCTTTTGCATTTCTGAGGACTGATGGCTCCACCTGGACCTGCCAACCAGTCCTGTGGTCCCACCCAGAAAGGGACTTGGTACAGGAGGACCACTGTCCACATCCCTATGGTTGCATCCGCAACCAATCAGCAGCACCCATTCCCCTAGCCCCCTGGCCACTAAACTGCCCTGGAAAAACCTCTGCATTTTTTAGACTGATTTGAGTAGTAACTCCATCTCCCACATGGAGTGGCCAGCTGCATGTCAATCACTCTTTCTTCATGCAATGGCCTCAGTGAATTGGTTTTGTTTGTGCAGTGGGCAGGAAGAACCCATTGGGTGATTACAATGGGGTACACAGTAGGTATTTAAATGTTTAATGAATCAATGCATGTAGCATTTATTTGGCACATGCTAGATGCTAGGTAGAGGGCAATCTAGCTTAGAGGTTAAGTGCACAGGCTTTGATAGCCCTGGACTTAAATCCTGACTTTGCCACTTAATAGCTGTATAATCTTGGGGAGGTTATTTAATCTCTCTAGGCTTGTTTCTTCACCTTTTCACCATCAAACCTACCCTGCTACCTGCCTGTGAACCCAAACACTCTGCCTCCCACCTTTAACAATGGAGGAAGGGTCCCTGCTCTGATCCCAGGCCAATCTCTCCGTTGGCTTGCCAGACCCCTCCCCTCCTGACCACTCACTATCTAATAGCAGTGAGGCCTCCTCTCCCTGCTTCTTCAATGTGCCCATTCTAGTGGATCAGTCCCGTAAACTTATGAACGCGTACTAATGTTTCTCATCTTACAAACGACTTCCGCTGGCACCTCAATCCAACGTCCCCTGCTGCCACTACCCTATTTTTTTGCTTTCTTTTATAGCAAAACTCTTCGAAAGACTTTTGAGCACACTAAATGCTCAATGCCTCTCTTCCTTACCTCTCATTTTCTCTTTAATCCACTCCAATAGGGCTTGCATCCCAATATCATCCCTTCAGTGAAACTGCTCTTGACAAGGTCACCAAATCCCACAGTCATTTTGGAGACTTCACCTTACTTGGCCTCTCGGCAGCTTCTGATCCTGTCACTTGCCCTTTCTTTTTTTGAGACAGAGTCTAACTTTTTCACCCAGGCTGGAGTACGGTGGCGCGATCTTGGCTCATTGCAACCTCCACCTCCCATGTTCAAGTGATTCTCCTGCCTCAGCCTCCCGAGTGGCTGGGATTACAGGCACCCGCCACCACACTTGGCTAATTTTTGTGTTTTTAGTAGTGACGGGGTTTCACCATGTTGGTCCGGATGGTCGCAAACTCCTGACCTCAAGTGCTCCGCCCGCCTCGGCTTCCCAAAGTGCTGGGATTACAGGCGTGAGCCACCGCACCTGGCGTCACTTGCCCCTTCGTGAAACCGTTTTTCCATTTGGCTTTCCTTCTCCTTGGCTGGTTGCTTCTTCTTTGCTGGCCCATCTCCCTTGTCTTCCATATTCCTAAAGATTGGAATGCCCCAGGGCTAAGTTCTAGATCATATTCTCCTATACGCCCAATTAACTGGCACACAGCAGGAATTCAAGAAGTATTGATATGACCAGAAATGTGGTTGCTACTTGCAACTCTAATCCTTCCAGTTGCCTAACCTCAGGGTTACCCCTCAGGGTTACCCTTGACTCTTCTCAATTTTTTTTTTTTTTTGAGATGGAGTTTCACTCTTGTTGCCCAGACTGGAGTGCAATGGCACGATCTCGGCTCACCGCAACCTCCACCTCCCAGATTCAAGCGGTTCTCCTGCCTCAGCCTCCCTAGTAGCTGGGATTACAGGCATGTGCCACCATGCCCGGCTAATTTTGTATTTTTAGTAGAGACGGGGTTTCTCCATGTTGGTCAGGCTGGTCTTGAACTCCTGACCTCAGGTGATCCGCCCGCCTTGGCCTCCCAAAGTGCTGGGATTACAGGCATGAGCCACCACGCCTGGCCTCTTCTCAGTCTCTTATACCTCACATCTAATCCACCAGCAAGTCCTACTGGCTCTAACTCAAAATATGCTGAGAGCTGAGCACCTCTCATCCCTACTGCTGCCATCCTGGTCCAAGGTGCTGGCATCCATCCCTTGCCTGGGTCACTGCAGTAGCCTCCTAACTGGTCTCTCAGCCTCTGCCCTG
This sequence comes from Homo sapiens, assembly GCF_000001405.40. NCBI lineage: Eukaryota > Metazoa > Chordata > Mammalia > Primates > Hominidae > Homo > Homo sapiens. The sequence continues at coordinate 99,941,953 of NC_000010.11, forward strand.
TGTCTCTTCTGTCTATTCTCTTCTGTTAAATTGTAGGTCAGGTCATATTATTCCCCTGCTCAAAACCTTCCAGTAACTTCTCTTCTTACCCTAAATGATGAACTACAACTGTGCCGTTGCTCTAGCTGAACCAGTCTCCTTGCTTTTCCTCAAACATCTAACATACTCTCATTCTTGCTGTCTTATCTGTCTGGAACGATGCCTCCCACCCCCAGAAATGGTTTGGCTGGCCCCCAACAATCTTACTCAAACATTATTTTTCAGAAGGTTTTCTCTGATTTCTTTTCTCCATAGATTGTTTTCCCTTCTGACAAAAAGGCAAAAAAATATACTTAGAGTTTTACTTACTTATTGCTTGTCTTTTCCCATGAAGGCAGAGATTGATTGCTACTGTGACTCGAGATCACTGCCTGGAATACAGTGGGAGCTCAATCATACTGGTTGACTGATGACTGTCCTGTCTTTTGGGTCTTATTACATCTGGTAAAGTGAACAGTAAAAGGCAGCAAGCAGCTCAGGTAGGGGTGTGATGGTGGGAACACTCGCAACTAAGGGTCTCAGGCTATCTGAAGATGAATTATTTTCCTGTACCATGCTGCAAAGCCTCAGTGAAATCTGAAACCAATACTTAAGTACCTCAATGCATTCCAGCTTCTTCACCCTGTGCCTCGAGCTGAGAGTGCGAAAATGTTCACAAGGCCATCCTACAAACTGCTAAGAACAGTGACTCACAGGTCAATTATACCTCAGTTCACCATTCTAAGCTACATTTCTTGACATACATTCAACCATCCATCCTAAAATCAGAAACTAGTTTCTCTCCTGACTTAACATAGCCTATTAACGGGTTCTGATGATGGCTGCTGTCTTATACTAGGATAAAATCCTTTAGAAGTAACTCTGAGCTCATTTTTACTGAGCCAAAAGCCTCAACCAGATGTTACACAAGTTGAAGATACTTGCTTTTTTCCTACATACTGACAAACTAGAAAGAAAGATTATTATTTCCTTTACATAAACTTTCATTATCTTGAAAGACCACAGAATGGGCCAGGTGTGGTGGCTTACACCTGTAATCCCAGCACTTTGGGAGGCTGAGGGGGGGGCGGATCACCTGAGGTCAGGCGTTCGAGACTAGCCTGGCCAACATGGCAAAGCCCAGTCTCTACTAAAAATACAAAAATTAGCTGGGCATGGTGGCGGGCACCTGTAATCTCAGTTACTTAGGAGGCTGAGGCAGAAGAATCGCTTGAACCCGGGAGGCAGAGGTTACAGTTAGCCGAGATTGCACCACTACACTCCAGCCTAGGTGACAAGAGTGAGACTCTGTCTCAAAAAAAACCAACAAAAAAAAAAAACACAGAATGATTTGGCTATTTAATTCTATTATCTGTTACTAGTTTGAGAAGGAATTCTTGTGTGTGGTTTTTTGTTTGTTTGTTTGTTTGTTTGTTTGTTTTTTTGAGACAGTTTCACTCTGTCACCCAGGTTGGAGTGTGGAGTGCAATGATATGATGACAGCTCACTGCAGCCTCGGCCTCCTGGGCTCACCCAATCCTCCCACCTCAGTCTCCCTAGTAGCTGGAACTACAGGTGTACACCACCATATCCAGCTATTTTTGTATTTCTTTTAGGAACGGGGTCTCACCATGTTGCCTGGGCTGGTCTTAAAGCAATCCTCCTACCTTGGTCTCCCAAAGGGCTGGGAGGCATGAACTACCACACACAGGTATGAGCCACCATGCCCGGCTGAGAAATAATTCTTATACCTAAGGGATTCCAAGGAGGCTGCAGAATGACAAATTGCTTCTGCATATAAAACAGTTACACTTTAAAATTTTAAAAATCTGTCTAGAATATTACGTATCACTTTAGTATAAAGACGTTATTGTTCCATATCAGTCATTCTCCAGCTTGTTAATCTACTGGCTGTCTTTAGTGCATCTTAGATGCTACCCAGTAGACTGGGGAAATATTATTTTCCTGAAAAACATGTTCTGATTTAATTTGCAACAGACATCACTGAAAATTACTTGTAGAGTCTCTGGTCAACCTTCCTTTGACATTATCTTAAAGGCCAAAAAGAGGAAAGTTGAGGAGCAAGGTTCCTGACTCACTCTGTAGTTTGGCATCCATTGCACTGATTTAGAACAATGGGGTTCCGGAACTGACCCACACCGAAAGTAGCCATTGGTCATGATTCCAAGGCAGCAGGAAAGAGCATAATTAGCTGTAGAGGTCAATATCAATATGATCACTGGGGTTTCAAACACACATAAATATGAATGATAATATGACTATGTTTTTTTAAATTAATCAACGTGTAGCTAGTGCCTGGCTCATCATGTGTGCTCAAGAAATATACACTGAATAAAGAAATGAATGCACACCCTCTTTTCAAATTCAGGTGTGTGAACCTCACCAAGAGATAGGGTAGCACTAGGTAGTCCTGATCAGAGCTTCTAAAAATAATATGTACTGGGAAACCTGAAAGTCTGAGAACTACCTCTTAATGTTTCTACTGCTTTGCAAGTCAACCTGTTCAGACTTGAAGGTAGTGTGCTTGAGATCTGAACCTTAACTTGTTAATTAGCAACTCATTTGACTGGAAGCTCCTTGAGACCAGCGAGCACATCTATAATGTTCATCGCTATGTACCCAGCCCTTAGCACAGTGCCTGGCACATGGTAAAAATAAATTGAGTATTTCCTGGATGAATGAGTGATTGACCTGAATACCACACGGAAGCCCACAAAATGATGTTTCATTCCCCAACACACAGCAATCATAAATACTGTCTAGTATTCTACCCTGACTCTAGATGATAATTCCAAATTTAAAACTCCTAATTCTCAGTTACAGCCAAAGACTGGCTTATCTAAAACTAATACTGGACTTTTTATTTCCAATAATTGAAGTCTACATTATTTGGATCAGTCTCTCATAGAAAAAAAAAATCTTTAAAATAGAAATCTAAAAGGAGACCTTTTCTGTAATAAGCTAAGATCCTAAAGAACTCCCGAGGGTAAATCAGAATTGGGCCAGCCCTCTTGCTAAATTACAGCTGAGTTCCGATACCTTGGTCATCCAAGGTACAAGGTACACTGAGCCTTGAAATTGGTTTAAGTTGGACCTGGGCTGAGAATGACTAGTGTTTGTTTCCATGTGGAAATTCCTTCTCAGCATTTCTTAGGAAATTTATATGTCTTTCTAAATCAAAAACAAAAAAAACAAAAAAAATCAGCTGAGGACTCTAGGAAACAAGAGAAGGTACTAGGATTCTCCTGAGAGAATAAAGCCTAACAATAAATGCAGAGACATTAAGAGTTTAAAGAAATCCACCAATGTCAAGTTGACGCAAGAGCAGAGAATACTGGCACGCGGAGTAAAATGTTACAAGGTGACATTTCTGGGAATGAGGACAAGAGTGGGTAGGAGGGCCAGGGTCTAATCAGTTAGCTTTGCTCATAGTTGTTGCTATGTAATACATGTGTTTAGAAGAGTGTGTGCTCATGGCCCCGTGTGTTGCCAACAGTGAGTCATTCTTGCAAATAAAATAAAGATTAATAAGCTTACTTGTATAGTATGCTTTATACAGATCTTATAAGGGTAGTCTAAGAAATAAAGTTTTGCAAACAAAGTAAGTCCTTAGCAATTCTGACACATGATTCTGTACAGTGCTAAATCTTGCTCAGAGAGGCAAATGTTCCATTATTTGAAAACCACCCAGTAATGTTTGTCCAGTGTTTTCCACTGCTTAATATTTGCTATATAGTTCTTTATAAATGTTTTAACAGAAGAAATACAAAAGAGATGTGAATATTGCTGTGAAATATCCCTACACAAAATCAGGAACATATCTAAAATCTGAATTAGCACAAGCAATATCAATTTCAATGGCAAAGCCAAAATCAGAAGAAGCAGAAAAAATGTTTTCAACATTAAAAAGAAAATGAGCTTTCATGAGACAACATGCAACCGAACAGCCCTACCCAGAAATGCTTTTTTTTCTTTTTTTAATTGAGACGGAGTCTCGCTCTGTTGCCCAGGCTGTAGTGCAGTGGCACGATCTTGGCTCACTGCAACCTCTGCCTACTGGGTTCAAGCCATTCTCCTGCCTCAGTCTCCCAAGTAGCTGAGATTACAGGTGCACACCACTATGCCCTGCTAATTTTTTGTATTTTTAGTAGAGACAGGGTTTCACCATGTTGGCCAGGCTGGTCTCAAATTCCTGACCTCAAGTCATCCATCCGCCTCGGCCTCCCAGAGTGCTGGGATTACAGGCATGAGCCACTGAGCCCAGCTCCAGAAATGCTTTTGAATACACACTTAACAATTCCACCAACATCAACATAAAATGAAAACCTTTTTTTGATGTATGAAATATTAGTCACAAAACAAAGATCAACACTATCAGATAGAGCAACTAATGCTCTGTGTATTTAAAATACTATTTAAAGGCATGTAAACCAATGGAACAGAACAGAAAATCCAGAAATAGAGCTGCACACCTACAACCAAGTAATCTTCAACAAAGTTGACCAAAATAAGCAATGGGGAAAGAATTCTCTATACAATAAATGGTACTGGAAAAACTAACCATATGCAGAAGAATGAAACTGGACTTCCATCTCTCACCATATACAAAAATTAACTCAAGATGGATTAAAGACTTACATGTGAGGTCTCAAACTACACAAATCCTTGAATAAAACCTAGTTAACACTCTTCTAGACATTGGCTTAGGCAACCTGCAACAAAAACAAAAACTGACAACTGGAACCCAATTAAACTAAAGAGCTTCTGTACAGCAAAACAAACTATCAACAGAGTAAACAGACAACCTACAGACTGGGAAAAACTATATGTAAACTATGCATCCAACAAAGGCCTAACATCTAGAATTTATAAGGAACTTAACAAGAAAAAAAACAACCCCCCTAAACACTGGGCACAGGACATGAACTGACACTTCTCAAAAGAAGACATACAAGTGGCCAACAAATATATGAAAAAAATGCTTAACATCGCTAATCATCAGAGAAGTGCAAATCAAAACCAAATGAGAAACCATCTTACACCAGTCAGAATGGGTATTAAAGTAAAAAAATAACAGATATGTTGGCATGGTTGTAGAGAAAAGGGAACACTTATACACTGTTAGTGGGAATGTAAATTAGTTCAGCCCCTGTGGAAAGCAGTTTGGAGATTTCTTAAGGGGCTAAAAGTAGAACTATCATTCGACTTAGCAATCCCAGTATTGGGTATATGCCCAAAGGAAAATTCTTCTACCAAAAACACACCTGCACTCAGCTGACTCCAGCACTATTCACTACAGCAAAGACATGAAATCAACTTAGGTGCCTATCAACAGTGGACTGGATAAAGAAATCCTGGTATATATACACCATAAAATAGTATGTAGCCACAAAATAGAATGAAATCATGTCCTTTGCAGCAACATGGATGCAGCTGGAGGCCAGTATCCTAAGAAAATTAAGGCTGAAGCAGAAAACCAAATATTGCATGTTTTCACTTATAAGTGGGAGCTACACACTGGGTACACATGGACATAAAGATAGGAACAACAGACACTGGGGACTACAGGACAATGGAGGGAGGGAGGGAGGGAGGGAGGCAAAGGTTGAAAAACTGCCTATTAGGTACTATGTTCTCTTACACAGGTGATGGGATCAATTGAAGCCCAAACCTCAGCATTACACAATATACCCTTGTAACAAATCTGCATATGTACTCCCTGAATCTAACATTTAAAAGTTAAAATAAAATTCTATTTTAAGAGTAATTTAAAATACTAAATATTTGTGGTATTTCTTTCAATTTTTAAATAGTTTTTGACATTTATCTTGTACTAATGCTCTTTTAATGTTTTACATTATCACATTAATTTTCTGATTTTATAGATCTTCTATAGGTGTGTAAGATATTAAGGTTAGGAGAAGCTGAGCGAAGTATATGGAAGCTCTTATTTTTGCAGCTTTCTATAAATCTAAAATTATTTAAAAATGAAATTTAAGAATGTTTTTACGATGTTGATGATAGGGGAAGCTATGTATGTGTGGGGGCACGGGATATGGGAAATCTCTGTACCTTCCTTTCAATGTTGCTGTTAATCTAAAACAGCTCTTACAAAAAACAAGTCCTTTAAAAAAGTCTATTATCAGGTAGAGAATATTTTTACATGTTATTAAAATATATAATCATATCACGACATTGTGGCTCACAACAACAAACCGTGCATTTATCATACACAAATATAAAACCTCTGAAAATGTTAGTGTAATACTAGCACAGGAAAACTTGTCATCTTTGATTATGATCTCTACTACTATTCAAGAATGTGTAAGTAAAAGTTTTTTAAAATACAAGGTTATAATTTAGGAACTCCCAGGAATTCCAACTTCTTACTCCTGAATCTCAAATATTATTATCCTTCAGGAATTTGGAAACATTAGTTGACTACAAACAACTGACAGAAACAAATGCAAATTCTTTCTAGAGTTCAGGTGTCTTCACCTCAACTCTTAAGATTTTCCAAATACTATGACCAGCACACAGTAAGATAATCAGACACACAAAGAGCCTAGACCACAAAAATGAGAACCCATGTGACATCAAAAACAGTCCCACTAACACTGAATATCTTGGAATCATACACAGACTATAAAACAGCTATGCTTACCATATGGAAAGAAAATAAAAACCAAAGCTGGGCATGATGGCTCACATCTGTAATCCCAGCACTTTGGGAGGCCAAGGCAGGCGGATCACTTGAGGCTAGGAGTTCGAGACCAGGCTGACCAACATGGTGAAACCCCATCTCTACTAAAAATACAAAAATTAGCCAGGTGTGGTGGCGGGCACCTGTAATTCCAGCTACTCGGGAGGCTAAGGCAGAAGAATCACTTGAACCCGGGAGGCAGAAGTTGCAGTGAGCCAAGATCACGCCATTGCACTGCAGTCTGGGCAACAAGAGTGAGACTCCATCTCAAAAATAAATAAATAAATAAATAAATAAATAAATAAATAAATAAATAAATGCAGAGTTTTAAGAAGAGGCAGTAGCTACACTAAAAACCTCACTGTGGGTCTGGCACAGCACTGGTCTGACAAGGGGCCTGCCATCTCTGCACTGATTCCCAGGTCCCAAGTAGACCAGTTCAAAGTAACAACAGAAGTAGGAGATCTCTGAAAACTCTGGGAGGTAGAGCAGGCAATTCAATTCAAATCAATTCAGTTAAACTCAACTCCCTTCATTAGGTATTTGAGTCCCTACTATGTATAGAACATCATACCAGGTGTGTGGGAAATGACACACTGAATAATAGATAAAACCTGTCTTCTCAGTAAGCATATTAACAACTAAATATAATATTGATCAGAATTAGATAAATGTTATATTGAAAGTTCTTTAAATCTTAGGCCTTAAATTTTAAAATTATAACTTATACAGAACCAGATTAGAGAAGTAATGCCTGGTGCTCAAACTGGTTAATTTCCACCTCTTGAGGGATAGCTTATATTGTTGGATACACCTTTTATGAAGACAGAAAAAAATGACCTTATGAGAAATTGGCTGTTACTGCAAGGAATAAGTAATTTTATCATATTAGCAATAGATATTATCAAAACACCTTTTGAGAAATCAATCAAATCAACATTAACATACCCAATACTGTATTTGGTGGATTCAAATTTTACAAAGTCTTCCCGAAATAGACTACACCCACATTAAGTCTTTCACAGCACTAAACAGCAATTTTTTTAAAAAGTCAGAACACTTGCTGAATAAACTAATTCTGAAAATGAAGGTCTGGTGAATAAAAAAGAACACCAGTTTTATGTAGTACCAGTCCATTTACCCATTTAAAAACACTGCACACACAAAAAATAAAAATAAAAACACTGCAGTGTTCTTAAGCACAGAAGACATAACATTTTCCATGGAACACTATTAATTCTAAAAAGTACCATTACTGGGAAATTCCTGCTACCTGAAATTTGGGAGTCTTTTATTCTCCCACCTATATATTTGACATGGTTTGGCTGTGTCCCCACCCAAATCCCATCTTGAATTCCTACGTGTTGTGGGAGGGACCTGGTAGGAGGTAATTGAATCATGGGGGGCAGGTCTTTCCTGTGCTGTTCTCGTGACTGAATAAGTCTCACAAAAGATGGTGTTTTGAAAAACGGGAGTCTTCCCGCACAAGCTCTCTCTTTGCCAGCTGCCATCCACGTAAGATGTGACTTGCTCCTCCTTGCCTTCCACCATGATTGTGAGGCCTCCCCAACATGTGGAACGATAAGTCCATTAAACCTCTTTCTTTTGTAAATTGCCCGGTCTTGGGTATGTCTTTATCAGCAGTGTGAACATGGACTAATACAGGAAAATGGTACCAGTAAAGCGGGGCACTGCTTAAAAGATACCCGGAAATGTGGAACTGACTTTGGAACTGGGTAACAGGCGGAGGCTGGAACAATTTGGAGGGCTCAGAAGAAGACAGGAAAATGTGGAAAAGTTTGGAACTCCCTAGAGACTTGTTGAATGACTTTGACCAAAATGCTGATAAAGATATGGACAATGAAATCCAGGCTGAGGTGGTCTCAGAAGGAGATGAGGAACTTGTTGGGAACTGGACCAAAAGTGACTCTTGTTATATTTTAGCAAAGAGACTGGTAGCATTTTGCCTCTTCCCTAGAGATTTGTGGAACTTTGAACTTGAGAGAGATGATTTAGGGTATCTGGCAGAAAAAATTTCTAAGCAGCAAAGCATGCAAGAGGTGACTTGGGTGCTGTTAAAGGCATTCAGTTTTATAAGGGATGTACAGAACAGAAGTTCCAAAAATGTGCAGCCTGACAATGTGATAGAAAAGAAAATCCCATTTCCTGAAGAGAAAAACCAGCTGCAGAAATTTGCGTAAGTAATGAGCAGCCAAATGTTAATCCCCAAGACAATGGGGAAAATGTCTCCAGGGCATGTCAGAGGTCTTCACGGCAACTGCACCCATCACAGGCCCAAAGGCCTAGGAGGAAAGAGTGATTTCCTGGGCTGTGCCCAGGATCACTATGCTGTGTGCAGCCTAGGGACTTGGTGCCCTGTGTCCCAGCTGCTCCAGCCATGGCTGAAAGGGGCCAATGTAGAACTCAGGCCATGGCTTCAGAGGGTGCAAGCCCCAAGCCTTGGCAGCTTCCATGTGGTGTTGAGCCTGCGGGTGCACAGAAGAACTGAGGTTTGGGAACCTCTGCCTCGATTTCAGAGGATGTATGGAAATGCCTGGATGTCCAGGCAGAAGTTTGCTGCAGGTGCAGGGCTCTCATGGAGAACCTCTGCTGGGGCAGTGCAGAAGGAAAATGTGGGGTCAGAGCCTCTACACAGAGTCCCTACTGGGGCACCACCTAGTGGAGCTGTGAGAAGAGGGCCAAAATCTTCCAGACCCCAGAATGGTAGATCCACCAACAGCTTGCACCGTGTGCCTGGAAAAGCTGTAGACACTCAACATCAGCCCGTGAAAGCAGCCAGGAGGGAGGCTGTACCCTGGAGAGCCACAGGGGCAGAGCCGCCCAACACCATGGGAACCCACCTCTTGCATCGGTGTGACCTCGTTGTGAGACATGGAGTCAAAGGAGATCATTTTGGAGCTTTAAGATTTGACTGCCCCACTGGATTTCAGACTTGCGTGGGGCCTGTAGCCCCTTTGTTTTGGCCAATTTCTCCCATTTGGAATGGCTGTATTTACCCAATGCCTGTATCCCCATTGTTTCTAGGAAGTAACTAACTTGCTTTTGATTTTACAGGCTCATAGGCAGAAGGGACTTGCCTTGTCTCAGATGAGACGTCGAACTGTGGACTTTTGAGTTAATGCTGAAATGAGTTAAGACTTTGGGGGACTGTTGGGAAGGCATGATTAGTTTTGAAATGTGACGACATGAGATTTGGGAGGATCCAGGCAGAATGATATGGTTTGGCTGTGTCCCCACTCCAAACTCATCTTGAATTCCTATGTGTTGTGGGAGGGAGCCGGTGGGAGATAATTGAATCATGGGGGCAGGTCTTTCCTGTGCTGCTCTCGTGAGAGTGAGTAAGTCTCATGAGATCTGATGGTTTTGAAAAATGGGAGTCTCCCTACACAAACTCTCTCTTTGCCTGCTATCATCCATGTAAGACGTGACTTGCTCCTCCTTGCCTTCCACCATGATTGTGAGGCCTCCCCAACCATGTGGAATTGTAAGTCCATTAAACCTCTTCATTTTGTAAATTGCCCAGTATCTGGTATCTTCATCAGCAGTGTGAAAATGGACTAATACAATATCTAATGCAAGAATTGTTTACAGGTTTATCTTGAAACTTGTAGGTATAGAAAGTGATGGAGAATCTGGAGTTTGCTAGGGCTTTGGGAATGTAACACTCAGCCAAGGTTCCCTCAGAATTCTTTTTCAGGGACTCTGAAATCAAGGTATCTGGCATTCCCCTGAGAGCTCAAGTACTCATATTAAATGAACACCTTTTTGAGGACTTGTCTAAGCATCTACTTCATGCTGTAGCTTGAGGGTAAATGCTCCTGCTGTTCAGTACAAGCAACCCAGCGGCCTGGCTCCCTAGCTATCCCCTAATCAATTACACTGAATGTGCTCTAGGACCCCTCCTACCGCACCATCTCTTAGTCTGCAGTTCCCTTAGAACTCTGCCCACATGCATAATAGTCCTTTCCTAAGAATATTTTGAATAGAGGTTTCCCTCTCTTTCTGCTATATCATCTTTCAGAAGATTACTTGATTTCCAATAATACTCTTTTTTATTGGAATTTTTTTATTCTATTATTTCCATTCACTTTTATAGACCTAAAGTAGAAAGGGAGGGAGGTAGCTATATGTGCTCAGTCTGCCATCTTGATCCAGGATCTCTGGATCACCATTCTGCTTTTATCTCTTATTAGTATCCTGCTATTCCTAGACCCCCTGGGTTGCTTTCTATTATTGACTTTCCTGATGACACATAAGTTCAAATCTCTGGTACACAAGCCAAAAGTGACATGTATTCACGTTCTTGGGCCCTAGACCAATTGCTGTTGGTTGCCTACCTCTTGTACTCTTCCTATTTATAAATTTTTTCTCCTGTGAGTCTGGTGAATATGAATGAAGTCTCCAGAGGCTTATCATTCCCAAATTAAGGGAAATAATTTGAATTTTCAGTGTGCCAGTATAGGAAGCGGTGAACTATAGTTGTTAGAAACATAAGCTTAAATCCCAACTCCCTTGGCAAGTCACTTAATCTCTTTTCAAATTTAATTTAAAACTTTTTTTTTTTTTAAGAGACAGGTCTCTCTATGTTGCCCAGGCTGCTCTTGAACTCCTGGGCTCTAGTGATCCTCCTACGTCGGCCTCCCAAAGTGCTGGTATTACAGGCTTGAGCCTACTCAATATCTATGTCTTAGTTTCCTCATCTATAGAGTAGCCATATGAATTATCATTGTACCTTTAGGGTAGCTGTGAACATTCTTCCTGTAGGCAAATTCTAACACATGCTTACTAATATGGTAATAAATGTTAGCTATTACTATTATTAAAATCTACTCCCTTGGCCAGGCATGGTATCCCAGCACTTTGGGAGGCCAAGGTGGGTGGATCACTCGAGGTCAGGAGTTTGAGACCAGCCTGGGCAATGTGACAAAACCCCATCTCTGCTAAAAATAGAAAAATTAGCCAGGCGTGGTGGCATGCACCTGTAATCTCAGCTATTCAGGAGGCTGAGGCATGAGATCACTTGAACCCGGGAGGCACAGGTTGCAGTGAGCCAAGATCTCACCACTACAGCCTGGGTGACAGAGTAAGACTCTGTCTCAAAAAAAAAAAGAAAAAAAAGAAATCTACTCTCTGGACAGCAAAGATACAAGATGGAGTTTTCTCATGAGTCTTTCTTAACCTGGAAGTCTTTAGTGCTTAATGGAGCCTGATTAAAGAAAGTTCTACTTAGGGACTTCCCATCTGCACCACTGCTATGGATGCCATAGCAGAATAAGAGACATAAATGTCCCAGAGGTATATGTGTCTCCGAGGTATGAGATTCTTTTTTTTTTTGGAGACAGGGTCTCACTCTGTTGCCCAAGCTGGAGAGCAGTGGCATGATCATTGCTCACAGCAACCTCTGCCTCCCAGGTTCAAGCAATCCTCCCACCTCAGCCTCCCGAGTAGCTGGGACTACTGGGATATACCACCACTCCTGGCTAATTATTTTTTGTATTTTTTTGTAGAAGCAGGGTTTGGCCCTGTTGCCCAGGCTGGTCTCAAACTCCTGGGCTCAAGCAATCCACCCACCGCAGCCTTCCGAAGTGCTGGGATCACAGGTGTGAGCCACCGCACCCGGCAAGGTTTGAGATTCTTTATCTGAGCAGCAAATGAAGTCAGGAGGCTACAGCAGTCATAGGCTCAAAACAGAGTCAGAGGCTCAAGACAGCCTATCTAGGGTGATGAAATAAGAAATTAGGTAGTGAGGCTGGGTGCGGTGGCTCATGCCTGTAATCCCAGCACTTTGGGAGGTCAAGGTGGGCGGATCACCTGAGGTCAGGAGTTCGAGACCAGCCTGACCAACATGGAGAATTCCCATCTCTACTAAAAATACAAAATTAGCCAGGCATGGTGGCGCTTGCCTGTAATCCCAGCTACTCAGGAGGCTGAGGCAGGAGAATCGCTTGAACCTGGGAGGCAGAGGTTGTGGTAAGCCAAGGTCGCGCCATTGCACTCCAGCCTGGGCAACAAGAGCGAAACTCTGTCTCAAAAAAAAAAAAAAAAAAAAAAGAGGCCGGGCGTGGTGGCTCATGCCTGTAATCCCAACACTTTGGGAGGCCGAGGCAGGTGGATCACCCAAGGCCAGGAGTTCAAGACCAGCCTGGCAACATGGCAAAACACTGTCTCTACTAAAAATACAAAAATTAGCCAGGTGTGGTGATGGCGCATGTCTGCAATCCCAGCCATTTGGGAGGCTGAGGCAGGAGAATCACTTGAGCCCAGGAGGTGGAGGCTGCAGTGAGCCAAGTTCATGCCACTGCACTCCAGCCTGGGCAACAGAGCGAGACTGTCTCAAAAAAAAGGAAAAAAAAAAAAAGAAAAGAAATTAGGTAATGAAAATGTAAATCATTTTTTGTCCATCGAGGATGGTAACATATCCCTAAAAAGCCTGGGTAGGCTGTTTCTGGGACTTGTGAGTGTCAAGAAACAATTACATATTATTTCCTCGTCACTTACCTCTTAGTTGCTGGAGTTCCATATTCAAACTTTCAATGTTACTTTCACAGAACTTGAGATCCTCGAGGGTCTCTGCTCTTGATGATTCATCCTGCTTCTCCTCCAGCATGAGGTTTAGCTCTTCTTGAGCTCTACTGTACATATCCAAGTCCCGCTCCATTTCCTCAATCCTCACCAGCACTAAGGGGCATGGGGAGGTCTGGTCCAGACTCCTTCCCATATGACCAGGGCCCTCCTTTTCTAAGGTCTCACAGGTAGGACGGTGTCGAGATAGGAGCTTGGGGGATACCGCATTCGTTCTCTGCTGTGCTGAGGGAGGCAGGGGAGCTGGGCGAGAGGGTCGCACCACCAAGGGTGGTGCAGGTTTTAGGTTCTGGTCAACCAGCAAATGGGGAGAAGTGGATACCGGAGTACAGGGACGAGGTGGCGGTGGCCTTAGGGCCTTTCTCCTTTCCGGCAGCTCCTGCTCGGTGATTAACTTTGAGGAACCTCGGACAATATCCTTCTCAGAGTTAAAGTCCATGATTGAAAAGTGGCGTAAAATTTTATCTGGCTCTGTGCCGGGCCCTGCCAAGCTCTTCTCAAACTCGATCAGCTGTTGTGTCAGCTTCGAGTCCAGGTCAGTGCTGCCGTCTCCCTGTGAATGTGTTGCTGCTTCCATAACAAGCCCTTGGGCTTGCGGACCAGGCTTCATCTCCAATCTCTCTGAGATGGAGTAAACACTGGACGTGTGGTGCTTTTTAGTATAACTTGCTAGGTTGTGGAGCTGAGGACTTGATTGTCTGGGTTTGACTACCCTTGAAGCTGAAACAGAAGAGCCCCTGTAAAGAGGGAGCACTGGCTTCTGAAGAGTTTTTAGCTGGGAATACATTCTTTTGGGAGGTAGGCTGGCATAGTCTCTAGTCCTTGCTTCTAGGGGAAGAAGGTCGGGGTACTGTTCTGAGTGCGGGTGGCTCCCTCCCACTGTAGAATAATACTGGCTTTTCTGCAAGTTGGGATGAAAAGGGACCTGAGGTTGGGAGGAAATACCATTGACTACTTCTGTAGGGTCAGATGTGGGAGAGTCTGTGGCAAGAGGCATTTCCCACTCCACGCCTGGGCTTCTCGGGGGCCCTCCTGCGGTGTCCTCGTCCTGATAAGAGTTTCTGTCTGTGTCATACTCTGAAGTCAGATGACCGAGGGGAGAAGTGGGTGCTTCAGAAATAATGCAGTCAGGCTCCTCGGCCTCATGGTCACTGGTTTCATGTCTTTGTTCCTCTACTCCTAAGGTGTTCTCCAAACAATCCAAAGAAGTTTCCGGGATCCTGGCAAGGCTGCCTTCCTGGGGCAGAGCCATGGTTTCCTCCACCCGTGTGTCAGGACATAATTTCACAAACCGGTAAGGAAAGATGCCTGTCCTGCCCTTCAGGGATCCTTCCAGCCAGCCATCTTCCAAGGTCGCCAGAATTCGGATTTTATCCCCGACCTCGAAATCCAGCTCATTTGGCTCCAGGGCTTGGAATCTGTACAGGGCGACCCCATAGGTCCCTGGCTCCTCCTCATCCTCATCCGGCCCTATCTCTTCTTCTCCTACAGGGGTATCTACTTCACCATTAACAATGCAGTCATCTTGATTTCCAGAACTTACTGACTCATCCACAGTCCTCAGGGGCCCCAACAGCTCTACAAAACCTTCTGGAAAAATGCCTCTTCGGCCCTCTAACTCCCCTTCAAACCAGCCTGGTTCAGGAACTCCAATAATGGTGATCACATCCCCTTCCCTGAAGTCCAGCTCTTCATCCAGCTGAGCAGAAAGCCCCATTAGGGCCCGGGCTTGTCCCATGGAATATTCCGGAATCTGAAACAGGGCGCTCTGGGAGTGCCACTGCCGGCTCTGTGAGGAGAGGCAGAGCTCGCGGACACATGAAGATGGGAAGAAGCCCCGTGCGCCCCAGCAGCTTCGGCCCTGCAGCCAGCCTGCAGTGGGAATGCCATCGAGAATCACCAGGTCACCTAAAGAAAAGAGGAGCAGAGATGGTGACCTCAGTCATCACCCAGCAGAACATTATCACGACTAATAGTGCAACCTCTCATTTTAAACAGCTACCAAATTCAAGGAAATACACCTAGAGCTTTAGGAGCATGAACAATTTTGACAATTTATTGAATTGGAGCAGTTCTATAAACCTGTAGTTTTCAGAGTGTTCCATGGAACCCTACAGGTGGGTCTCCAAGATCCTAGCAGAGAATCTGTGAGGTCAAAACCATTCTCATAATAACACTAAGACTTTATCTACATATTTTACTCTGCTGACTTTTGTAATCTCTGTGAAAAAGCAATGGTGATTAAAACTGCTGGCCAGCTAGGTGCTGTGGCTTACACCAGAAATCCGAGCACTTTGGGAGGCCAAGGCAGGAGGATCGCTTGAGACCAGGAGTTCAAAACCAGCCTGGGCAACATGTCAAGACCTTGTCTCTACAATAAATTTAAAAATTAGCTGTGCACTGTGGCTCATGCCTGTAGTCCCAGCTATTCAGGAGGCTGAGGTGGGAGGATAGCTTGAACCCAGGAGGTCAAGGCTGCAGTAAGCTGTGATTTCACCACTACGCTCCAGTCTGGGTGACAGAGCAACACTTGTCTCAAAAATAAAAATAAAATGGCTGGGCGCGATGGCTCATGCCTGTGATCCCAGCACTTTGGGAGGCCAAGGCAGGCGGATCACTTGAGGTCAGGAGTTCGAGAGCAGCCTGGTCAACATGGTGAAACACCATCTCTACTAAAAATACAAAAATTAGCTGAGCATGGTGGCACGTGCCTGTAGTCCCAGCTATTCAGGAGGCTGAGGCAGAAATTAAACTCAGGAGGCAGAGGTCGCAGTGAGCCGAGATCGCACCACTGCACTCCAGCTTGGGCAACAGAGCAAGACTCCATCTCAAAAAAATAATAAATTAATTAAAAACTGCTGGCAATTCATAAGCAAAGGCAGTAGCCACAAATTACATGAATAGTCACTGTATGGTCATCGTATTCTTCACAACCATGTACTCACAGTTTTTAAAAAAGCCATTTTCAGTTAAGAAGCAATACAAATTATGCACTGTGCTAAATCTCAACCCTTAAGAACAATTCTTTTGTAATATTCTGTGTGACAATATAGGAATTACACATAAAGCACTTTTACTGCTGAGGAGAAGCACGAGTAACTGAGTTATATGCCTGAACCGTCTGTTTATTTTCACATAACACCATTTTATGTGCAAGAATGAATAACAGACAACTATGTTTATTCAGACTTAGATATCTGGCAGATGTTTCCTCCAAAATGAAAGTGAGTCTGAAACATCAAGGAGAACAAATGACAGTATTTGTTGCCAATGATAAAATTCCAACTTCCAAGAGAAAATGAGAATTTTGGAAAACTTGTATCTACTACCATGGGCTTGGCAGCTTTCCCATACTTAAAGATTCTTCTGATGAGATAGTAACAAATATGATTTTTTCACATTGTATGTTGAAATGGTCAACATTTGGAATAACTGAGTAGCTAATTGAATCAATATTTCCTAAATGACAAATGCATGCTGGTATAAAATCATTCATGGCTAAAAGATTCACACTCCAAAAGCAAGATAGATTAATGAATTTTAGTGTAATATTATGAAAGTTCACCGACGTAGTTTCAGATCCCACACTGCAATTAACTCGTAAGAAATTACCAATCGTTGAATTTTGGTGCAGTGTCAACGATGAATATTTGCAATTATTTGAAAAGACTATTAAAATACCTTTTCCTGTCTCCCATTGCATATTTGTGTAAGGCTGGATTTTCTTCACATAATTCCATGAAAACAACACATTGCAACAGATTGAATACAGATGCAAATAGAATCTGGTTTTCTTTTAGTAAGTTGAACATTAAAAATATTTACGAACATGTAAAGCAATGTCATTCCTCATTAATTTTTTTTTGTTTGGAAAGCTATACTTATTTTTCATAAAAATATGTTATTTACGTAAATATGTAATGGGTTTTTAATAGACTGATAAACAAGTTTTAAAAATTCCCAGTTGTAATAGCTAATATGATAAATATCAACAGACACAGCCCACATAAACAAAAGCTCTTTGGGAAAAATACAATAATTAGCCAGGTGTGGTGGTGCCCACCTGTGGTCACAGATACTTGGAAGGCTGAGGCGGGAGAGTCACTTGAACCTGGGAAGTCAAGGCTGCAGTGAGCCATGGCTGTGCTACTTGCACTCCAGCCTGGGCGACAGAGAAAGACACTGTCTCAAAAACAAAAACAAAACAAAAAAACCACCCAAAAAAACAAAAAAGCTCTTTGGGGTCTCAATAACTTTTAAGAGTATACAGGGAGGCCAGGTGCAGTGGCTCACACCTGTAATTCCAGCACTTTGGGAGGCTGAGGTAGAAGGATTGCTGGAGCAGAAGAGTTCAAGATCAGCCTGGGCAACATAGTGAGACCGCGTCTCTATTTAAAATTTAAAAAAAAATTAGCCGGTGTGGTGGTGAGCGCTATAGTCCCAGCTACTTGGGAACCTGAGGCAGGAGGATCGCTTCAGCCCAGGAATTTGAGCCTGCAGTGAGCTATGATGGCACCACTGCACTCCGGCCCGGGCAACAGAGTGAGACCGTGTCTCAAAAAAAAAAAACAAAAAAAAAACAAATCTTTAGTAAAGGGTTCTTTGTTGGAGATGAAGGGTATGGACAATGAATGTTCAATCATGTTCTCCAGAGGCCTTCTTGAACTGTCCCTATCCTGAAAATATATTATAATGAGATCTTAAAAGAAGGTACCAATAATCACCACTTTTGTTTTTGAAAATAACCAATTTTCAGGTTATCCTCACAAAACGTAAGCTGAACAGTTAGCATCTGTCTTATTGTAGAAGAAGTTGAGGTAAAGAAAGGATAAGAGCACAGTATATGTTTCTGGAAAAATGAAATTAAAATTCAGTTCTATATGATTTATGATTTAATTTTGAAAAAATTACTCTAATTTTATCAACTGTTTTATAACAAACTCTTGATTATCTGATTATAAGCTATTCACTTGTAGATTATCTATTTTAATCTTACAGTTAAGATTAAAGTTAATCTTACCTATACTTTTATAGTTAAAATTTCTTTCTCACTCAGTACCCAAGTCAGAGGTGCTCAAGGAATGCACCTGGCCTAGGTAAAATAAGATCTGGGTAGCAAAGCACCTGGCAAAATCCTATGAGTCATTTTATAGTCAAGCACATTGGAAAACTGGGTTATCTTTTATGCTCTTGATTTTTACATGCTCTTGATTTAAAAAAAAATTAGGCCAGGTGCGGTGGCTCACGCCTGTAATCCCAGCACTTCGGGAGGCCGAGGTGCGCAGGATCACCTCAGGTCAGGAGTTCAAGACTAGCCTGGCCAACATGGTGAAACCCTGTGTCTACTAAAAATACAAAATTAGCCAGGTGGGGGGGTGCACGCCTATAACCCCAGCTACTCGAGAGGCTGAGGCAGAAAAATGGCTTGAACCTGGGAGGCAGAGGTTGCAGTGAGCTGAGGCTGCACCATTGCACTCCAGCCTGTGTGACGAGAGCAAAACTCCATCTCAACAACAACAAAAAATTTAAGTCTACTCAGGCAAGGTGGCTATTGCCTGTAGTCTCAGCTACTCGTGAGGCTGAGGTGGAAGACTGCTTGAGCCCAACAGTTCAAGGCTACAGTGAACTATGATCGGACCACTGCACTCCAGCCTGGGTGACAAAGAGAGGCCCTGTCTCTAAAAAATAAAATAAAATAAATAAATAAGAAAAAAAAAAACTAAGTCTGTCTTATATTCCCAAGTAGGTTACAGTTCCTTAATGGTAGGTACCACCTTCTCTTTGGTATCTCAAGAGTCTGGTATGATGCCTTTTGCATGGCAAGCACTTGATGTTCATTTGCTAATGATGATTATTCTTCAACTCCAACTCCCAAATAAATTCATTACATTCTGCTTTCCAAACTGACTTCTGCTGCTCATTTCCTTTTTTCTTCTAATTCCTTCTTTCAAAATATTTCTTCCCTTTTTCTTTTTTTTTTTTTTTTTTTTTTTGTGGAGACAGGGTCTCACCCTATCACCAAGGCTGAGTGCAGTGGTGCAATCATGGCTTACTGCAGCCTTGACCACCCGGGCTCAACTGATTGTCCCACCTCAGCCTCCTAAGTAGCTGAGACTACAGGCATGCGCCACCATACCTAATTTTTATTTTGACAGGGTCTCACTATGTTGCCCAGGCTGGTCTCGAACTCCTGGACTCAAGTGATCCACCCGCCTGAGTCTCCCACAGTGCTGGGATTTCAGGTATGAGCCACTGTGCCCGGCCTCTTCCTTCTACTAATTGCTCTATGCTACGACCCTGGTCCAATTCCCACCATCTCACCCTTTGAAATCTTGTCCCCACGCATTATTTCTTCAAGTCTACCAATTGATTCATGACAAATCAAGATTACAAATGCACCAGTTTTACCATCTCCCTCCCCGGGCCAAACTTTTACCATGAAGCACAAGGAGCCTACTGCTAATGGCTTCTTCCTCAGTAATCCTATTCTTATTACCCAAAATATATAAAAAATAAATTTGCTCTGGACACTCTCTGTAGAGGTTTACTGAGCTACCAAAAGACTTATGCTTTCACCCCAAAGCAAACTTACATTCATGATTATCCAGTCACAACTTTCCCCTTCTCCAACTATCCAATATTATCTCACCTATGATATGAGACCCTATTCCACACAAGGAGGTTTTTATTGTTATGAAGCCGCATCATTATTAACCCCAAAGCCTTACTCCAGTTACACTGTCTCTCCATCTGAAACCTAGGCTTGCTTCTCTAAAAAACCTTAGAAGCTCACATTCATCTTGGCTGTCTATAGCCTAGAAAAGAAATTATTGTCTATATCATGAATTCTGACACTTGTATTTTTATATACTATACAGCACCTAACATAAGATTTTACACTTAGAGAGAGTTGCCCAAAATATTTTCACAAATTTGATATTATTTGGTTTCAGTGTTCCCCAAAAATAGGGTCTTGGTCCTGTATTTCTACATTCCTTTAACTTATGATTCCCTATCCCTTGGTCAGAAGTTGGGGTCCTAAAAAATCACAAGGCTGGGCGCAGTGGCTCACGCCTGTAATCCCAGCACTTTGGGACGCCGAGGCAGGGGGATCACGAGGTCAGGAGATTGAGACCATCCTGGCTAACACGGTGAAACCCTGTCTCTACTAAAATTACAAAACGTTAGCCGGGTGTGGTGGCGGGCGCCTGTAGTCCCAGCTACCAGGGAGGCTGAGGCAGGAGAACGGTGTGAACCTGGGAGGCGGAGCTTGCAGTGAGCCGAGATTGTGCCACTGCACTCCAGCCTGGGCGATAGAGCGAGACTCCGTCTCAAAAAAAAAAACAAACAAAAAACCACAAGTAATTTTTCCCCCTCTGGCCCTAAGGCCATCCATCGAGAACACAGAGGGAATGCACTGGTGACTGACTGCTGTTCAGACACAATGGGCCTCTTGGTGAAGGGGAAGAATAAAAGCGTGCCATAACTCCCACTCTGCTGGCTTTGAAATCAACTGGCTTTCTTAAAGCTGTAGAATTATGCTATTTTCCTTGTTTTGTCAGATCCCCCTGAACCCATATAATAAGGCTTGTTTTCCTATCTATTTTCAACAGGATAACTGTTTTGATAAGCTTTATTACCTGATGGACTGCTATTTTATTGGTTATTTCTACACAGTAAAGGTGAATCTTGAAAAACATACACAATTTAGAACCTGGAAAGTACTTTAGAGATTATTTAGTTCAATACCCTTTTTATTTTAAAATTCATTTGATTATTATTATTTTTTGAGACAGGGTCTCAGTCTGTTACCCAGGCTGGAGGGCAGTGGCTCAATCACTGCTCATTGTAGCCTTGACCTCCCAGGCTCAAGCAATCCTCCTGCCTCAGCCTCCTGAGTAGCTGGGACTACAGGTGTGTGCCACTGTGCCCAGCTAATTTTTTTTTTTGTTATTGTGGAGATGGGGTCTCATTTGTTGCCCAAGCTGGCCTCAAACTCCTGGGCTCAAGTGATCCTCCCACCTAGGCCTCCTAAACTGCTGAGATTAAAGGTGTGGGTCACCATATTCTGCCTCAATGCCCCTGTTTTATAGCCCTGTTACTGAACCGTAAGTCTCTGTTTTTCATCAGAAAGAGTCATACAAGCTATTCCCCTGGGGTCCTAGGTGATTCCTTAGGAACGGATCACTTTTTCCATTAGATTGGTATCTCCAGAATAACTAGTGGTCATTCCCAGACTTCTGAAATGCCAATATGAGGAACTCCTGCACGAGCAAGACCAGATTTTGAGAACAGAAAAATAGGAAGTGTGGTGACCCTTAGGGTCAGCCTGAGCCTTTGACTCATGCACAATTAATCCCAGCCACACTGCTTGTTTCCTCTGGTTGGATTTTTTATTTGAACAGGAAATGCATTAGGAATAAAATGGTAAAAAGGAGTGCAGGTCTTCTTAGAATCGGATATGAGCAGTCTGACTGCAGTCCTGGGTTCCTCACGGACTCCTTTTGGGCTGTCTCTAAATGCCAGGGGAACTATGTGCTTTATGCAGCCTGACCACGTAGAGTATTTTATTCAGGTTTCCATACGAGCCATGTCAGAACTTCTTTCCTGAGAGTTCACATTCATGGCATCACAAATTTATAACACATGTGCTTTGACTGATGAATACCACTGGTCAATTTATTTTTTA
Source organism: Homo sapiens (assembly GCF_000001405.40). Lineage (NCBI taxonomy): Eukaryota > Metazoa > Chordata > Mammalia > Primates > Hominidae > Homo > Homo sapiens. Next base: position 99,963,987 of record NC_000010.11, read on the forward strand.
TTGGCCTGTTGTTTGAGGGGGCAGGTTATAGGCAAGGGATGAGGATTCTGTCTTACGTGAGGCAATTATTAGTGATATTTTATCACTTGTCATAATATGCACTAACTTGTTTCTCTCCTCTCTGTCTTTTCCTTGTCCTATTCTCTCTCTTTTTTTTTTTTTTTTTTTTTTTTGGAGACAGAGACTTGCTCTGTCGCCCAGGCTGCAGTGCAGTGGTGCGATCTCGGCTCGCTGCAACCTCTGCTTTCCGGGTTCGAGCAATTTCTCCTGCCTCAGCCTCCCGAGGAGCTGGGATTACAGGTGCCTGCCACCATGCTGGTAGTGATGGGGTTTCACCATCTTGGCCAGGTTGATCTCAAACTCCTGACCTCGTGATCCACCCGCCTCAGCCTCCCAAAGTGCTGGGATTACAGGCGTGAGCCACTGCGCCCAGCCTCCTTGCACTAATCTCTTATTTTGGCTTTGTTCTTTACTCCCCTCCACCCCCCACCTTTCTTTTCTCCTGTTTTTGTTTTTTTTTTAGGATAGTCAGGGGCACTGGCCACCTGTTTTGATTCTTCTTCTAAGAGACAGACTTGTTTCTCAGTTTAAATATAACTCGAGGCCAGGCGTGGTGGCTCATGCCTGTAATCCCAGCACTTTGGCAGGTCGAGGCAGGCGGATTGCTTGAAGTCAGGAGTTCGAGACCAGCTTGGCCAAAATGGTGAAACCCTGTCTCTACTAAAAATACAAAAATTAGTTGGGTGTGGTGGCACACACCTGTAATCCCAGCTATTCGGGAGGCTAAGGCATGAATATCACTTGAACCAACGAGGCGGAAGTGGCAGTGAGCAGAAATTGCGCCACTGCACTCCCGCCTGGGCGACAGTGTGAGACTCCAGCCCAAGGAAAAAAAAAAAATATATATATATATATATATTTTAACTCAAAACAGTAGGAATAGTCCAAAACAATTACATAGCTTCAGGAAAAGGAAGAAGGGTGACATCTGCTGGAACAAAGATCAGTGGTTCTGATTTCACATAGAATCTCTCTGAGAACAGACACACAAAACTTCACAGACTTATCCCAGAAACAAGATACCCAAAGCACATCAATGAAGCCCAGGCGCCCAGGTTAAGACTAATAAGAATAGCTAGCATTTACTGAGCGCTTACCTACTACCACATGCTTTCCATGTACAACCTCATCTAATCCTCACAATCACCCTGAGGTAGGTATTATATTATTATCCTCATTTTGTAGATAAGAAAACTGAGGCTGAGAGACTTAAGTAACTAGTCCAAGGTCACAGCTATTAAGTGGTGGACTTGGATTTAAACTTAGGCCTGTCAGAATTCTTATCCCCTAAGCTATACTGCCTGCTCTAAATACATATAGACATCTATAAATTACACATATATTTTTTCTCTTATTAATCCTAATGATACTTCTTAAAGGTAAGTAAGTAACAGTGAACTAAAAAGGCACGTGGTAAAACACAACAGATCTCAAACATTATCTCACATACTTTTTTTTTTTTTTTTTTGAGATGGAGTTTCGCTCTTGTTGCCCAGGCTGGACTGCAGTGGCGCAATCTTGGCTCTCTGCAACCTCCACCTCCCGGGTTCAAGCAATTCTCCTGCCTCAGCCTCCCAAGTAGCTGCAATTACAGGTATGCACCATCATGCCCAGCTAATTTTGTATTTTTAGTAAAGATGGGGTTTCACCATGTTGGCCAGGCTGGTCTCGAACTCCTTACCTCAGGTGATCCACCCGCCTAGGCCTCCCAAAGTGCTGGGATTACAGGCTTGAGCTACCATGCCTGGCCCCACATACTCTTAAGGTTTCCAAATCCCCTCCTGACCTATTCCATCATCAACATTTCATTTACAGACACACTGATCTAATGGAAAAAGTGATTTTCAGTCTAGGAAGTTGAAGCGCCATCCCAAGCACTAGACTTAAAAAACAGGAAACCTAGATGCAAGTCTGATAAACTTGCATATCTGGCATAAAACAATACTTTCATTTTTTAGTGATTTTGTTTCCCACCAGTAAATACCTGTTGATGTGACTTGTCACGTATACAAAAAGAGAAATTAAAATCATTTGTGCACAAGCTAAGTTTCCCAGAAAAAGGCAAATTGCATAGGTATAACTAACTTCTCCATCCTCCAAGCCTTGTGTTTCCAAATTAAAAGACAGAGCTAAAAAAAAAACGTGAAAGGCATAGAAGGAAAGCTGACTGGTCAGTGTGTTTACTGGCAGTAGATTATCACAGAGAGGAGAACAAGATAAAACCATGGATAATTAGTACATCTCATTCTAGTCTCTCTTTCCCAGTGTATCCCCCTGCCCACATCCTCTTCCTTTGGATTCCACTTACATCTTTAAGCTTATTAGGCTTAACTGGTTAAAAGGTAGTCAAGATAAAATCTAGATTCCAGGTCCTGGCCTGACCTTGAGTCAGTCTTCAGACAGGTGACTCACGATGCCAGATTCTTTCTGAGAATCTCTCGGATGGCATGCTTCCTAAGAAAAGTTCATGCTACCCACATCCTCTGAACAGCTCAGCGGAAGCCACTGTACTCTTGTCCTTTCTCCATTCCATCAGATATGGACTACAGACTCCACTGGGAGAGCTATGAGTAAGGACAGATAAGGTCCCTGCTATAATCTCTTAATCTATTTCTGTCTACCTTCCCAACACTGATTAACAAGAAAGCATAGAGCTGAAGTAGAGACTGAGTATAAAGTGAAGTGTAAGAAACTCTCAAAACAACAGAGCGTGGTGGCGTTTTCTCTCGTTAATACGTTTTGTTTTTTTTTTGAAACAAGGTCTTGTTCTGTTGCCCAAGCTGGAGTGTAGTGGCGTAAACACAGCTCACTGCAGCCTCAACCTCCTGGGCTCAGGCTCCTGCCTCAGTTTCCTGAGTAGCTGGGACCACAGGCATATACCACTGGTATGCACCACCATGCCTGGCTAATTTAATTTTTTTTTTTTTTTTTGTAGAGACAGCGTCCTGCCATGTTGCCCAGGCTGATCTCAAACTCTTGGGCTCAAGGGATACTCTTGCCTTTGGCCTCCCAAAATGCTAGGATTACAGGCATGAGCCACTATACCCAGCCTCTTATCAATCCTAATGATACTTCTTAAAGTTAAGTAAGGTCTGTAATCCCAGCTACTCGGGAGACTGAGGTGGTAGCATCACTTGAGGCTAGGAGTTTCAGACCAGCCTGGGCAACAACGTGAGACCCTGTGTCTTAAAAAATAAAATAAAATTTGTATAATAAAAAATAAATAATCGCAGCACTTTGGGAGGCCAAGGTGGGCAGATCACAAGATCAGGAGTTCAAGACCAGCCTGACCAAGATGGTGAAACCCCATCTCTACTAAAAATACAAAAATTAGCTGGGTGTGGTGGCAGGTGCCTGTAGTCCCAGCTACTCAGGAGGCTGAGGAAGGAGAATCGCTTGAACCTGGGAGGCGGAGGTTGCAGTGAGCCGAGATCATGCCACTGCACTCCAGCCTCGACAGAATGAGACTCCGTCTCAAAAAACAAACAAATAAATAAATAAACAAAATAAAACAAAATCTAAAAATAAAGAAATTCTCAAAATAGATTTTGAGGATTAAGGTCAAAATCCATTATTCCATTCTTATCACTAAGGGTTAGAGAAGTTTGATAGGTTTTTCTGGGTGTGTGTGTGTGTGTGTGTGTGTGTGTGTGGGTATGTGTGTACATGATTTAAGAAATGAAGCCTGTCCCTTTTGTGCCATATGCCAAAGAGCAAGTAATGATATTAATAACACACCTAATAAGTTCTACTGTTTTGATGACTGAGTCATCACAAAATTGGATTGATCAGAAGCTTCTGTCTTTTAGACACTACTGGTTTCTCTGTTTATGCAGAATGGACTTAAGGATACTTGTTGAAATGGTTTATAGTTTGTTCATCTAATCAGAGTGCAAGAAGGGAGAAATACTTGGAAAATCACTGAGAGATAGCTATGACTACCTGTTTTAATTTATATTTATATATTTATGTATTATTTATTTGAGACAGGGTCTCGCTCTGTCACCCAGGCTGGAGTGCAGTGATGTGATCATAGCTCACTGACGCTTCCAACTCAAGCGATCCTCTTGCTGCAGCCTCCTGAGTTGTTAGGACTATAGGTGCATACCACCATGCCTGGCTAAGTATGACTATCTGTTTTAAATCACTTCCTTTTAAACTGGCTCTGATAAGACAGTAGTAAAATGCGGATGTTTTGCACCTATCTCTTAATTTCCACATCAAAATTCCTGCTCTACTATTATACATTAATAAATGGTAATATTGTTAGCAAAGCCGTACCCAGTTATTTTTTTCTCCCTCCGCCCACGCCCCGTATCAGTTTTTAAAAGAAAAAAAGAGAAATAAAGCCTGAAGTTGGTCAGGCGCAGTGACTCATGCCTGTAATCCCAGCACTTTGGGAGGCCGAGGCAGGCAGATTGTTTGAGCCTAGGAGTTCGAGACCAGCCTGGGCAATATGGCAAAACCCCATCTCTACCAAAAATACTAAAAATTAGCCCAGCGTGGTAGCACGTGCCTGCGGTCCCAGCTACTCATGAAGCTGAGGTGGGAGGACTGCTTGAGCCTGGGAGGCAGAGGTTGCAGTGAGCTGAGATCGCACCACTGAACTCCAGCCTGGGCAACAGAGTGAGACTACTGTCTCAAAAAAAAAAAAAAAAAGAGAGAGAGAGCATGAGCCTGAAGTGTGGCTATAGCATGGGGGCATTGGAAAGATAACACTGGACTTAGAATATGATCAGTTCATATTCTGAGGCCAAGACTTCCCACCTTCGGCCAACAGTCTTTGAATTTTGCTCTCATTATTTATAAAATACAGTTAATAATCCCCACTTTCCTACCTCCCAGGTCTGTGCTGAGGATCAAATGAGAATATATTTGTGAGAAAATACCTTGGAAATTTTAAAATGGTACTAAACTATAAGGCATCATTACGTCCACGCTATTTGGTATTGCCGAGGACTCTCTAGAGGTTAAGCCACTTCACAAATTCAAAAAGGATCTGGTTGTCGAAACGGGCAGACTCCAAAAATCTAATTTCAAATAGTCTACTATTTGATGAGCAGCTTACCTCGATGGAGGGGAAGATTATCCAACTCTTGGGATGTGAATTCACAAATGCACACAAACAGCCTCTCTCCCTCTTTTAGACTGGGAATGGTCACAATTTCCACAAAACTGCTGGGGAATTGTCCTGAAAATAAAAGCAAACATATTAAATTTTAATACTGAGATTTCTTTTCCCGTCTGTGTACAAGGACAAAAACTTTTCTTCTGAGTCCATGTATAGACCGTAACTTGAAAACTCAGGGAATACTCATAATTGGAGAATCTGTTGGAGAAGAAGTATAGTGCACAAAACTAGATGCATGCAGGACAGACAGAATGCAATTCAATTTGGTACGCATTTACTGGGGGCTGCTATAGGCAAAGCACGCTGCAGAGGAAAACATAAGACAGTTTTGGTTTTCAAAGATCTAAAAACCTAGTTCAGACAAAAAGTCGAATTCAGACATAAATAATAATTCAATCCTGAAATCTGGTATCATAACGTAAGTACACAAATTGTTACGGAAGTTCAGAAAAGGTAGGTAATAGGTCAGGAAGAACATAAAAAACTTTATGAAAACAATAGCATTTGAATCTGACGGTGGACAAGGTTTTAATAGGTGGTGGGAGAAAGACAGGGCCTGCCAGTTGGAAAGTATCAGAAAGTCTGATTGATTCTACCTTCTGTCTCTGGGTATATTTATCTCCAGACCCACCACCTTGGTCCATGCCATCACCATCCCTCACCTGGATTACTGCAGCGACCTTCCAAATGCTTCCCTGCCTTCAGTTTTGTCCCTTTCTATCATTCTTAAGTCTGCAGCAGTGAGTTTTCTAAAATTCAAATCTGATCATGTTCAAAGCACTTTCAGGGTTTCCCATTTTCTTCACTCCTTACCATGGCATACTCTGTCTCCCATGATCCAGCTTTTGCTCATCTCTCCAGCCCACCTTTCTCCCTCAACCACTCACACCTCATGCCCTACTAAACTTCTCTAGGTCCCCTGTGTTCTCACATTCCAGGGACCTTCAACAAGCAATCCTCTCTGCCTACCATCTTTCCTTGCTAACTCCTTCTCATCATTTTTGTCTCAGCTGAGATACCATTTCTACTGGGAAATAATTTATCTCCCAAATGTGGGTTAAGTGTCAACAGAGTGTGCTCGAAGGACTCCAACCCAGACTTACATAAATATGAGTACATGCAAGTTAAGGATTGGATTAACACAGATGCATGTGGTGTGGGAAAAGCTTCCACCCTTCCCTAGGCTTATTAATGAAAGAAATCGATGTGAACATATATCTTACAGAATTGAAGAAAGCTAACCAGGTGCGTGGAATGTGGGTGGTAGGTACCATGTAGGGTAAGGGATAACTTTAATAAATTTGGGCCAGCCATGGATCCAAGAAGGAGTGAACAGGATGAATCATGCTCCTTTGAAGAAAATGAAAGAAAGATCACTTCTCAGCCTTTTGCCTAAGATCAAGTGAAGAATGAAAGAAAGGGTAGAAAATGTTCAAAGAAGACAGCCAGAGGAAACAAGGTGGAGAGCACCTTGTGTTCCACAAATCATAAAGCTGGTTATGAAAAGCAGTAGTGCCGGGTGCGGTGGCTCACACCTGTAATCCCAGCACTTTGGGAGGCCGAGGCAGGCGGATCATGACGTCAGGAGATTGAGACCATCCTGGCTAACATGGTGAAACCCCGTCTCTACTAAAAATACAAAAAATTAGCCAGGCGTGGTGGCATGTGCCTGTAGTCCCAGCTACTCCGGAGGCTGAGGCAGGAGAATGGCATGAACCTGGGAGGTAGAGCTTGCAGTGAGCCGAGATCATGCCACTGCACTCCAGCCTGGGCAACAGAGCAAGACTCCGTCTCAAAAAAAAAAAAAAAAAAAAAAAAAAAGGAAAGCAGTAGTAAACAACAGGGTTATGAAGAAAGGAATAACATGTTTTGAGAAGAGGAATAATAGCACTGAACACAAAGGATAAAGACCTGGGAAGGGAAAGCGGGTGAAAGACAAAGACTTGGATAGAAACCTGGGCTGGGGCAGCTGGTGTCTAGTGGTGCAACCTCTTGAAGGAATCAACACAGAGATGGAATGGTAACAGAAATCTTCCCCTAACTGGTAGAGACCACATATGAATACAGTAGGTAAACACAAAAGGATTCTGAAATTTATTGACTTGGGCTTCCCATTTAGCTAGCTTTCTTTTCTTTCCTTCCTTCCTTCCTTTCTTTCTTTTCTTTCTCTTCCTCCCTCCCTACCTCCCATCCTTTCTTATTTATTTATTGAGATGGTGTCTTGCTATGTTGACCAGGCTGGTCATGAACTCTTGGCCTCAAGCAATCCTCCCATCTCAGCCTCCCAAAGTGCTGGGATTATAAGCATGACCCACCATGCCCAGCCTTTATTTTTATTTTTATTATTTATTTACTTATTTAGAGACAGAGTTTCACTCTTGTCGCCCAGGCTGGAATGCAATGGCACAATCTCAACTCACTGCAATCTTCACCTCCTGGGTTCAAGCAATTCTCCAGCCTTGCCTCCTGAGTAGCTGGGATTACAGGCACGCGCCACCACACCCAGCAAATTTTGTATTTTTAGTAGAGACAGGGTCTCACCATCTCACCATGTTGGCCAGGCTGGTCTTGAACTCCTGACTTCAGGGGATCCACCCACCTCAGCCTCCCAAAGTGCTGGGATTATAGGCATGAGCCACTGTGCCCAGCTAGGAATAATTTTCTTTCTTTCTTTCTTTCTTTCTTTTTTTTTTTTTAAGACAGGGTCTCACTCTGTTGCCCAGGCTGGAGTGCAGTGCCAGCCTTTATTTTTAATATGGAAAGAAGTCAGGGCCTGTGGTCCACTATGAGTCTCTTACTTACCTGTAACATCCTCCTTCTTTCCTAGAAGCCAAAATTCATCCACCACTGCCAGCACCTCAATAATATCTCCCACAAAGAGCGGCAGTTCTTCTGATACGCTAGGGCAGAAGTCAAAAATGGCTCGAACCACTGAGCCAGCCTCCATGTTTTATAACCTGGAAAGATAGATCAAGAGAAATAGAAAACATCAATATTTAAGACACTGCAATATAGATCTATTTCTTGGAATGATAAAGCTTAAGATACAAATATACTTAAAATGAAGCCAAAGCTAAGCAAATAAGTTAGTACTTCCTATTTTATTTTTGAGACAGGGTCTCACTCCCATCGCCCAGGCTGGAGTGCAGTGGAGCAATCATGGCTCACTGTAGCCTCGACTTCCTGGGCTCAGGTGATTCTCCCAGCTCAGTCTCCCAAGAAACTTGGGCTACAGGCATGTGCCACCATGTCCAGCTAATTTTTTGTATTTTTACTAGAGGCAGGGTTTCACCATGTTGCCCAGGCTGGTCTCAAACTCCTGGGCTGAAGCAATCTGCCTACCCTGGCCTCCCAAAGTGCTGGGATTACAGGCATGCTCCACTGTACCTGGCCTCATATTTTAAAATATCAAAGTTATTTCTCATTTCTTTTTCCCTTTTTGGGGGCCGGGGGAAACAGGTCTCGCTTTATCACCCAGGCTGGAGTGCAGTGGTGTGATCATAGCTCACTGCAGCCTCCAGCTCCTGGGCTCAAGTGATCCTCCTACCTCAGCTTTCTGAGTAGCTGGAACTACAGGCGCACACCACTGTGCCTGACTTTTTATTTTTATTTTTTGAGATGAAATCTCGCTGTGTGTTCCACACTGGAGTGCAGTGGCACAATCTTGGCTCACTGCCACCTCTGCCTCCTGGCTCAGCCTCCCAAGTGATTCTCAAGGCTCAGCCTCCCAAGTAGGTAGGACTACAGGCATGCACCACCATGCCCAACTAATTTTTGTATTTTTAGTAGAGACAGGGTTTTGCCACATTGGCCAGGCTCATCTCAAACTCCTGGCCTCAAGTGATCTGCCCACCTCAGCCTCCCAAAGTGCTGGGATTACAGGCGTGAGCCACTGCCTGCGGCATTTATTTATTTATTTATTTATTTATTTATTTGTAGAGATGAGATCTCACTTCGTTACCCAGGCTAGTGTTGAACTCCTGGCTTCAGTGATCCTCCTGCTTTGGCCTCCCAAAGTGTTGGGATTCCAGGCATGAGCCACCGCACCTGGTCTAATTTAAAAATAATAATTTCTTCATATATTTTTCATTTGGACCGCAAAGGAATTCAGGAACAAAACAAAACAAAACAAAACAAAAACCCTAGACCTCTCAGTGATAGAAAAGATTCAAGTGTCAGCAAATGTAGGCTTTTCAGAATGCCTGAAGAGGGCAGTAATGAAATTAACATTTTTAAAACACCAGACAACATGGTAATTTTAAAATACAATACTTTAAAAAGTAGAGATTTTAAATATGGCATTTTATTCCCTATAGATCTTAAAGATTAGGATACTAAGGCTCAGTATAGTTAGAAAACATTATTTGTCCAAGATCACAGTGCTCACAGCAGCAGGGCCAGAACTCAAACTGAGGGCATTCTGGTTCCTACCTACTGAGACTATCTGCAAACAAATGTACCACAACCTGAAGAACAGCAGCAGAACTATGCCTCAAAGGCCTAGATGGAAAACCTGTTGGGGACTGGCGCGGTGGCTCGCACCTGTAATCCCAGCACTTTGCGAGGCCAAGGCGGGCAGATCACCTGAGGTGAGGAGTTTTGAGGCCAGCCTGGGCAACATGGTGAAACCCCGTCTCTACTAAAAACACAAAAATCAGTCAGGCACAGTGGCGGGTGCCTGTAATCCCAGCTACTTGGGAGGCTGAGGCAGGAGAATCACTTGAACCTGGGAGGCCGAGGTTGCAGTGAGCCGAGATCATGCCATTCATTGCATTCCAGCCTGGGTGACGGAGTGAGACTCAGAAAAGGAAAAAGGAAAAGGAAAGGGAAAATCTATTGAATGGCTCATGCCTATAATCCTAGCACTTCGGGAGACTAAGGCTAGAGGATCAATTGCAGTCAGGAGTTCAAGACCAACGTGGGCAACACAGCACGACTTCACCTCTATTTTATAAAAAAAAAAGTTAGAAAAGTAAAAATCTGTAAGAAAGGAAGAAAGGACTATGTAGATGGCACCTCCAGACAAGATTTAGCATCCTATGCCAGATCAAGTATATGTTTTTGGTTCACAGAAGTCAGTGGCCCAACCCCGGGGAGTATCCTTGTACTGTTACGGTGTCTGTGCTGTAATAAGACGATGTGTCCATTACCTTGATGCATGTGGCTGGGGAACCTACGTATGTATTGAAGCAGCAGAAAGAGAGGACATAAGTAGTGGACATCCATCCCTCTGTAGACAATCAGCCTTGATGACAGCTACATTTCTCCCTAGGTCTCTTAAAGGAGCAGCTGAAGATCACCAGAGTATCCAGGCCTGAAATCTGTTTTTCTTTTCTTTTCTTTTTAGAGATGGGGTCTTGCTCTGTTGCCCAGGCTGGAGTGCAAAAATAGCTCACTGCAGCCTTGAACTCCTGGGCTCAAGTGATCCTCCTGCCTCAGCCTCCCAAGTACAAGTCTATTTTCAACCATCTCAAGTACTTATTTGGTCTTGGTAGAGATGAATGAGGACTCTACCTTCCATCTCACATACAACCATCATCACATCAAAAAGCATGAAGTGCCTAATTACAAAAAAAGAAAAGGTAGTGGTAGCTCTGTTAATTTTATTTATTTATGAGACAGGGTCCTATTCTGAGGCCCAGGCTGGAGAGCAGTGGCTCACCGTAGCCTCGATATCCAGGGCTCAAGCAATCTTCCCACCTCAGCCTCCTGGGTACATATGGCTACAGGTATGCATAACCATGCCCAGCTAATTTTTTTTGTACCTTTTTGTAGAGACAGGGTTTTACTATGTTGCCCAGGCTGGTCTCAAACTCCTGGGCCACCCACCTTGGCCTCCCAAAGTGCCAGGGGGTTACAGGGAGAAGCCACCATACCTGACCTCTGTTAATTTATAATCCAGCCAGGCACGGTGGCTCATGCCTGTAATCCCAGCACTTTGGGAGGCTGAGGCGGGTGGATCACCTGAGGTCAGGGAGCTCGAGACCAGCCTGACCAACATGGAGAAACCCCGTCTCTATTAAAATTACAAAATTAGCCAGGCGTGGTGGTGCATGCCTGTAATCCCAGCTACTCAGGAGGCTGAGGCAGGAGAATCACTTCAACCCAGGAGGCGGAGTTGCAGTGAGCCAAAATCGCACCATTGCACTCCAGCCTGGGCAACAAGAGCAAAACTATGTCTCAAAAAAAAAAAAAATTATATCCAAGAAAACACTGATGTGGATAAACATATTAGGCATATAATAAATCATTTAGTATATTAATATGGAGTACCTAGAAGATGTTAATAAATCATGCTACACAAACATTACCTATTTAATTTGTACTGTCAAGCAAAAGTAGGTTATCTTTGTGTTACTTATTATAGACTTTTTGTCTATAATAAGACGACTTGAGTCCACAGTGGAAAAGAGAAGTGGTAAGTGGGTATTTCCCACAGATGCTACTAACACATTTTCTCTAAGTATTACCAAAAAAAATCTAATTATAATTACATGCTGCAGAGGCAGCATATATGAATGTAAAGCACTAGGCTTCTGTAGTCAGAGAGACCCAGGTCCACAGGCCAGCTCCACTATTTATTAGCGATTTCACCTTGGACATCTTACTTAAACTCTCTGGGCTTCAGTTTCCTCATCCAGAAAAATGGAGATAATCATACTTTCATAATAACCATCAAGACTATTATAGTTATAACAGTGCCTAACATTCATTGAGTACTTCCTAGGTACATGCATTTACCATGTACTTCCCTGAGTCCTCGCAAGGACCCTATCATATGTTATTGGTTCCCATTTGGCAGGTGGGGACACGGGATCAGAGAGATGATAGCTGTCCAAGGTCACATAGTAAGTCAGAGGTGTAATGGGAACCCAAATCTGTCTGTCTCCAAAGCCTTAACCAGTATGCTAACAGTGTGAAAGCACCTAGGTCAGGGCTGGTATAGTAGCTGCTCAATAAACATTAGTCATTATTACAAAGCATCATTTCCATAATCAACTGCAAGCTCAAATTTGTGTCACTGATATAGCATCATCAGAGAATGTGCTATTTCAAACATATAAACTCTACGGAGCTTACCATTTCAACATGTCAAAACCTGGTTAACTTTGATTGTTTAAAAATAGACACACTCCAGACTTCCCTGACTTCTTTATTAGAAGACCTTGAACATGACTTACTCTTTGGCTGATGGGTCCAAGTTCATTATTAAGACTACACATTACTGTATTAAGCTGTGATACACAATACCAGCACTGTCTATCTTTTAGGCCTTTCTCTTTCAACGTCAGCCTACCCTCTGCTCTCCTCTGTCAACTTTTCCACGCCCTTGCTATATTGCTGTTTATGATCTGCTATGGAGGGGAGACCACACGCATACTACCAAAATTATGTAAAGTTCCTAGATAAATAAAAGTAAACAAGCTCTAAATGCGAGGCTAACAAACTCTACTGTGGTGGGAAAGGACACATGTTCGTGGTAGAGTTTTTCAACAGTTATTTTCATGTGCACTGAGGCCCCTTTCTTACTTTCTGGCTGTCTTCCAGAGGACTGAAGTTGCCAGATGTCAGATTTCCACATAAGGGTGGTGTCCTAAGTATTTTCTTAAAAAAAAAAACACCACACATAATGTCCTGCAAACTTCTTAGCCATCTAGATGTTTATGTTATTAAAACTATTCCTTAACCTTCGGCCAAATTAGATACTATTTTTCTTCTTATACTACATTTTCTCAGATTTCATCTATCAGACTAGATATATCTAATTATCTAAAATATCAAGTAAAGAATTAGCATAAACCCCATATAATTACTTAGAGAACTACCCCATTACACAAAGGGAGTAATGCTTGTAATCTGAAAGAGTTAAAGCTTCTCCCAGAGAACCTTTTCACTCTACCAGAAAATGACTCAGAAGCAGAGGAGAATCTGGCTCAATAAATACTTTTACTGACTGACCTCCTACTCCATTGGAATGAGTGCATAATCACTGAGGAGCACACACCCTAGAAGGGTACTGAAGTCACGGCCTCGCTAAATTACATGATTCATGTGTGAGACCCAAAAGTATGTATAATATGACGAATCTCATCTGTCTTCTCTGCCCTGTATACCCTATGAAAAGCAGCTACTCTTATTCATGCCAGGGCCATTTTAGAAGCCTGAGCATATATTTTGAAACAATCATAAATGGCTTCTATAAGCTGTTCCACCAACTCCAGATAGAAGTAAAAAGAACTGCAGAGGAAATCAGAACACAGATGGGCTTGAGAGAACACCGAGGAAATTACTGCTTATATGGCATGATTTCAGGGACAGCAGAAAAATTTGCTATGAAAACACCATCTTCTTCCCTTGCTGGTGAACGCCTATCTTTCCACCTTTAGGGAGTCATTCTGCATTTGAAATATAGATATATTTGGAAAGAAAATTCTTCAAACCCTTTTAGAATGTAAACTCTGTGAAGGAAGAGATTTATTTCATTCACTGGTCTACAGCAGTGCCTGGCACATAAAATATTTTCAGATTTTTGATGAACAAACGATTTGTTGAAGTTTGGGAAAATATATGAAACTCTTTTTTTATTCTTATCTTTTAAAAATTTTTTTCCAATAATCCAACCTGTCACAATATATGAAACTATTCATATCAAAATCTCAAGTTTTACTTACCTAAAACTAAATTAACCATCTCTTCCCCAAAAATAGTTTTACCTTCCAGCTTGTCTATCTATGTATGGCACTGGCAACAGTGCCATAGCAATGTCATAGAAATCTTCCAGGTCAAGCATTAATGTCTTGGACTTCTTCATCCTCTATGGCAGACGGTACACTAAGAACAACAGCTATTGTATGATTATCTACCAAGTGTCAGACACTGATCTAGGAGCTTAAATCCTCACGACTCCGCAAGGTAGACAGCAAGTCTCCAAAGCCAGGGTGCCTGCATTCCAATCCCAGCACCACCACTGAGCAATTTACTCAATCTCTTTAGCTGACAAATAGCTAAACCAGAACCCGAATTCAGGCCTGTTTGATTCCCATGCCCACGTTCTTTTTATGGCAAACATCACTTTTCTTAAACTTCATTGGTTCTTCCTTCAACATCCTCTAGACTTCCATTTTTCTGTTTCTCCAACATTTAACTATGAAAATTTTCAAACAGTGAGGTTGAAAGAATTTTACACCCACCACCTAGATTCTAGCATTAACATCTTACTGCAGTTACTTTATCACATATTATCTATCCCTTTATTCGTTTATCAATTTGTGTTATTTTTTGGATGCATTTCAAATATATATATTTTTTATTTTGATGCACTTCAAAATAAATCATAAACATTTCCCACCAAACTCTGACATATATATCTTAACTAGAGTCCAATATTTGTTTACGGTTTTTGTTGTTGTTGTTTTCTTTTTTGAGACAGGGTCTCTGTCACCTAGGCTACAGTGCAGTGGCGTGATCTTGGCTTACTCTAACCTCTGCCTCCCAGACTCAGGTGATCATCCCACCTCAGCCTCCTGAATATCTGCGATCACAGGTGTGTACCACCACACCTGGCTAATTTATTTACAGAGGTGAGGTTTTGCCATGTTGCCCAGGCTGGTGGTCTTGAACTCCTCAACTCAGGTGCTCTGCCCTCCTCGGCCTCCCAAATTGCTGGGATTACAGGCGTGAGCCACCACGCCTGGCCAGCAGTTTTTTTTTATTTTTGTTTTTTTAAAGTACCTTTTTCCTCTCCCTACTGGCCAAGGAATTACAAATTCTGGATTTTAACAGAATTGCAGTTCTGTTTTCCCCACTAAAATGGCAGTAAATCTGATTAATCTTTCTAAAATGTCAATTTATATATATAACACAGTTGGATGAGAATTTACAGGTCCTCCTATTTTCTATAATTCATACATTCAATGAATATTTATCAAGCCAAATGGCATCAACCAAAGCCCTATGCAAACTAAAAATCTGGCTTGACTGGGTAAGCTAATCATTTGATGACCCTTCACCCAACATTCTAGGTATTTATTCTCTAATCCTGTTGGTGGCGGACAGTAGCGTTTAGAGTCTCCTCTATTGTCCTAAGCAATTCAACTCCTATCACCAAGTATCTACCCAACTGGGAAAAAAATAAAGCCCGAGCACTAATCTCAAAAGGAGACACTCACTCAGTCTTACCCATTCAATGTGGGGGTCGGGGAAGGACTCAAATCTGCAGTGACTTTTTTTGTGCCTCAAGGATATTTTAATACTTTCTATGGACTAAAGCCTTTGGCAGTTACCTATTAATCCAGCTTTGCTCCAATGATGTGTCCAGGAACCTTCCTGGTGTTGTGTGGGAGATAAGTTATAGTCCCTGCACCCAAGAAGCTTAGTTTAGTCCCCACCAATTCCCAAAACATGTTCTGAGGACGCTAATCTTTGTGCTCCAAGACACAAGAGCTCCATGATCATGATAAACTCCAGGAAGGCTATAAACCATATTTCCTTCTTAGAGGAGCATTTTAAAATTAGCATATTAAAGACTGAAACAATTTGGCAAGAATCCTTTTCAATCTGGCATTTCTAAACTTGTCTGGCCACAGCACGCCGTTTTCAGGCCCCACTTCAGATTTGTGTAACCTTGTCCCACTCCACTTGTCATTCATAAATAATATTCAGGGCAGTCCCATCCAAACGAAATGTCTCAGCTCCCATAAGGCACTGTCCGCTCAGAACTTGTTTTTTGGTTTACTGCTGTTTATTTCCTCCATGGTCAGTCCCACATATTTAAACACTTTCCACACCTGGAGTACTTCCCCCAAATGATGCCACCTCTCCTGCTCAGGTCCACTCATTTGCCATGTCTTAAGTCCTGCAGCCCTTGCTCTTATATCAACCATCTTGCAGATTTGTGAGACATTGGACTGGACATGTAAAAGTTAAAAGCCATGAGAGTAAATGTATCAGAGAAAACATATTCAGAAATAAAATTTACAATGTAGAGCTGGGTGCGGTGGCTCAGGCCTGTAATCTCAGCACTTTGGGAGGCTGAGGCAGGCGGATCATCCGAGGTCAGGAGTTCAAGACAAGCCTGGCCAACGTGGCGAAACCCTATCTCTACTAAAAATACAAAAAAATTAGCCAAGTGTGGTGATGCATGCCTACAATCCCAGCTACTCAAGAGGCTGAGGCAGGAGAATCGTTTGAACCCAGAAGGCAGAGGTTGCAGTGAGCCAAGATTGGGCCACTGCACTCCAGCCTGGGCAACAGAGTAAGACTCCGTCTCAAAAAAAAAAAAAAAAAGTTACAATATGTATCACTGTAAAGTGCTACAACACAGATGAACCTTGAAGACATTAAGCTAAGGCTGGCCTCAGTGGCTAATGCCTGTAATCTTAGCACTCTGGGAGACCAAGAGGAGAGGATCACTTGAGCCCAGAAGGGCAACATAGTGAGAACCCAACTCTACAAAAAATTAGAATTAAAAAAAAAAAAATAGCTGGGCGCAGTGGCAGGTGCCTATAGTCTCAGCTATTCAGGAAGCTGAGGTGGGAGGGTTGCTTGAGCCCAGGAGATTGAGGCTGCCATGAACAGTGTTTGTGCCACTCATTCCAGCCTGAGCCACAGAGTGAGACCCTGTCTTAAAAAAAAAGATATTAAGCTAAGTGAAATCTGCCAGACACAAAAGGACAAATACTGCATGAATGAGGTACACAGAGGGGTCAAATTCATAAGAGATTAAAAGCTGAATGGTGGTTGCCAGGGGGTAGGGGCGAGAAGAGGAGATAGGGAGTTAGTATGTAATGGGTACAGCATTTCAGTTTAGGAAGATAAAAAAAGTTCTGGAGATGAATGGTAGTAATGGTTGAAAAGCAATGTGAATTACTTAATGCCACAAAACTGTAAACTTAAAAATGGTTAAAATGGTAAATTTTATGTTATGTACACTTACCACAATAAAAAAAAATTTTAAGGTATGTCATAAAACGTGAATGTGAAAGAAGGCCTGGAGGACTCAGTAATGTTTATTTTATTTTTTGAGACGGAGTCTAGCTCTGTTGCCCAGACTGGAGTGCAGTGGCTCAATCTCAGCTCACTGCAACCTTCACCTCCTGGGCTCAAGTAACTCTCGTGCCTCAGCCTCCTGAGTAGCTGGGATTACAGGTATGCACCACCACACCCAGCTAATTTTTGTATTTCTAGTAGAGATGGGGTTTCACCTTGTTGGCCAGGCTTGTCTCAAACTCCTGGCCTCAAGTGATCTGCCCGCCTTGGCCTCTCAAAGAGCTGGGATTACAGGTATGAGCCACTGTGCCTGGCCAGTAATTTTTATTAAGCAACATATCTTCAAGTCTGGACATACTTCATTAAAAAATCTCCTGAGATCACAAACTATAAACTTTTACCCTGATAGACACCGATATCAAACAGTTTAATAAGTAATTTCTAATGTGGCCTTTGGAATCAAAGTCTGAACTTGGCACAGATTGAGGATACCGAAAATCTGCCCTTTCAGGTCTGCCCCAGCCTACCCTGTGTTCCCGGAGGCTGGCCCACCAGAACTGAACAAGGCCTCCCCCATCTCTGGCTTTCAGTTGGGTTCAGCCAATGGATGGCACTGGCAGGAGGTCTGAAGGCAGAGGGACAGTGAGATTGTGATATTTACTCCCCTGGCTCTCTCCCTGCTGGGTTGTGAGTTGGCTGCGTTGCTCTATTAAACACCACAGCTACCATATGAAGACCTCCTCAAAACAGCTTTCTCTTGCATCAGGTAACCATTCCATCCCCCACCTCTTCAGGAGCAGGGTGGCTCTCCAGCTAGCCGTGACATATGGTACAATCCTTTGTTATTTTCCCTAAACTTCTCCATTCTGCTTTAAGTTGGACCTCTTCCAATTACCCAATTTGAGTGTGCCTTCTGTTTTCTGCTGGGCCCCTGAGTGATACACGCCCAAAAGGATGACTTGGATTTATGAGAACAACACATGAAAAGAATGGGGATGGCTAGGCGCAGTGGCTCACACCTATAATCCCAGCACTTTGGGAGGCAGAGGAGGGTGGATTGCTTGAGCCCAGGAGCTCGAGACCAGCCTGGGCAACATGGTGAAATCCTGTCTCTATAAAAACACAAAAATTAGCTGGGCGTGGTAGTGCACGCCTGTAGTCCCAGCTACTGGGGAGGCTGAGGTGGGAGGATAACTTGAGCCCAGGAAGTGGAGGCTGCAGTGAGCCTAGATCGTGCTACTGCAATCCAGCCTGGGCAACAGAGCGAGACCCTGTCTCAAAAAATAAATAAATAAATAAATAATAAAATAAAATAAAGAATTGAGCAAAGTATATGGAAAACTATAAAAATAGTTCCCTAAATCCACCATTCTAAATCCAGGTGAGAGGTAAGCACTGGAGACATACATTTTGAAGGTTTAAAAAAAATTTAGAAAAATATTAATGCCTGGGTTCCCTGTACTCCCCTAAATTAGTCAGTATATTCTTTCAAAAAGCACTGGTGAGGCTGGGCACGGTGGCTCACGCCTGTAATCCCAGCACTTTGGGAGGCCAAGACAGGCAGATCCCTTGGGCCCAGGAGTTCGAGTCCAGACTGGGCAACATGGCAAAACCCTGTCTCTACAAAAATATAAAAATTAGCTGGACGTGGTGGTGAACACCTGTGGTTCCAGCTACTCAGGGCGGGGGTATGGGGGAGCAGCTCTGAGGTGGCATTGCTTGAACCTGGGAAGTGGAGGTTGCAGCAAGCTGATCGCACTACTGCACTCCAGCCTGTGCAACAGAGCGAGACCCTGCCAAAAAAAAAAAAATTCAAATTCTGGGGTCCCAGAACAAAACTTCTGAAGGGGTTTCCTTAACTGAAAGACAAAAAACAGCTGTCTCTCCTTTCTTGCTTACTCTACCAGGAGAGACTGCCTACCTGGGAAGAGCTGGGAAAGAGATTCCCTTTCTGTAGGGGCAGTCCAGCGGAGGTTCCTTCAAAAGAATATGCTTCCATGAGCATCCTTATGTTTTGGAACTGCTTTCCAGAAAACATTACCTTTTGGGAACGAGAATCCATTTAAAAAATCTCAGGTCCCAGCAATGAGAAGGAATATCTAACCTTAAAAGCAACTGCACATTTCTCTTGTCCTTGACAATACAAGAGCTCATACAAGACAACACGAAGGCTAAATGAGTAATTTTTTCCCTTCGCATGAAAGGACGAGAGGTGTCAGAAAATGAAGTCTAAATCTGCTTCAGGAAGGAAGGAAATGAGAGAAGCTAGGAAAACAGCACTTCCTCCTATGGTTTATGTCGCTGGAGTTCACTCTGGACAGAAGGTCAGCAGTCACAGCCAGGTTCCTCAGAGATTCTTCAGATAACTAGCAACAGATGAGGGAAAAGCAGGACCCCTCTTGGCCGCAGCATCCCCACATGGCTGAGAAGCACGGCCTGGGCCATCTGCTCTTCAACAGCGGCCTCCTACCCTGCGTGCCCCCAGGACCGCAGCACTGACTCACCACACGGACTCTGGTTCCACAGGGTACAGAATGTCGAACTGGAAGAACAAATGAAAACCCTGCGCTGGCTTAGGTGAGCTGACCAGAGAAACTAGGGTAGGAAAGTAAAGGAATCTGCTGTCCTATACCGTCTGAAACTACTTATATTGCAACACTTTGCTGATTTCAAACTTGGCCCAAGTTGGAAGGCAACAACTCCAGATGGAACAGGATACATGTCAGAGTTTCCACCAATCGTGGAAGGCCGCCTCAGTCCTTCTCAGGATTTAAACTGAGCAACCCTTATCTAAACCACCCGAACACTTCTATAAATTTTTTTTGTTTTACGAAAGACAGAATTTAAAATAAGAAAGCTTCAGGATTGACTCTCACAGTACAGTAGTTTTAACTAATTTACAGCGTCTACGCCACCCATATTAAACTGCTGTTTTCCTTCCATTTTTAGCTCTTTTTTTAAAAAATTACTTCTATATCTCCACATCAGTTTTGTCTTTTTAATGAAACTGCACTGGTGGAGGGAGGTCCCAAGATTAATATTTCAGGACCTACAAAGTTTGAGGAAATTTACATTCAAGAAATATTTTCAAATGGGTTAACCTAGGAGTTCCTAAGTATCCTCTCAGACTCACATTTCTTAAATAATGCATGAATCTCAATTATGGGTGGAAATTTAAGAACCACTGACTCATAACTAAATAAACTGGACATGTCAGAGCTAAGTAGCTGAGCAACATATTAAAATTAACAGCTCCACTATGTTGCAGATGTAATACACATGACAGCAGTTACAGACGTGCAGATTAAGTGAAACTATAAAGTGAAACTTTAGGGTGTGGCTATAGATAACAAAGAACACAATAAACGTGTAAAAACACGCAGTTTTTAAGACAGTTTCCAGAAGACACTAAGAAAATTTATTAACCCAGTGTTCCAAGTTGTGAGGACAAATGTTAGTGAGATCTGCAAGGCAGGCATCTTGTTTCTTTTTCTTATCTGTTTCAAGCACAAACTTGTGTTTCTGCTACAGAAGATTTAAAAAGACATGAGGAATTTCTCTACCTTTCAACCTATTTTTTTTGACACAGGGTCTCACTCTGTTGCCCAGGCTAGAGTGCAGTGATGATCACGGCTCACTGCAGCCTTGACCTCCCAGGCTAAAGTGATTCTCCCACCTTAGCCTCACAAGTAGTTGGAACTACAGGCATGTGCCCCCACACCCAGATAATGAATTTACAAATTTTTCCCTTTTTTGTGTACAGACAGGATTTCATCATGTTGCCCAGGCTGGTCTTGAACTCGTGAGTTCAAGCAATCCTCCAGCCTCAGCTTCTCAAAAGTGCTGGGATTACAAGCATGAGCCACTGTGCCTGGCCTCAACCTATTTTAAGGTATAAAATATTCTTGATATTTTGGAAGAAAAATCAGGAAAAGAATTTAGAAAACTGAAGATTCTGAGGAAGAAAAATTGGGAGGAAACAAACTGTCCAATTGGAGTTAAAAATAGCTAAGATCATTAGCAGGGTAGGTGATTTTAGATCATTTTAAGGAGTACCAACATTTGAGCACCATGGAAAACCAGGGACGAGCAGCTTTACACAAACAACAACAAAAACTGCAGTACTGCTTGCCTTTTATAGAAACTACAGCCACTATACTTGAAAATAAAATGTATATATAATTTCAAGATGAACCAGAGAATATGCCACAACACGGCAAACCCAATGAATGGCTGATTCTTTAGATGGTGTCAAAAGAACTCAGTGTCCTTCTTTTTTTGAGTCAGGGTCTCGCTCAGCCACCCAGGGGAGAGTACCTACCTGGGAAGAGCTGGGAAAGGGGTTCCCTTTTTGTAGGGGCTGTCAGGTGGAGGTTCCTTCAAAAGAATATGCTTCCACGAGCATCCTTATGTCTTGGAACTGAACTCTCCAGTTAACATTACCTTTTGGGAATGAGAATCCATTTAAAAAATCTCAAGTCCCAGCAATGAGAAGGAATATCTAACCTTAAAAGCAACTGCACATTTCTCTTGTCCTTGACAATACAAGAGCTCATACAAGACAACACGAAGGCTAAATGAATAATTTCTTCTCTTTGTATGAAAGGATGAGAGGTGTCAGAAAGTGAAGTCTGGAGTGCAGTGACGCAATCTCAGCTCACTGCAACCTCTGCCTCCTGCACTCAAGTGATCCTCCTGCCTCAGCCTCCCATGTAGCTGGGACCACAGGCATGCACCACTATGCCTGGCTAATTTTTTATATTTTTTGTAGAGACGGGTTTCATCATGTTGGCCAGGCTGGTCTCAAACTCCTGAGCTCAAGCAATCCGCCTGCCTCGCCCTCTTGAAGTGCTGGAATTACAGGTGTGAGCCACGGTGCCTGGCCTCTCAATGTCCTAGATGTTCAAGCCTTTTTTCCCTCTCTAAGTCACAGAGGATATACATCTTTCTTATCCATTCAAGAAAGCAAAGGGGAATGTTCATGAGTAAAGTTAATGCTATTTCATGGAAAATCTTGACCCACATTAATTTATTAAAGTTCTGATTTAAAATGTTAGTTCTTAGCCAGATGCAGTGGTGTGTCCCTATAATTCCAGTTCTTTGGGAGGCCAAGGTGGGAGGGTTGCTTGAGGCCAGGAGTTCATGTCCAGCCTGGGCAACATAGTGAGACCCCATCTCTGGAAAAAAAAATTTAGTTCAGAGACTAACAGTATTTCCATGATATGTTCTGGTAAAGGACGGCTGCCCTTCACAAAAGCAAGGGAGAATTTATTTGGTGGGAAATGTGCCAAAATGATTCCAATTACTTTAAGCTGAATTTTGAAAAAGAGAAAAGAAAAAGTACAAAGCCCCAGATATAAAACTGCAAGGCGTGAGCTGAGATCGTGCCACTGTACTCCAGCCTGGGAGACAGAGCAAGACTCCGTCTCAAAAAAAAAAAAAAAAAAAAAAAAAAAAAAACCTGCAAGGCAGGATAATATGCAGGATAATATTTAATGAAGAAAACGGACAACAAACGCAAGTGAGCTTGAAACAATCAGAGGTTAGGACATCCATACAGTATATCAAGGCCCAGAGTATGAGCAACAAAGTGAGGCTGAAATTATAATACAACAAAGTAAAAACAGTCTATGACTCTTGAGGTATGTTAGAACTCATCCCAAAATTCAACAGTGGGAAGGTTCACTTCATGTAAAAGAAATCTCTAAGGCCGGGCACGTGGCTCACACCTATAATCCCAGCACTTTGGGAGGCCGAGGCGGGCGGATCACGAGGTCAGGAGATCGAGACCATCCTGGCTAACACGGTGAAACCCCGTCTCTACTAAAAATACAAAAAAATTAGCCGGGTGTGGTGGCGGGCACCTGTAGTCCCAGCTACTCGGGAGGCTGAGGCGGGAGAATGGCATGAACCCGGGAGGTGGAGCTTTCAGTGAGCTGAGATCGCGCCACTGCACTCTAGCCTGGGCGACAGAGCAAGACTCCATCTCAAAAAAAAAAAAAAAGAAATCTCTAACAGGAGATGGGGGCACTAACATGACATGTAAAGAAAATAAGACCAGGCAGGGTGGCTCATGCTTGTAATCCGAGCATTCTGGGAGGCCGAGGCTAGGATCACTTGAGGCTAGGAGCTAGAAACCAGCCTGGGCAACATAGTGAGATCTCATCTCCACAACAAATAAATAAGAAAAAGAAAATAATATATCCACATGAAAACCCATGAATCTGGGGATAAAACATTACGAAGAGTAGCTGGGATAAGATAAGAGTAGCTGGGATAAGGGAGAGGCTGGGTGCAGTGGTTCACGCCTGTAATCCTAGCACTTTGGGAGTCCAAGGCAGGTGGATCACCTGAGGTCAGGAGTTCGAGACCAACATGGCCAACATGGCAAAACCCTGTCTCTACTAAAAATATAAAAATTAGCTGGGCATGATGGTGTGCACCTGTAGTCCCAGCTACTTGGGAGCTGAGGCAGGAGGATCACTTGAACCCAGGGGAGGTGGAGGTTGCAGTGAGCTGAGATCATGCCACTGCACTCCTGCCTTGGCAACAGAGTAAGACCCCATGTCAAAAAAAAAAAAAGATGAAAGGAGAAAGAAACAGGTGGGAGATTTATATTACAGACTGCTATGAGAGAGAACAAAAAGGATATTTTAATAATATTACAAAATTGATACAGAAACTAACAGTAGCATGTGGTAGTTGATATAAACTGGACTACTAACTTCCTAACAATTAGCAAATGCATATGATCACAGGTCGATTAATTAACTATGTCCTAGAGACTCCACAGACTTTTGCGGGGCCATCTAGGCAGTTAGCATGTCTGATCATTGGGATTCCTGCTCAGAGGCAGGCGGGGGAAATAGTTCACAACTTCACACCAGTTCTGCAGTGTTTCATTTTGCTTAATAAAAAAAAAAATCATGAATAGTTGTTGAATTTTATCAAATGCTTTTCCTGCGTCCAATGAGATGACCATTTTCCCCCTTTATTCTGATGTCATAAGTTTAAATGTTAAATCAACCTTGCATTCCTGGGATAAATTCTACTTGCTTATGATGTATTATCCTCTTTAGAGACTTCAATTTTCAATTTGGTACTTTTTTGTTACAGATTTTTACACCTGTGCTCTCAAGGGTTATTAGTCTATAACTCCCTTTTCTTTAAATGTCCTTGTCAGATTTGCATATAAGGGTTAGTCTTGCTCTGTTCGTGCCTGGCCCACTGGGTACAGGAAAGGAAGAAGGGCTCCAATGATACCTAAAATTAAGTTTTCCAATAGCCAGGTAGAGGGGAGCTTAGAATAGGTAAAATGAGATTAGATAAGTAAATATCTAATGTCTTTACACCATAGTGTTATGAATTAGAATTCATACTAGCAACACTGAAACGAGACAAAGATCAGTGCATCATTTAACCACCATAATTCACAATTTGTCCCCACTCCTCTAGCAATATCTTGATATCTCTGACAATTTTATTTTTATTTTTATTTATTTATTTATTTATTTGAGACGGAGTCTTGCTCTGTCACCCAGGCTGGAGTGCAGTGGTTCAATCTTGGCTCACTGCAACCTCTGCCTCCTGGGTTCAAGTGACTCTCCTGCCTCAGCCTCCCGAGGAGCTGGGACTACAGGCATGAACCACCATACCCGGCTAATTTTTGTATTTTTAGTAGAGATGGGGTTTTACCATGTTGGCCAGGCTGGTCTCAAACTCCTGATCTCAAGTGATTTGTCTGCCTCGGCCTCCCAAAAGTGCTGAGATTATGGGCGTGAGCCACTGCACCCAGCCAACTTTTAGCCCTTTCTATACCCATGTCCATTCACCTCTATATTCAAACTTTTTCAGCTACTTCTTATTCTTATAATATATACGCTAGTAGACAGAACTGCTATTCAATAATCCTCACCCTCTTGTAGGAATTATATATCCTTACAAGATGTGTAATTATATGTGTATAATAATGTATATCATTATGTATATCATTAATAGTATACAAATATAGAATTGCATATCCATACCCTTTACTGTGTAATCATGCAGTGCCTCCCACTACAGGCAGAGTATGTTTCCCTGTCACATTTTGGTAGGACTTGGAGTGGAGTGGAGATGGCATAAGCACAGGCTTTCAGCCATTATTTTATGGTTTGGCCTGTCCTCTGGTGCTCCTGTAATCTGCCATTAGAAGAGCATGCCCTGAAAGCCCCTGGCTCTTTAGCCTGGGCCCCAGAATGAAGACAAGAAAAAACAGACTTGAGGCCAGGCGCAGTGGCTCACGCCTGTAATCCCAGCACTTTGGGAGGCTGAGGCAGGTGGATCATCTGAGGTCAAGAATTCGAGACCAGCCTAGCCAAGAAGGTGAAGCCCCATCTCTACTAAAAATACAAAAATTAGCCAGGTGTGGTGGTGGGCACCTGTGATCCCAGCTATTTGGGACACTGAGACAGGAGAATCACTTGAACCTGGGAGGCGGAGGTTGCAGTGAGCCGAGATCGCGCCATCGCACTCCAGCCTGGGCAACAAGAGCGAAACTCTGTCTCAAAAAAAAGAAAAAACAGACTTGAACCCAAATGGAAGACTATAGGATTCAACCTAGTCTAGCTCAGATCAGCTAAACTGCTATGTACCCCCTCTTCTATTAAACTGCTATGTACCCCCTCTTCTATTAAACTGCTATGTACCCCCTCTTCTATTAAACTGCCCCCTCTTCTATTAAACCCATACATAACTCTTACCATCTGAGTTAACTATTCTCTTTTGGATCCATCCCTGTTTCCTGTATGTCCTACAGGGCAGGGATTCTTTTTGTCTATTTTATTCACTGATGTCAATCAAGCACCTAGAGTTCTGCCTGATACACAGTAAGCCCTCCGTAAATATTTGCATGATGAATGGTTTAACATACTGAACTGTCTTAATTTATACATCAAAACGTACATTCACATTCCCAGTGATCACACTATTCTTTCCCACAGAGGTACATGAGGTTTCACAGGACTTATTTCCAGGTTAGGAAGGTTGGGTTTTGTTTTTTGGGCAATTAGCGGCACCTGAAGATTTTTTAGTAGGCAGATACAATGGTTAAAATTAGGATTGGCTGGCTAGGCGTGGTGGCTCATGCCTGTAATCCCAGCACTTTGAGAGGCTAAGGTGGGCAGATGGCTTGAGCTCAGGAGTTTGAGACCAGTCTGGGCAACATGGTGAAACTCATCTCTACTGAAAATACAAAAATTAGCTGGGCATGGTGGCGTGCAACCATAGTCCCAGCTACTCGGGAGGCTGAGGTGGGAGGATGGCTTCCACCCAGGAGGCAGAGGTTGCAGTGAGCTGAGATACACCACTGCACTCCGGCCTGGGTGACAAAGCCAGATCCTGTCTCAAAAAAAAAAATAAAAAATAGGATTGGTTGCAAATGACTAAACACCCCAAATTAATGAATAAAAAAAAAAAAAAGGACAAGAAAGACAGTGTGTGTATAAGTGTATATATATACACACATATACATATATACACACATATATATACACACACATATATACACACATATACACACAAATATACATATATATGCACATGTATATACACATATATACACATATATACACATATATACACACATATATACACACATATATACACATATATATATATACACATATACATATACACACACACACACACATATATATATATATATATAGCTTTTTCCAGGTGAAGGCAAAGATATTCTAAGCAACATCATTATTCTGGTTGTTTCTCTTCATCTCATTTTTTAAAAACAGGTTTATTGAGACATAATTCACATACTATACAATTCACCCATTTAAAGTGTACAATGAGTTTTTAGCATATTCAGAGTTGTGTGACCATTATCACTATCAATTTTAGAACTTCAAAACCTCATAAAGAATTTTTTTTTTTTTTTGAGATGAAGTCTCACTCTCTTGCCCAAGCTAGAGTGCAGTGGCGTGATCTCGGCTCACTGCAACCTCTGCCTCCCGGGTTCAATCGATTCTCCTGCCTCAGCCTCCTGAGTAGCTGGGACTACAGGCACGTGCCACCATGCCCGGCTGATGTTTGTATTTTTAGTAGAGACAGAGTTTCACTATGTCAGCCAGGGTGGTCTCAAACTCCTGACCTCGTGATCTGCCCACCTCGGCCTCCCAAAGTGCTGGGATTACAGGCGTGAGCCACCGCGGCCGGTCTGAGAAATTTTATACTCACTAGCAGTCACTTCCCATTTCCCCACAACATCCCCTCTCCTCTCCAGCCCTAGGCAAACACTAATCTACTTTCTCTATATATAGATTTGCCTATTTGGGACATTTCATATAAATGAAATCATGTAATATGTGGTCTTTTGTGATTGGCTTCCTAGTACAATGTTTTCAAGGTCTTCATATCATTTT